>NC_000013.11:95040857-95343888 GCF_000001405.40 Homo sapiens
AAAGAGCTACAATCTGAATTTCTCAGGCCTGGTTTTGCTTCTCTGTAATTCACTCCCGAAGAATTCTCTAACTGCAGATTCGCTTATTCCTCGTTCACTCACACTACCAGGGAGAATCCAGAGCGTTGTAAGGACGGGTGTGCAGGGACTGGAGGAAAAGGCTGTGCTATTGGCTGAAAGGAAAACAGGTCACAAGTAACCAGCTAATCCTAAAAACTACAGGGAGGAAGCTGTCTTTAATGTGGAGATAGTGGTGCGTATTAGAAAAAAGAGGATTTCTAATTTGTCTGTCTTGCTCTACTGTTTTGTGGCAACTGAGCAAATGAAGATTAAATTAGCTGTCATTAAGACTACACCATGTTTAATAAAGTTAAAACTGGGAGAACATCTTCATAAAATAAAATTCTAAGCTTAACACATTGATGGCGCTTAATGAACCAAAACTGGGTAAATCCCTTTGGAGAGTCAACACATAAACAAAGCTATTAATTAGGTCGCAGTTGTTTCCCAACAAGCTTTTTGTTTGATTTACTTACAGTAAACAAAACTATATCTATCCGTCTTTGTGGAGAAGTATTCACCAATGCAACAAAACGTAATTATTACACCTTAAGCACTTGCAATTACAGGACTGCATGATGACAATAGTGTTGGTTATGTCCTTCATTAACATCTGTCACTTCCCCAGCCACTCCCTGAGCCTGCCTTTTGGAGTGCTGAGCTTTGCAGCTGATTCACTTGTCTCTATGTTTTCACAGCTTTCAGAATAACAGAACAGAACATGTGTTTTCTGGAACGGTATCTCTAAAGCAAACAAGGGGAAAAAACAAACAAACAAAAAAAACAAAACACCTCCAAAATCAAAGATCTGAGGAAGAATGGTATTTATGGTGTTCCCCCGAATTGAAAGCTGGCTGATGATCAGAAGCTCTAGAATACAGGAGATGCTTTCAGCTAGGGGTTGAGGGAACATAGAGGCCAGTTCCCAATCTCAAGCTACAGAATGCATGTCTCCTGGGTTCCCTGAGGCTGAATCCTGCCACTGCCTGTTAAGAAAAATTGGAAAATAGTTCTCACAAAGAATTCAGAGCTTGTAATAAGACTCCTTACTTAAATTTATACCTCCTGGTAGGACCTCCTGTGATGCCACTGATGACCTCGTGGCCAGGGAGCCCTAAATGGAAGCTCTCCCAATATCATTGGAGAGATCGCCATAGATGGAGACACTAATGGAGTTGGGAGTGAGAAGGAAAGCTCCATGTTGAAATGCAAGGTCATCTCAACAGTTACATCCTCCAAGGGAATGCTTGCCTTTCCCTCCTCCAAGTTTACTTCTTCCGGGTCTTCCTCATTCATCCAGATAGTCAGGTCCCAAACAGAGAAACCAGGACTGACTACCCCTGTCTTCCCTCAAATCTCACATTCAATCCATCACAGTCCAGTTGCTTTACTTTGCTATTTACTCCAAATCTATCCATTGCACCATCTTCACTGCTCACACCATAGTCTAAGCCGCCATTGTGCATGGTGTAGAGAGGGCATGACCGCAACAGTGAATGCTGCGTTTGATGAACTGAAGGACAATAACTAAAGGACTGTGGCTTTTACTGCAAAGGAAAGAGAGAGAACAGAGGGAGGAAAGGCTAGAAAGGTAGGGAGGGGCCAACTGTAAATTGCTTTGTAGAACCATGTTCAGAGTTTAGATAAAGACATTACTCAAGAGAGAAAAAAATTAAGGTTCTCAAAATCTACCTAGAGGGACTGGTATATAAAGCAATAAACTAATGGGCACACTTCAATAATGGTAACAGCGCTGATGGATCAAGAAGATGCTTGTGAACTAGACATTTATGTGGTCAGAAGCTGATTGATCAGATTTAGGAGTGACCAACTGACTTGTCTGCCAAGTTCTGTCCTTGCTTGCTGTCTCTCTAACTAATCAGACCTTCTAAGTTGACAGCACTTCCAAGCATTAGATAATAAAAGGAGTAGCTATCACCAATGCGGTAACAGCAAATCCCAACAAGAAGTCTATATGATACATTTAGACTACAGGCGCCTGCCACCACATCCAGGTAATCTTTGTATTATTAGTAGAGACAGGGTTTCCCCACGTTGGCCAGGCTGGTCTCGAACTCCTGACCTCAAGTAATCTGCCTGCCTCGGCCTCCTAAAGTGCTGAGATTACAGGCATGAGCCACCGTGCCTGGCCTTGCTTCCTAAAATTATCACTGTTTCCCTTCATTTTCTAAGCCCTCCAATTCTTATGTAACAAATTTCCTATGTTAAATCCTTTCTGTTGGAATCATTTGTTTTTCTGGCTAGGCCCTCTCTGAAAATAATTTGTGATGGATCTTCTCATCTCTTCCCCTGTGACACGTATCTTGTGAACGTCCCAACAGCATAGAAGTTCTGCAACCTTACCCAACAAGCCCCTTGCAGTATATAAAAACCTAAATCTTTCATTAAGGGGATCAAGCATGCTGAAACAACTGTGACAGTGACAATGACTGTGATCTTCTATTGGATACTACTCCGTAGTATGACAGTTAGCATCACAAGCTGAATCTTAGATTTGGAATATTTTCATGGTAAACTTTTAACATATGATTTTTGCATATGATTATATGCAAAGAGATACATTGGATATATTGTTAGTAGCACTGAGGGTGTAGTTAAGCATATGAATTACTGCTGGGAAGAGAGCCAAAATTAACAGAAAATTAACTTACTAGGGGTTTCTATCAAGTTTTACAAGGAAGGAATAAACTGAAAAAGTGAACATAATTGGGAGCAACAGGAATTCCGCAGGTGAAGGACTCACCATTATCTTGTCGCTGTCAATAATGGTGTTCAATCTGTGTGCAATGGTTAGCACGGTGCAGTGGGCAAATTTCTCCCGGATTTTTTTTTGTATTAACTCATCAGTTCTGCAATCAAAGAAGTTAAGTTTAATTTCGTAAAGATGCAAAAAGTAGACTTAAGACTTAAAAAGCTCTACTTCACAATAGAGATTTAAAAAAAAAAGATCATATCTATTTAATGTTTTAAAAATCATGTTAAAATGTTTTAGGACAATCTTATTCTTTAAAAACAAGTATAAAAATCTATGTAGTAATTTACTAATTTTCATAAAACAACGAAAAATGTCTTCCCTCCAAATTGCTTAAAGCTGATTATTGGGAGTGGATTTTAGGAATCTAGCTCTCCTGGGATACTGAATAATATCTCTGACACTGGAAAACACGTTTGGGTTTCTTCTTTTTTTTTCAGAATGAATTTATCCATGTTAAAATGTTATGTCTGGGGCAAACAGAGCACTTAGAAATATTTCTCAGAATCATTCCATGTTTCCCATTTACACACTTAAAATGTGGACTCAAGGTTACATGGACCTCAGCTTTATACCTTGGATCCACATTTGCCGTCGCTTCATCAATAATCAATATCTGATTTTTCCTGAGAATTGCCCTGGCAAGGCACACCAGTTGTCTTTGTCCAACACTAAAATTGGATCCTGATTCTGCTAATTCAGTATCCATTTTACCAGGAAGATCTTCAATGGTTTCTTTAAGTTGTACCTGTAGATGTACAAAGAAGAATGACTGCTATCATTCAAGCCGCTATGGAAGTAGTCAAGCCTCATAGACATTAGAACCTTCAAGTCCCTTCTCTCGAGAGATATAACTTAAGTGGACACACACATGAGGCTGAATTACCTCTAGTTAATGTTCAATGAGAAAGATGGTAGAGTCAACACAAAACGGAAATATTCTGACTTAAGAGAACAAACAATGGAACCCAAGATGCTCCTTTATCACCATCAGCAAACACAGTCTGTTCATGCAGGGTCACGTGTTAATACTGCCTGGGCCAATTTCATTAAGAAAAACACAGTATGATCAATAAAAGTATTCTGTAGGTAAAATACAGAAAGATAAAAAAAATTCCCTTCTTTTTAGTTAAAAGATTACAGAAATTTAGAGAGACAATAAGAGTGATGGTTGCCAAGGGGCTGGAGGATTAACTGTAAATGGACACAAGGAAATTTCTTGGGGTAAGAGAGATGTTTTAAAACTGGATTCCTGCAATGACTGCACAACTCTATAAATTTACCAAAATCACTGAATCACTTCTAAGGGGAGCATTTTCTGCTATGCAAATTAGACCTCAATAGAGTTGTTGGAAAAAAATCATATCAGTGTCCCCCAGCACCTGAACTCCCTTACCAATAACCAACATGACAGCCAACAAGAACCCCTCTTCCAGGTAGGGAAGGAAGTTTCTCAAAAAATGAAGCTCATGCTCCCAATATAGAGTCTGAAGAAAAGGTGAAAGGATCTTTCTGGTTGAGTCAAGTTTCCCAAAGCACATTTTGGAGACGAGTGAGTATAACTCAAGGGAAAATTTAAAAAGAAAATTACTGCAGGAAGTATGGTCCTCCAAAGATATCATCTTATAGGCACTTTACCATTTTGGAAGGTTTTTTAATCAACTGGAAAAGTTAAAAAAATACAAATGCAAACAATGGGAAACTGTGCCTCATTTGTTAGGAAATCAGGAGCTTATTCTTGGGCTGGTCCTTTCCCAAGTTTAAGCCCCTATGGCTATAAAGTAGGTCAGTACATTTTCTACAGTCTAATAAATGTTTTGCAGTGAATGAAAACTCACAAAAAAACAGGACACAATATAACATCTTGCCCCAGACGACGGGGATAGATGATGTTGATATTAATGTATCTTTATAAAATTGTAGCTATAAGATGATCTGATACTACATTGGGTGGTGGTTCAGTTCACTGATGTTTGTTTTGGAGAAATTTTATAGAACAAGAGCCAAACTCAGGTGACATTTGAGAGCTATAGAGGAACCAAGAGTCAATACATCTCCAATTAAGAGATCAGCAAGCAGATAGATGAGTGATGGCCAATAAGCAGGTGTACAGAACTACAATGCCCAACAACAAAAAGCCAAGAGTAAACGGGTAACATTGTCATGTACCTTAAACACGGAAGCACACTTCTATGAATGTGATCTTGAGTTGTACTCATGATGGAAGTCCAACTCCAAGAAACAGGAATTTTGAGTTAAGATTAAATATGGTATTGATATTTGGCATTAGCATGCAAGGTAGGAAATTAAAATCCGAAGTGTAAGATTTGGCTCGTGGTGCAAAATGTTACCCTGAAAATTATAGGATGGAATATGTCAGCTTAGTCAAACCCTCTCCATTACAAAGAAGAGGACTTGCTGAGTAATCTTTTTATGAAACATACTCACAGACCTATACCCCATGTGATGGAACTGATCAAAAGTAGATGTTAGCAAAGTTTTTATTAGCTTTTCCTTCTGAGTTGATTTTGATAATACTGGTAAGTGCAAAAAGGTCTTTTCTAAGACCGGCAGCCAGATTTGAAGAAATAATCTCACACTTGCCCTTGATTAAGGGGCCAACCCATCATTCTTCTGGGTTTTGACCCTCCTTGAGGTTATCCACATTGACTTGATGAAGAATAGGGTTGTGAGGTGAAGAATAATGAACACATTTCCCAGATAACAGTGTCTTCTGAGACTCTGTCATCATGATTGAATCGGGGATGGTTATGAGAATGATATGAATGTATGGCCAAGTACAGTGGCTCATGCCTGTAATCCCAGCACTTTGGGAGGCTGGGGCAGGCAGATCATCTGAGGTCAGGAGTTCGAGACCAGCCTGGCCAACATGGTGAAATCCCATCTCTACTAATAATACAAAAAAAATTAGCTGGGCATGGTGGCGGGCACTTGTAATCCCATTAGGAGGCTGAGGCAGGAGAATTGCTTGAACCAGGGAGGCGGAGGTTGCAATAAGCCAAGATCGCGCCACTGCACTCTAGCCTGAGTGACAGAGTAAGACTCTGTCTCAATTAAAAAAAAAAGATATGAATGTGAAGGCCCTCTGTAGTGTTATCATACATTCAAGTTATGGTTAAGTATTAGCACTGAGAAAAAGACAATGGAGGCAGTGGAACACAGTGACTAAGAGTGACAACTGGGGAAATTGAAAATATATTAAACAATGGTATTACATTACTCTTCAATTTCTTCAGTGAGGTAAATAACTGTATTATGTCATGTAGTTGAATGTTCTTGTTCTTAGGAGGTACACATACATATTTAAGGATGAACTGCAACTTCATGGAAATGTCTGCAACTTACTTTCAAGGGCTATAAGAGAGGAAGCAAATGTAGCAAAATACCGTATTAACAAATGGTGAATCTTGGAGAAGGGTATGTGTATGTTCATAATACTATTCATTTGACTGTTCTGTGATTTGGACATTTTAAAATAAAAAAATGGAGCCTTGAAGACACACAGCATGGGTATGAGTCCTGCCTGGCTCTGCCAACTGGGCAAGTTCCTGAACTTTCTCTATCTTAGCTTCCTAATTAACTTGTAAATAAGACCATACTAAGATTATTTTGAAGATGTTTATCTCCTAAAATTGTTGGAGTATAAAATCAGTCAGTATGTGTAGCATTTACAATAGTGCTTGGTACCAAGTAAGAGATCAATAGATAATATCTATTCTTTTTGTTTATTTTGCTCCTTCCTGGACAATGAAATACTGCCTATTCTTTTTTTTTTTTTTTTTTTTTGAGGTGGATTCTTGCTCTGTCACCCAGGTTGGAGTGCAGTGGTGCGATCTCAGCTCACTGCAATCTCTGCCTCCCAGGTTCAAGCGATTCTCCTGCCTCAGCCTCCCGAGTAGCTGGGACTACAGGTGCATACCACCACACCTGGCTAATTTTGTTTTTGTATTTTTAGTATAGATGGGGTTTCACCATATTGGCCAGGATGGTCTCGATCTCCTGACCTCGTGATCCACCCGCCTCGGCCTCCCAAAGTGCTGGGATTACAGGCGTGAGCCACTACGCCCAGCCGCCTATTTTTAATAATGCAGTCAGCTAGTTCTTTTCATGCACTGCTGTAGTTTTCTTCACTGCATTTACCAGTACCTAATATTATATTACATATGCATTTTCTTATTTTCTATCTTCCATACAAGAATTTGTGCCCTAAGAGGGTAGGGATTTTATCTCTCTTGATGACTGCTATAGCTCCAGAGTCTACAATGCCTATGTAAAAACCTCCCCACACATAATCTGTTGAATGTATGAAGTCACAAGGATACCTCATTTTGTGACATGTCTATTCTTATAAATTACAAAGTAAATCCACAAAGAAATAGAATTTACATACAATTTTCTTACTAAATGTCATTGTAAAAGAAACAGTCCTTATAAAATTAATTGGCTCCAAGATATCATAACATTATACTTTAAAATATAGAAAACTTAATGTTTTCTACATTTAATAAAGGTTGTAATTTCAGGAAAACAAAATCAAATCATACTATTTGAAACTATACATTTCAAACACAATGTATCAGGTTATTTTGAAGCTTAGAAAAAATAGGAAACTACAGGAAAAGTGAAAATAATGAACTGAACTTTCTAAGACAGCCCATTTCTATCATCATAAATGTTTTCAAAGCCTCAAAGAGACTCATGTGGATGTCAGATTCTGTTTCCATGTTTCTTTGAACTTTCTGACTTTTCATAAAGGAAGTCTCTGATGCCAGAGACTGAAATGTGATAAACAGCAACTCAACAGATGGGAACAACCTTTAACAAGAACACAGCTAAGTGTGAACGAAGCGAGCGGAAGCCCATTCTGGGCAATACAGGCCTGGGAAAAATGGAGGTGCAAGGTGTGGGGAATAGAAGGCCCAGAGGATGTGGACACTGCTGATGTGCAGATTTCTGTCTTATGGTGTCCTGAATACAAGACATCCTTGTATTCTAACAGCAATTCTATCAATGTTGAACATGATTAGATAATTTCTCCACTATTCCAACATGATATAACCTAGTCTTAATTGTAGATCCCAGTATTAAAGTCGTTTTTTAATTAACAGAAATAACGTGCTGCTGATTCATTTTCTTAGTTGTACCTACTGTGTGATCTTTTGACTTTTTTCTCATAAACGACTTCCATCTTTAATCATTACTTACGTTATATTTACAGAGTTGCTCTTATTTAGGGGCCCGAAGTGGCACTAATTCTAGTAAACTTTCTTCCATTTACAGCTGACTATTTTTCAGTATTTACGATAACTTTCAGCATTAGAAAAGAAACCCCAAAAAACGAGCAGGGTGTGGTGGCTCACGCCTGTAATCCCAGCACTCTGGGAGGCCGAGACAGGCAGATCACTTGAGGTCAGGAGTTTGAGACCAGTGTGGCCAACATGGCAAAACCCTGTCTCTACTAAAAATACAAAAATTAGCCAGGCATGGTGGGGCTTGCCTTTAATCCTAGCTACCTGGGAGGCTGAGGCAGGAGAATCACTTGAACCCAGGAGGTAGAGTTTGCAGTGAGCTGAGATTGCACCACTGCACTCCAGCCTGGGCGACAGAGCAAGACTCTGTCTAAAAAAATAAATAAATAAATAAAAATAGGCCAGGCGCGGTGGCTCACGCCTGTAATCCCAGCACTTTGGGAGGCTGAAGCAGGTGGATCACGAGGTCAGGGGTTTGAGACCAGCCTGGCCAACATGGTGAAACCCCGTCTCTACTAAAAATACAAAAAGAGTAGCCGGCATGGTGGCAGGCACCTGTAATCACAGCTACTCGGGAGGCTGAGGCAGGAGAATCGCTTGGACCCGGGAGGCGGAGGTTGCAGTGAGCCGAGACTGTGCCACCGCATTCCAACCTGGATGACAGAGTGAGACTCTGTCTCAAATAAATAAATAAATAAATAAAAATAAATAAATAAAAAAATAACCAAGATGACACAACCACATCCATAGGACTGTCTCCCTCCAGATGCCCGAACTTCTTTTGCATGTCAGGTATTACCCTTTCCAAGGGATCATGGGTAAGAAGAAATAAAAAAAACTTCCAAGAAATAAAAGGCATCTTTCCTTTTTATGTGGTTAAACCACCTTTTAAGTGGTTAAAGAGGAAAAAACTGACAGTGCTGTCCTAATCTCAAGCCAACCCTCTGAGTTTGGGTTCCCATTTCCAGTTTGGCCTCATTTATAAACCAAGTGACTATGTTTTTTGTCTGCTTTAAAGGGGGTTTCCAAATGACACCAGGTTTCCTACTAAAGAGCAAGATGAGTTATCCAGTTCTGAACTGGATATCAATGAAAGATGAAAACCATGGAGACAGCAGAGAGACAGAATGTGACAGAGAAGTCCAGAGAAACTTGAATGGCACCAGAGTCGTGGTGCTGAATCCCTTGTGTGGTATCTCTCAAGATAAACACACACACATAACTTCACGTTTACAATCACCAGGAAGTAAGATTTGGAATTCTCTACGAGAAGACCCTCAGACTCCACGGACCCCAGGGGAAGAATTCCTGACCTATCAGAATGCCCCCAGCCTCCATCAACTTGTAGTCATGAAACTTGTTGTGAAAAACTCACAATGCTTCATTTGTTAGGAGTGCTCAGCCTTTCCCCTGACCATCTAGAAGGTAAAAAGAATACAAGCACCCAGAAGGAAATTTGGAAAATCCAGGAAAACTGTAGAGAAAAGAAAACACTCTCCTCCAGTCTTTGTCTCATTACCCCCAAACGAGCAATGTAAATGCTCTGGTGTCTTTCTTAGGTCAGGTGTCAGAATATAAGAATGATTAAAAACAGCTGGAATCACACTGGAAATACAATGTTGTACCCTAATTTTTAGTAACTCTTCCAAATCATTCACAGAAAAACCTACAATGCCATAAAGAAGTAGTTCCCAGAGAAAGACAATGATGGGATAATTTTTCACTTCTGAGGGGGACCTACCACGTCTTCCACCTCATCATTTCTAGAATTCTTGAGAGGCTACTAAATTTTATTTTAATTTTGGCTATAACAAATGAAATAAGTATGAGTTACAGTCAAGTTCCATGATGGTTTTTGATAGGATCATCTCCCAATTAACATTTCTTCACTGTTCATAGAGAAATGTGTTTCTAAAAAGTACTTTTGCTCTCTGAGAATCTGTGACAAGGAATCTCAAGCTCTGAAACAAATAGAAAAACACTTTATGAGTAATTCTTGTTCTTTTAGGGTGTGTCACAATTTCACTATTAAACCTGTCCTGAGAGTTTAGGGGCACAGGATTGCCTTATCTTTCTTTACATTTGACAGTTAACTGTACCCACCTCTTCTCTCCTAGAATTTCACTGTACAGAGATTCACAAATTTAAATGAAATCAGAGGTCAATTGCTTATCAAGTATCAGGAGGTGAAGTAATCGACCTAATTTAGAAAAAGAAAATCCCCACAGTTGCTGGAAAGCAGGGTGGGTGTGTAAGGACTCGGCAATGACATGCCTTCAGAAACAAGAATTACTGGCAGGAAACTGTCAGGCCTCCAAGTCTACTTGCTCACAGTCAAAACCCATCTATAAATTAAAGATTTCAGAGCTATCCCTGGAAGGGCAACAATGACAAATGCACCAATTCAAAACAACAACAATAACAATGGAGGGAAATTAATCTCTGTCACTCAGGCTGGAGTGCAGTGGTGCAATCATGGCTCACTGCAGCCTCGACCTCCAGGGCTCACAAGATCCTCCCACCTCAACTCCCTGAGTAGCTGGGACTACAGGTGCATGCCACCACATCTGGCTAATTCTTTTTTTTTTTTTATTTTTAGTAGAGACAAAGTCCACCATGTTGTCCAGGCTCCACACTTCTTTGAAATGAAGAGATCAAACATATTAATACATACTTATTAAATGCTTACTTTTTTTTAACTTTTAATATTTATTATTTATTTTGGGATGGAGTTTCACTCTTGTTGCCTAGGCTGGAGTGCAGTGGCACAATGTTGGCTCACCACAACCTCCGCCTCCCAGGTTCAAGCAATTCTCCTGCCTCAGCCTCCTGAGTAGCTGGGGCTACAGATGCGCACCACCACGTCTGGCTAATTTTGGTATTTTTAGTAGACACAGGGTTTCACCAAGTTGGCCAGGCTGGTCTGGAACTCCTGACCTCGTGATCCATCCGCCTCAGCCTCCCAAAGTGCTGGGATTACAGGCATGAGCCACCGGGCCTGGCCAATTTTTATTTTTATTTATTTATTTATTTATTTTGAGACGGAGTCTTGCTCTGTCGCCCAGATGGGAGTGCAGTGGCACGATCTCGGCTCACTGCAACCTTGGCCTCCCAGGTTCAAGCAATTCTCTTGTCTCAGCCTCCTGAGTAGCTGGGACTACAGGCGCACACCACCATACCCAGCTAATCTCTGTATTTTTAGTAGAAATGGGGTTTCACCATGTTGGTCAGGCTGGTCTCAAACTTCTGACCTCCAGTGATTCACCCACCTCAGACTTCCAAAGTGCTGGGATTACAGGCATCAACCGCTGCACCCAGCCTTAAATGCTTACTTTTTAAAAGCAAAAGACTAAACTAGGTCCTGTGAGGGATTACCAGTTTTATGATATGGTTTCTGCCATCAAGTAGACTGGCACAAATTTGCAGAACTAGACTGAACACAGAAAATCAGTGTTAAAATACACAAACCAACAGCACCTTAATAGTCAAAGTCCTTTTTTCATGCAAGGGTGAGAAAATTTCAAGAAGTGGCCCAACAGGAACCACATAAATAATAGAAAAATCCTCTAGAAATCAACATATTAGTATAAAACCTTAGCAGAGGCTGCAGGGTTCTGTTATCTGCATTAAAATTACACGTTTGCCAATAAATAATTATTATCCCATTCCAACTGTATAATTTACCTTTATAAACACTTTCTTATAAAACTTAAAGCATTTCATAAATATGATCTATCTTTTAGTTAATGAAAAACGACTATGGTCTTCCCTTACTAGAAATTCCCTAAGAACAGAGCAGTAAAATAAATGGTGCAGAGTAACTTAGTCACTAATAGGATCTCAACTCATAAATACAACTTCTAGTTTAACGCATTGCTAAAGACAAATAAAACAACACCAAACTGTTTTGGACAACAGGAAGAAAATTAAAATGAGAACCAGGGAAATTTTATTTTTGGTTTTCATCATCATCAGTATACACATTATAGCATATCCACATCCTCAATGATCTCCTGGGTGGTGAACAAAGTTAGTTAAACCGCTAAGCTCCTCTTAATTTCCTGCAATGCTGTAAAGGTACATATACACATACTGAGGCTAACAGACTAAAGATAATTACATTTTATCAATTACCTCTTGTAAGGCATTCCACAGTTCCTCATCCGTGTGCTCATTAAAGGGATCCAGGTTTTTCCTCATTGTTCCAGTGAACAAAACAGGTTCCTAAGTGCCCAAAATAGTCACGGTCATTACCACAGACTCTTTTTTCATTTTATTCCAATGCTAACATCAACAATAGAATTAAGATACCAAAAAATAAAATTCATGATAATAATTATAGCGTTACAAATGCCTGTTTACAAAACAACATATCTATTAATGTTCCACTGTACAAAGCGTGCTCCAAAATACCTTCCAGACCACTGAACACTAACAAAACTGTTGCAATGTGCTATCTTAAGAAGAAAATGAAAAATACAGGCCTGATGTTTAAAACTGTTTTCCTCATATTATTAGCTTAACATGAAATATAAGGATATAATTATTCGAGGGTCTACATGAATAGAGCTATAGAAATTAACTATCAATCATGTAATACTGGAAAATACCGACAGCATGATTAAAGTTTGTGCTTCAAAGCCAAATTATTAAGCATTTTCCAATTTGCACTAAAGAATAAATTAGGATTATTTTCTCCGTTGGCAAAACAGTTTTCCAAGATTAAGAATCTCTCACCGGGCGCAGTGGCTCACGCATGTAATCTTAGTATTTTGGGAGGTCGAGGCGGGTGGATCACCTGAGGTCAGGAGTTCTAGACCAGCCCGACCAACATAGTGAAACCCTGTCTCTACTAAAAATACAAAAATTAGCTGGGCATGGTGGCACATGCCTGTAATCCCAGCTACTTAGGAGGCTGAGGCAAGAGAATCGCTTGAATCCAGGAGGTGGAGGTTGCAGTGAGCCGAGATCGTGCCATTGCACTCCAGCCTGGGCAACAAGAGCAAAACTCCTTCTCAAAAAAAAAAAAAAAAATCTCTCCAATGTCAGAATGGGACATCCTTTTTTTTTTTTTTTTTTTTTTTTTTTTTTTTTTTTTTTTTTGGCCAAAGGAGATCTAAACAACTGGGGCCAGAGGCACCTCTACTTATGAAAGGATTGCCTCTGATTTTGCATCAGTGAATCCCCACATTATCTCATCTGTGCATCAAGGTTACCTGGGTCACAGAACCTCATTATTAACTAAGAAAGCAGGGTTACCTGAAAACCACTGTGAAGGAGGTCATAATAAAATTACATCAATTTAAATAGCTGTTCCTATTCATCTGCTTCAGGAGGATCCCACAATTAAATCACTCTTGGAATATCAGCCTCTTCCTGGATTTCAAGAGAGACTCTTGAACATAAGCTTAGGTAGGCTGTGTGAAAGTTTTCTTCTGGTAGCTGGGTGCGGTGGCGGGCACCTGTAGTCCCAGCTACTTGGGAGGCTGAGGCAGGAGAATCACTTTGACCTGGGAGGCAGAGGTTGCAGTGAGCCAAGATTCCGTCACTGCACTCCAGCCTGGGCCACAGAGCAAGTCTCCATCTTAAAAAAAAAAACAACAAAAAAACAAAAACACAAACTTTTCTTCTGGAAGGCTCTAATAAGCCAGGCCATAAGGATATAGGAGCCCCATCAACTGCTTTCAAGGATAGGGGCAGAACAAGGGGATGCACAGATGTGGGAACAAGAGAAGGTGAGACTCTTCCACAGGTACTGGAGAAATGCTCAAGGGAACCACTGGCCTCAAATCTCACCTGGCTTTGGGGCAGGACTGTTCCTCCTCACTTCCCAAAAGCCTGAGAAGAGAGATAAAGGTGGTAGACTTCTTTTTTCTCCAGCCATAAAGAAAAATGATATCCAGGGAGGCTCTCATCCCTTTCCCTATCGTCTCCGTTTTAAGGCTGGTGAGGAAGAAATGGATGTAGAAGGCAGACAGGGTGCCACCAAAAACATAAGTCCTCAGCAAAATGCAAAAATGGAAACGACGGTAAAATGGGCACTTTGTGTGTATAAAGCTGATAAAGTGGCCAATATCCTTCCAAAAGCACTGAAAAGTCACTGGTCACATGATGTTTCTGAATTACCAAATGGAACTGAAAAATTCCAAGAGTCACAGGTAAGGTCTGTCTTAAAAGTACCCAACTGAAGACCAAAACCTGAACAACCATCTAAACAATGGTGGGAATTTCTTGTGAGGGGAATAACCATCATTCTGGTTATTTCAGATTAAAAGATAAAAACTTGACTTACTCTTTGTAATTATCAACTCTAAAATTCCAACCTCTGCAGGCAGAACATTTCAGAGTAGAGATTTATGGTAAACATACAATCTTCATGTAAAATGTAAAAGATTTAGTAGCCTAAGTACATATTTATTGATGGTATATATTTTAAAATGTCATTTAGTACGAGTTTTAACCTCCATTGTTAGCAAAACCAATGTTCTGTTCAACGTATTATTTTAAATGAAGCACCAGATCAAACCTGTTTTTCATTAGGGTTTAAAGGTCATACTTTTTAAAAATCTTTGCGCCATACTGAGTAGTAATTTTGTCCTCATTACTCACATAAGACAAGCTGATATTAAACATGTGACCAGGCTGGGTGTGGTGGCTCATGCCTGTAATCCCAGCACTTTGGGAGGCCGAGGCAGGTGGTTCACTGGTGGTCAGAAGTTCAAGACCAGCCTGGCCAACATGGTGAAATCCCATCTCTACTAAAAATACAAAAAGTAGCCAGGCAGGGTGGGGTGCGCCTGTAATTCCAGCTACTCGGGAGGCTGAGACAGGAGAATCACTTGAACCCAGGAGGTGGAGGTTGAAGTGAGCCAAGATAGCACCACTGCACTGCAGCCTGGGAGACAGAGCAAGACTGTCTCAAAACAACAGCAACAACAGCAAAAAAAAAACCCACCACGTGACCTAAAAATGGCCGCTCTGAATCAAAGCATTTAGTGCAGTAAATTGATAATCCCTCAGCAGGACTGCAAGACTGAAAATTACAGTCTTCCTAGAGCTTTCATATAAACTTCTGGAAGACAAGCCTCTCATTATCTCAAGAAGAAACTCTATCCACCAACCTTCAGACACTTAAAACGACCTGGGACCAAGACAAAAATCGCATGGGGAGTTACAAACCAGCAGGACAAAGCACAATACTTTACCCTAATCTTGTCCCAAACCAGGAAACTTCGCTCTCTTAAAATATACACTGCACAGTAGCTAGCCACAACTGCTGCTGCCTGATGTCCTCAGAGCTATGTGTGCATTTCAAATCCTGAAGACCTTGATTCAGGGCAGCTCATCTCCCTGTGTCAAGAATCAGGGAATCACCTGAAGTCACTTTAAATCTTGGTTTCCCTTCTTTTTTAAAAAAACCCTGTAGCCTCTGAATGAACTGATCATCATCCATTTTCAGAAGAAAAGAACATTGTTCACCAACAAAGGAAAAAGAATTTAAGTCGTGTAAAGTCTTCTTTAGATACAAAAAGGTCACCAGCTCCAGGGAGCAGTTCCATGGCCTTAATGAAGACTTCAGTGTGCAGAAACAAAGGACTGACTGCATTAGGCCAGAATCCAATTGTATTTCTTTACTAGTAACTGCATACCTACCTCTTTTCCCTTTGAATTTTGTTCTCAAAAAGAAGAAAAAAAAAAAAAAAGGAAAGAAAATCAGGTAATAAAAAAAGAAGTCTTAAAGAGACACACTCTGGTTAACCTTTTCAACTTACTGAAGAAAATTCAGGGAGTAGAAATACCAAGATAGCAGAAGTCTGAGCAGTGGGCTGCTTAAAAACTACTTAGCTTTTGCTTTGATAGAAAAACAAAAAAGTCCATCAAATATGAAAAATGAATCTGTTTAATCCTAACAAAGATTATAGCTGTTGATGTATGCCAACCGTTAGGGTGCTATCATAAATGTTGAATTTGCATGAAGTTACTCTTTAGTTGAAAACATTTATTTGTGCCAGTAGGATTGGAGGAGTAAATAATCCATCCTAAAAAAAGTTTTGAAATCCATTTTTCCAGATCCTTCAGTTAAGCAAACTCTTGTCTGAGTTATAGTATCACCTTGGTGTTCTCCTTGGGAAGTGCACTTAACTACCCTGTGTCATGAACACAAAAGAAGCATACATTTCAGCTAACTATTCTGTTTAGGGAAATTATTTAGGAAGTACTTTCACTGTTCGCTTCTTCCTGAAATTTTGAATACAAATTGAGGGGTACTTTCTTAAGAATTCAGTATTTTTTTTTTTTGAGACAGAGTCTCCCTCTGTCGCCAGGCTGGAGTGCAGTGGCACAATCTCAGCTCATGGCAACCTCTGCCTCTGGGGTTCAAGCAATTCTCCTGCTTCGGCCTCCCGAGCAGCTGGGACTACAGATGCGCACCACCACGTCCGGCTAATTTTTGTATTTTTAGTAGAGACGGGGTTTTACCATGTTGGCCATAATGGTCTTGATCTCTTGACCTCGTGATCCACCCTCCTTGGCCTCCCAAAGTGCTGGGATTACAGGCGTGAGCCACCGTGCCCGGCCCAGTATTTGTTTCTTAAAGTGACTCCAGGACTGGCCCCTGACTATGTATGTCATCATTTCTGTGCCCCAGTTCTTTCCCAGGTCCTTGCTGCTTAATCCTAACCACGAATTTGAGTTGCTAATGGTGTGGTCAAGAGTGACAGAGGACCCTGAACCATAAATGAAAGGGATAAGCCAGGAAGAGAGAGAACACAGAAACTCGTGCTCCACACAACCCCAGGAAGCCATGCAGGCTAGACTTGCCCAAACATGGCCATTCGAAGAAACAGCACTTGGTTCTGCTTTTGCTGTGTTTGCTCCCAAACTTCCTAGATTCCCTACATCAGTGTGTGGTGACACAAGCCATTTGGCTTTCCACTCACTTCTGAGGAAGAGGGGTGTATGCTTTCTGCACTGCAGACCAGTAACCTTCATGCAACCTCAAGTCTCCAGCCTTCTCCACCCTCTGCAGCCAGCGAGGCCTCGGAAGAAAAAGGGCTCTGAGCTCCCACAAGGTAAGGCTTGGAGGATCTTCTGACGCTCACTAGCCCACGACACATAAGTGAATACACTCTGTTTCCAAAATGATTTTCTTTTAGTGCTTAGTGTCACTTAAGGTTTTGGAAAAAATAAAAATAAAAATAAAAATAAATCACAAATGATTCAGTCTTTCAAAATGACCTAACTGTCCAAATGACAGATAAAGTTCAAAGAAAAGATACCTTTTGACTTTGCTGTATATTTGCTCTCTTTGGTTATGGCTTCTGGGAACCTTTTGTAAGTTGGGTAGACAGAAAAACAAACAGTACTTTGGGAGGCTGAGGCAGGCGGATCACAAGGTCAGGAGATCGAGACCATCCTGGCCAACATGGTGAAACTCTGTCTCTACTAAAAATACAAAGATTAGCTGGGTGTGGTGGCACGCACCTGTAATCCCAGCTACTCGGGAGGCAGAGGCAGGAGAATCGCTTGAACCCAGGAGGCAGATATTGCAGTGAGCTGAGATGGCGTCACTGCAGTCCAGCCTGGCAACAGAGCAAGACTCCATCTCAAAAAAAAAAAAAAAAAAAAAAAAAGAAAAGAAAAAGAAAAAGAAAAGAAAAACAATGAGTAAAATGTCTGATGAGATATCATGCTGTCCAACAAATACTTACTGAAAAAAAATTGAGCTGGATAGTTCTGAGTTCTGATTCTACTACTTATTAGCTGTTCATCTCCAGGTAAGTTATTAATCTCCCTGAGCCTTAGTTTCCTTCCTGGAGAATGGGGCTAACTTGACACACCCTGCAGGGCTGCAGTGACAATCACTGTGTCATAAGGCTCCTTGCACGGTGCTGCCAGGCAGCAGGAGCCCGGCCAAGCAGGGCAGCACAGTGAGGCACGCTGTTCTTCAAATGGCAGGTGCAACCAATGGATCATGAAATCACTTTTGTGACTCATGACCATCCTTATGTCTTTTATATGAACCAGAATAGAATGGATATAATAGAAAATATCAGGGCGCAGAAGCATGGAGTAATATCGTGTTGTGAGACTTTTGTTTCTGTGCGTGTGTGCGCACCTGCACAAGCCCACACTAAATCATGTTGCAAAGCAGAGTTCTGATCGGGGACTGCGCCAGCCAACATGGGTTTAAAGTCCCTAGGAGAGGGTTCAGGAACTCAGGATCTGGCATTGAGATTCGCCGTAAATTCCATTTGAATCCTGACTCTGCTGTTTACTTGTTAAGTGGGTTAAGCTCTCTGTGCCTCAGTTTGAAAATGTGTCAAATGAGGATGACACAGAATTGCTGTGAGGACGAAGTGGGAGATGGCAAGGAAAGAAGATAACCATGTTAAGGATTCTGCAAATGTTAGGAATTCTCACTACTTGTGTAACTTGTCTGGGACGCAACAATCACTAAAGCACTGGATCTAAGAGGGACAAGCCCCTGTTCTCACGCAGGGCTGAGAACCAGTGTCGGCTGCCTGCTCGCGAAATGCAAAGCATTAGAGGGGTACTGAGAGTGGTGAGGAATGCCGCTAAGACCGGGGTGGGGGAAAGCCAGAAAACAAAGTGATAGCCTCACCTTTTGTTCCTTGTGAGAAAAACATTAGATTTCTCTCTTAGGCTTTTATTGTGCACATTTTTTTTTGTTTGTTGCTGCTTCACTATTTAAATTTACATAAACAATTTGGTTAAAGGAATTCACCAAGGATCACAAAAATAGAAACAGAAGTTAATGAGCCAAGTCCTTCTAGAATAGCGAGTAGCAATAATGCCCTAAAGGCCTGCACCCCAATCCTTAATTAGAAATAGTTACTATTGAGCATTCCTCAGAACCCAGAGTAGGGCCACAAACATGTTCTCATCTAGTAAAATCTTCACAACAAATCTGTAAGTTAGTAATTACTAGGTTTGGTTTAAGGATGAGGAAACTGAAGCTTGGAGGCTAAGTGACTTCATTGAGGTCACACTTCTATCAGGCAGTGCTGGAATAAAAATGTGGGTCGTGTTGACGCTTAGAAGATGCTCTGAAAGATTCTATCCCAGGCAGTCTGCTGAATGATTTCCTGGGTCGCATTAAGTATTGCACAGTCCCTCTAGACTATGTTTCTTTTTTTCAACCAACATTGAGCCTTGGAGACAAAGCCATACAAAGTTAAAAAGGAAAGTCTCTCTGTTTACAATGCTTGGAGATCAGGATCTACATGGATACAAAGCTTAGCAGTGTTTTGTAAGCATGCTCCCTGGACTACATACATAGAGCATTTGCTCAAAAGTAGGGTGGAAACTTATGGAACTGAACCAAAACCTGGTGATGTCAAGGTATATTTAGTCTTTGCTCAGATGTGCTTCCAAAACATTACTGGCAGAGCCAAGAATCATCTAATGTTACTTCTTTATTTAGAGTTCTTTTATGTACACAAGCACACAACTATTTCTTATTAAGAATTCATTCAAAGTAATGCAGGGCACGTTCCTAGAACCTTTCATCCAAGGATATAAAAGCACTTTACAGACATGCCCATTATCTCTGCTAAGTAAACCTCATTTGGCCCATTTTTGAGATGGGCATAACCAAAATATAAAACTTGAGAATTTATACTCTCATTTTCTACTGTAAGCACTAAGTCATGCTTCTAATAGCCAGAGGGAATCTAACGTGCTAAACATTTCTTCCCATTTTATCCTGAAAGGGATACTTTTTTTTCTTTAAACTAAAAATAAAAATTGTGGTACAATACACATAGCATAAAATTTACTGCTTTTGCCATTTCAAAGTCAACATTTCAGTGGTCTTAAGGACATTCACACTGTTTTGCAGCCATCACCACCATCCATTCACAAGACGCTTTTCATCTGACAAAACTGAAGTCCTATGTGAAATAATGTAACTCCCAACCCCCCACCTTCCCTCAGCCCCTGGTGACGACGCTTCTCCTTTGTGTCTCTGTGAATTTGACTAGTCTAGGTATCTCATATTAGGGGAACCATCTAGTGTCTGTCCTTTTGTGACTGGCTTATTTCACTTAGCATAATGTCTTTAGGGTATATCTGCATTATAGACTGTCAGGATTTCCTTCCATTTTAAAGCTGAATAATTTCCCATTGTATGGATAGACCACGTTTTATTCATCTGCTCATCTGGCGATGGACACGAGCTATTTCCACCTTTTGGGTACTGTGATGATCATGGATGTACAAAACTCTGAGATCCTGCTTTTAATTCTTTCTGGAAGTGGAACTGCTGGATCACATTAGCTCTCATTTTTTGAGGAATCTCTACAGTGTTTTCCAAAGTGGCTGCACCATTTTACATTCCCACCAACAGTGCACAGGGTTCCAATTTCTTCACATCCTCCAAATTACTTAAGCGTGATTCCAATTGTTTTAGAGGTCAGTGCTAGGATAGCCATAACTGTACTTGGTCTAAGATAAAAATCACATTCTCCTTCCCTTCCGGTGGCACGTTCTCTATGCTTCCTACTAAACAGGCATTGAAGAGTTGTTTATATCCACATGCCCAGAAAGCTCATTACTGCCTGGGTTTTGCTCTTGTCTCCTCTCTGTGTTTCTCTTCTCCAGAATATGTGTTTGTGTGTGTGTGTGTGTGTGTGTGTGTGTGTGTGTGTGTGTGTTCCTCAGCTCCCCTCAATGACTATAGAGTGTTAAAAAAAAAAAAAACCCACATTAAAAGAAAACAAACAAAAAACCCAGCCATGTCTGGAGTTGAATATGTGGAGGTGTTAAAGTGAAGGACAGGATGGAACTGTGAGGTCCGATGGAAGCCATGAGGCCCCACAGCTGCAGACCCCATGCCGGTGGGGACAAGGTCTATGTTGCTCATGACTATACACCTGGAGAATAGTAATTACTCAATGAATACTTTCTGAATTTATGTTAAATATGAACCAAAGCAATGACAGGAGCTCTTATTGTACAAATAATCCAATCTCTAGAACACTCCTTGAGAGTCACTTCTGCAAAGGAGAAGAAAAGAAAATAGAATCAGAGTCCGGGAAAGGATGGCCAATTTAACCCTCCACCATCAGAGCAAACACTCACTGGGTCTGTGTGAAATACACCACACACTCTCACAATGGTGATCGTAAGGAAGATGAAGCAGAAGTGCAGAGAGATGGAATTCCGTCTCTCATGTTCTTCCTTGCTATTCTTTAACAACCTCCTGGTTAAAATCATTCACCAAGAGCTAGATTCTAAAAGTCACCACAAAGCCAACTATAAGTTTTTTAACTCTCACAGCCCACAGTTTCACAGAAAGCCCTTCATGGAGGTAATCACCTTTGAGAAGGTAGCTTTAGTTCCTACAGCAAAATTCCAACATTAAGACACTTAAAATCCACATCTCCCCATAGAAACCTCCCCAGTGCTAAACAAACAATGCATCATTTTGTTCTTTATGGTTATCAGTGGATAAAACTGTGGCATCTTAGTACAGAAATCTATCTGCGTAAGTTATTAAATATCACACACACACACACACACACAGAGAGAGAGAGAAATGAACAAAGCTGGATATCTGATGAAAATACCTGTTGAAAATATCTGCTCATAAAAACATGCTCTATTGGGTGAAAAAAAAAACAATCCTTTCATCCAATTAAAAAAAGCAATAAGAGTAAAAGCAATTAAACATAGTAGCTCTTATAAAAGGGGCAGGTAAGGACGCTATGACTTGCATACCTGAGGTATGATTGACATCTTCTTCCTTAAATCGTGAAGTCCAATTTCAGTTGTCAAGATCTTATCAATCCAAATTTTACCTTCGGGTTCTGACAATCTAAAAAGGGCTGAGATGAGGGAACTTTTTCCAGCTCCGGTTCTTCCCACAATGCCAACCTACAGAGAGATCCAGGCGGCAGGATTAAAAAAAAAAAGAAAAAAATCACAGGATGCAGCAAAACTAGGAGAAAACTTTCGGTTTTTGAAGAAGAATTAAGGACATTCTATATTGAGTGTAGTCTAAGAGTTTCCCAACCTCAGCACTGATGACCTTCTGAGCTGGATACTTCTTCATTTTGGAAGCTGCCCCAGGCATTGTGGGAGGTTCGCTAGCATCCCTGGACCCTACTGCATAGATACCAGGAGCACACTCCCAAAATGATACCACCAAAAATGTCACTGACAAACGTCCTCTGGGGCAAAACTGCCCCTGGTTGAGATCCACTGTTCTAAAAAAGAGTTGAAAATAACAGAATCTGTTTACTGGCATTGAAAAGTCAACAGTCTCCTAAGTGGCCCATGAAAAGGCAACTTTTAAATTAGCTTTGCTTGCAGGATCTGAGTAATCTGAATTTCTGAGATAATTTCACAGGGATATTAATTCAAGACAGAGGTGTCAGAAGTGACATAAACGAGTATTCATTTTTCTAGAGTTCTATTATTTAAGATAACATATTCTTTGGTAGAGAAACTTCCAAATATTAAATATCTGCCTATATTTTGTCTCAAAATGTTTCAAAATTCTGAAGTGAAGATTGCAATGTCTTAAAAGACAGTAGTAACCAGTAGCCAAAAAACACATAATGAGATCAACAACAACGCAAGTAACATTTGCTATTTACGTAAGGCCTTTCATCTGCACAGTTCAAAAGGCATGCTGCAAACTAATTAATACTTACAATTGCCCCTTGAGAAACATTTGTGTCAAGTATCACTCCTCTATTAAAGCCAAGACAGAGAGAAATGAAGTGCACTGCCAATACGATCAAAGAATCAATAAAATGCTGGTAAAAAGGTGGGGGCAATACGTCTATATTGTAAAAACTGGCTTTCACATGTGTGCATATAAATCTGTATGCAGAAACTGGCCTCTGCACCAATGACCTTGCACAACTGCAAATTTCCTGGTGGGAACTTCCCAAGAAATGACATCCTCCTTATTTAGAAATCTGGAGTCAACGAAGGACATAAAACATGCCTTCAATCATTTGTCCATTATTTAATAAATTTTAAAACTCACTGCAAAACTTTACTGGGCACTGGGTATGTGTTGGAAATGTGACATATTACCTCATTTGAACACCTCCATATCTGTAAAGTCAATAATGGCATTTCCACAAGGAATTTTATCTTTAAAGAGATACATGTACAAAATATAAAAATGTAAATGTTTAAAAAGTGGCTTTAGCTAATTTTATTAACTTTGGAGTCATATTCTACCTTATGGTAAATCCTAGTTTATACTTTATAGGTGGGCCATTTTCTGCACATAGGTACATCCGGGTGTGTGTGTGTGTGTATATATATATATATATATATATATATATATATATATACACACACACACACCAATTGAATTTCTGAGATAATTTCACAGGGATATTAATTCAAGACAGAGGTGTCACAAGTGACATAAACAGGTATTCATTTTTCCAGACTTCTATCATTTAAGATGACACATTCTTTGGTAGAGAAACTTCCAAATATTAAATACCTGACTATATTTTGTCTCTCTCACACACATACACACACACACACGTGTATGTGTGTATGTGTGTGTGTGTGTGTGTGGGGCTTATGTGTGTTTCTCAGTAAATCAGCACGTATCTAGACATAGACAAATGCTGTGTTTTTGAGAATGTGTGGACACTCATGTTATCAGCTCTATGGGAAACTGATCCATCTGTGCAAACCTGGACATTTGTAGGCCATTATTAGTAGATGGCCAGGATGGACCCCCTCAAAGGTAGGGAACACTGAGGGCTGCCTACAACCATAAGACTAGGCACTCCAAACTCAGGTGAGGATATAATCAGCAAAAGGCAACCAAAGAAAACCTGGCTCTGGTTAGTTCTCTTCAAAGTCATCAAAATTACAGTCTCCAAGTCTTTCATAAGTCACCAATGGGTTTCACCAAATCCTCTGGAGAATATCACTAATATCAGTAAGTTTACATTCATAACACGAAAGAGACACTTAGTTTTATTTTAATTGCTTTACAATTGACCCTTTTTGTTTCCCCAACTGGGCCAAGAGTGGTCTCTTTGGCCAAACATTAGACATTTGTACTTGGATCTCTCTTCATATATGAAACTCAACATGATTAATACCCAACAGCCCCCCTCCAAACAGCTGCTGCTTCTAACTCCTCCATTTTAATCTAATAAATTCTTCCCCAAGTTCACAGGCTCAAAACACCCATCTCCCAGGTTTTCTCAACTCCAAGCACTAAAAATATTACTTGTTCTGTTTCTTGACTCAATACCCTCACTTTAATTTCTGCAGCCATTACCTCAGTGCAAGGCTGCATTAACATTTGAAAAACAAAAACTCTTTTGCTAGTTATAATCAGTGCAAGTGAATTCGAAAAATAAATAAATGCTGGCCACAACCCCAGCAATCTGACAGAATCCTTGTCACATGTTAATACCTTTTCTTTCTGAACTTGAGTGTGAGTTATCTGTGTTCCTAAAGATATAATCTCATATATTTAGGCAAAATGAGAATATGCACAGAATATTATAATCTATTATTTAATAAAAGTATTTACTTCAGTAGCTACATAATATTACAGTATATATGATTATTTATTCAACAAATCCCCTATTTGTGGATGTTTAGGCTCCAATATTTTGCTATTGTAAATAATACCATGTTAAATATCCTTGAAGCTACATCTTTGCAAGCAATCTTAATTGGTTTCTTAAAATAAATTCTTAGATGTGGAATTGCTGAGGAACAGGTATGAACATTTTCAAAGGAGGCTGTTAAGTGATGCCAAACTACCCTCCAGAAATATGATACCAATTTCTACTCCCACCTGTATCCCTGCAAATTCACTAACCAGGGTATTATAACTTTGTTTTAATCAACATTAGTTTGATTCTACAAAGTGGAATCACTTGCCCCATCACATCTTGCCAGCAGTACATAAAATCAATTGGCTTCAGGCCTTCAGCGTCTTCCCCGTGCACTCATTTCTCAGATTAAACTTCCGAAGTACAGCTCTCTGCCTGGCACTCCACACTGGGAAACCTCCTCTACAAAACAGTCCCAACTAACCTTTCCATCCTTAGCTCCATGAGCAGGATTGAGTTTGCGGGGTGGCTGTGAGGACTAAGTGTGCACATGTGTGTTATTCACCTGGTAGTTCATGCCCTTGTATGCTCAGAGATGCCTAATTCTTCATATCAAATCACGGCATCGAGCCTTGGCATATGCCATCGTGCCTTTCACATGCATTTCGACCTGCTGAAATCCTAACCACCTTCTAAAGTCTGTTTCAAATGTGTAATTGCCTTAAAATCCTCCACTTGTCCCCTCGTGTGGATTTCTCCCACACTTAATGGCTGTCGTAACATCTTTTCTAAACAGCCATAAAATCTGCGAATTCCTTCTATCTTACGGAGCAGGCATTTATATACTACTTTGTTTCTTCTACTAGGCGACAGGTGCTGTGGGCAGGGCCTATATTGGAATTAGCTTTGTATTATTTGTATCACCTGTGGTGTCCTGCAAAAAAAACCAGAAATCCCCCAGAGAGTTAAGCATTTAACTCAGGCTTGAAACATTTATGGGAAATCTATTGCCATATTGTTCAGGTATACAATAAGCTAGGTGTTTTACACCTCTTATCTTGTTTAAGTTATAAAACTCTAATGGCTAGGCCCTATCACTTGCATTTTGCAAAAGAGAAAAATCGAGGCTTAGTAAGATTGATTAAACTGTTGAAATGACTGAGCCCCTAAGTGATGGAATGGGACGGAAACCCAAGTCTGCCTGCCTCTTGCCCATTCTGCCGATGGCCTCCCAATCACTTGGATAGCCTGGCTCTGTATTCCCTTGGTGTAGCTAGAAGGGAGACAGCGGGGAGAAGTGTGGTTGTCTTTAAAGGCACTGGCCTGCCATACTGGTCCTATTGTCATACATTTAATGCATGCTGTGGACATGCGTGAGTATAAGAAGGTGGCTAGGACAAGAAGCTGACTACTGTGAGCCAAGACAGTACCTGTATTAGGGTGGATTACAGCTGTTGACAGGAAGAACTGGCACCCACAGAAGAGGCTGGGAGAGAAGCCTGCAGCTACGTTGGACATGGGGCAACTGGGAAACAGGCCAGACAGACCTAGTGTACTGTGGGGCAGTGAGACCCATTTTGATCCCATCAGTAGTGAACGGAACTCAAATACATCGCTGTGCTGAGCTGGTATGAGGACAGAGACTGCTATTCATGGAAGGCTGTATGGTGGGATGAAAACTGTGATAGAAGACAGAGATGACCGGAAAGGTGCAAATGAATGCATAAATGGGGAATCACACAGAATTAAATTGTAATGTAAATTCATAATTTGCAGAATATAAAAGTAAAAAAACAAAAAACCTGTAGGGTGGCACTTGGCCCAGGACTATCCAGAGTCTCATGTTTAGTCACAAGAGGGGCTGGGGCAATCCACGAGCTCCACTTCAAGTTGTCAAAGGAAGTTTCTTGGAAATCACAGATTATTAGTCATCCAAAATTGCTTACCGGAGAGCAACGGCTTTAATGCAGGGGCAGGAGTGGGGGTGGTTCTTGTCCCAGTGCAATTTTAATCAAAAGGGTGGGGTGGGCCTGACAGTCTGCATTTCTAACATGTTTCCAAGCAGAGGCAGGTGATGCTGATCCCAGCCCCTGAGATGAGCAAGCAGGCAGGGCAAGTGGGACAATCTGGCTGTGAGAGGAGGGGTTTCTCAGCAAACATTAATGTAAAAAAGGAGAGAATATAAGAAACTAATATTTTTGCACACTATAGCAAGGTCTAGTACACATCTGTAAAAAGGTATTATCCAAGTAATAGCTTTGAGCAAGGAAAAAAAAATAACAAACCAAAATCAATCTACCTCTAGAGCTGAAAAATGCTTTAAAATGGCCCAGTACTCTCTAAAATGATTAAATCAACCACAAAACCATCTAAATGAAAAATGCAGCCAGTGTTTGGAATCTAACCAGGAAGGCTAGGGTGGTATATACCTCATTTTGGTTCATTCTTTTTTACTTGCTATTTCTTCTGTGAATTAGAAACCTACTTAGCGCCTATTACTTTTTCCTATTTGTTATAATGTCCAGGAAATCTGAGCAGATGAAGCAATTGAAAGAGAATGAAGCCCTGTTTCTGCTGTGTGGACACATTCCTACATCTCCACTGGAAACAATGCCCCTCTCCATCAGCTCCAACAGCAAAGGGACTGCCTGAGATCCTGGGGCTGCAGGCAGGTGTGGAGGAGACGAACCCTGAATATACACACAAAAAGTGGAACCAACTCACCACGATGTTGCCTGAATACACAAATGAAGCTAAAGGTGACACTGTGAGTGAACCAGGACACAAATCAAAAGCCAAGTGGGGCTCAGCGCAGTGGCTCATGCCTGTAATCCCAGCACTTTGGGAGGTCGAGGCAGGTGGATTGCTTGAGGTCGGGGTTCAAGACCAGCCTGACCAACATGGTGAAACCCCGGATCCACTAAATATACAAAAATTAGCCAGGCATGGCAGCGGGTGCCTGTAATTGCAGCTACTCGGGAGGCTGAGGCAGGAGAATCGCTTGAACCTGAGAGGCAGAATGAGCCAAGATTGCGCCACTGCACTCCAGCCTAGATGACACAGCGAGACTCTGTCTCAAAAGCCAAGTGGTTGTAGCTATAATTCAGTCTTCAAATTCAATTTACCCTCCCACATTTCAGATCTCAGGTAATCCTATGATTTGGGGGGGTTTTAAGATGGAACGATATCAATGTGGGGATATAGGTTGTTTTCTAATGTGTACAACAGAGGTTTGTAGATAATTCATATTTTATGGCTACAAGAGAAATTTACAACGTGGCCAAACTAACAGAATGATGTTGATCAGGTAGGACCTAATAACACATTGTCTGAGAGTAAGCAAACATCCCCCTGGCCCCATCAGGAACAGAATCTGAGAAACCTTGCTTTCAGCAAGAGCTACAGCTGATGCTGCCTGCAGAGTGGTCTCCACCTTCTTCACACTCACAAGGATGCTGGGTAGATAATGAGGAATCAGCTTTTGCTGGTTCCCTGGGTATCTTCTGGGCATGAAGCTGTATATTTATTTTTCATGGCACAAGGGTATCATTCATTCAATTGTGACTATAGCCCATTAAATGGGTCTGTGGTGGGAAGAGCTGAAAAGAGCAGTTCCGAAAGTATCTAACACTGACACCCAGAGAACGGGCTGTTGCGGGAGCTGTCGTGTGTGTTTTGTTACCGATTTCTTTGTATGTGCATATCCCTCACTCTCACAGGCACCCACCATGTGCCCTGCAGCATGCCATTTTCTGGGGGTACAGAGACGAATATAAAATGCTCCCTGACTTTAAGAGGCTCAGGGTACTGTGAGATGCTGACCCAGAATTATAAATCATGCCATCGTGCTATCTTCTTTAAAAAAAAATTGTGGTAAAATACACAAAAGGTACTTTATGTACTTTTCAAATTGTGGTAAAGTAACATAAAATTGATCATTGTAATCACTTGAAAATGTTCAGTTCAATTATATTAAATACATTCATGTTGTTGGGCAACCGTCACCATCATCCATCTCTAAAACTCCATTTATCTTGTAAAACTGAAACTCTGTACCCATTAAACACTAATGCCCATTCCCCTACCCCTGCCGCCCACCATCCTACTTTCTGTCTCCATGACTAACTACTCCAGGTACCCACATGTAAGTGGAACCTTATAGCACCGTCCTTAGGTGTCTGGCCTAATTCACTCAGCATAATGTCCTCAGGGCTCATCCATGTCAGAATCACACATGTCAGCATGTGTCAGAATCACCTTCTTTTTAAGTCTGGATAATATTCCATTATGCGTGCGTATCACATTTTGTTTTTCCATTCCTCAGTCAATGGACACTTGGGCTGCTTCCACCTACTGCTCACTGCAAATAATGCTGTTATGAACACGGGTGGGCCACAGATGTTACATTAAAGAATCTGGCCAGGCATGGTGGCTCATGCCTGTAATCCCAGGCATGATTTGGGAGGTTAAGGTGGGCGGATCACTTTAGCTCAGGAGTTCGAGACCAGCCATGGCCAACATGGCAAAACCTGGTCTCTACTAAAAATTCAAAAATGAGTTGGGTATGGTGGTGCACACCTATAATCCCAGCTACGGGGGAGGTTGAAGCAGGAAAATCGCTTGAACCTGGGAGGTGGAGGTTGCAGTGTGCCGGGAATGTGACATTGCACTCCAGCCTGGGCGACAGAGCAAGACTCTGTCTCGAAAAAAGAATCTATAAGATGATGTGGAGAATATAGTTTCAAAGAGGCAGAGATGCTTGAACTGACTGAAAAGGGTGCACACTAAGAGCAAGGCAGACAGGTGCTTGGGGAGAAGGAGGGCACCCTGAGTGCAGGGGATGTGTGTCCATATTGGGAGTTGTGAGGAGAGGGGTGGGAAGGGGAAGAGATTCTACTGTCTTGTTTGTTCTGGTTTAGTTCCTTCAAGAGGCTGTCCTAGTCCTAGCCAAGGGCCCCAGGACACATGTGAAAGGGACATTGCTGGCAGACTTAGATACCTGCAAAACCAGCTCACAAAACTCCACACAGCCTCCCAAGTCCCTCCTTGTTTTCCTTTCACTGACTTTGAGTGAGTCTCTGGTGCCTTTACTGCCTCCAGCTTGGGGGTCTGATTTCTGAGCACTGATGGGGTCATGGGATCTGGGTCTTCCCTTGGGGGCTGAGAGCCAGACAGGTCCTGTCAGGGTGGGCCTGGGGCTCATTAAGGTTGCAGCAGCTGCTCACCCAGGCAAGGAGCTGGCCACGTAAGGATCAGATCTGTGATCAAACTGTTTCAGAAAGAAAGAGTTTGCAGTGAAAGGGATGGGGAGGGAAAGCAAAGCACAGGTTAAAGGAAGGCAAGAAAGACTAAGGAAAGGGCCTGATAATGTTTGGCTGTGTCCCCACCCAAATCTCATCTTAAATTCCCACATGTTGTGGGAGGGACCCGGTGGGAGGTAATTGAATCATGGGGGCAGGTCTTTCCTGTGGTGTTCTCATGATAGTGAATAAGTATCATGAGATCTGATGGTTTTATAAGGGGAAGTTTCCCTGCACAAACTCTCTTTGCCTGCTGCCATCCATATAAGATGTGACTTGCTCCTCCTTGCCTGCCATCATGAGTCTGAGGCCTCCCCATCCATGTGGAACTTTAAGTCCATTAAACCTCTCTTTCTTCTGTAAATTGCCTAGTCTTGGGTATACCTTTATCAGCAGTGTGAAAACAGACTAATACAGGACCAAAGGATGGAGGAGGAGAAAGGCTGGAACAGAAGCTGCAGCAGTGGAGGGGAAGAGAAGGACTTGAGAAATGCAACAAAGTAAAAATCGACAGAATTAGACATAGGAGTGTTGGTGACACAAAGCCAGAGTTGACTTCCTGGAAAAATCCATGAGTAATTAGGTATCAAACAGAGTATCCTGGGTCACGTTAAGCTCCAGCCCTGAGGCCCGGGGCCCACCAACCACAGTAAAGCAGTTCACAGCAGGAAGAATGTTGGTATCCACATTCCATGGTTAGTTTCCAAGACAGGTTAACCTACGTATCACTGATCCCCTTCACACATCCACAAGGAAGACAACAAGCAGACATAGCACTAAATCTTCTGAAATTGAGAAGAGGCAAGATGCTTTAAACAAACCTTTTCTTGTGATTTAATGAGTGCTGTCAGATGCTTCAGTACCAGAGGCCCACCTGGACTGTACATGAAGTTCACATTGTCAAAGATTATCACTCCTTCATGGGGCCAGGCTGGTGGTGGGCGTTTCTGATATTCCCAAGGTGCTTCTTTTTCAAGGTCTGTGTATTCAATGACCCTTTCTACTGAGATCATCTGAAAGAAATATGACATCCCGAGGGGTTAGGAATGGAGGGTGTCATTTATGGATGTTAAGAGACTGTCAATGAAATGTTCTTCTTTCATACATAGTTGGTTAAGGAGAGAAGCAGGAGACAGACGAGGATGTTGATGACTTACAAATTTGGTTCATCATTGTGTAACACCTTCACTTACAACCACTTCCTTCAACATTAGGTTAAAAGAATGAGAGAAATGAATGCTTAGATTTTATTTATCCACTTCTCACACCTGTATTAAAGGCAAGAAAATTTTGTAAAGGAAAGGAATACTTAGAGCCACCAATCAAGAATCTTTTGCTGGCTGGGCGCGGTGGCTCATGCCTATAATCCCAGCACTTTGGGAGGCCGGGGCAGGTGGATCACCTAAGGTCAGGTGTTTGACACCAGCCTGGTCAACATGGTGAAACCCCATTTCTACTAAAAATACAAAAATTAGCTGGGCGTGGTGCTGCATGCCTGTAATCCCAGCTACTCAGGAGGCTGAGGCAGGAAAATCGCTTGAACCCGGGAGGCGGAGGTTGCAGTGAGCCAAGATCGCACTATTGCACTCCAGCCTGGGGTACAAGAGCAAAACTCTGTCCCCTCACCCCTACCCCCCAAAAAAGAATCTTTTGCTATAGAAGGATCACCTGATATAGGTCAGTTAAACTGGATGATCGTGAAACCTCACTGTAATAATTACTCAACTTTTGCTCTATGAGAAGAATGAAAAGATTTTTATGTTTATTGCTTTTCTCTCTTTAGGGGAAGGTGCAAATATTTAAAACATTGATTAAAGCCTCCTATACCACCATAAACTAATACCCTTTGACTAGCACATTCCAAGAGGAGGCTTTCTGTACCAAGAAGGCACACCAGCAAAGTTAAGGCCTTCCTCCCTTCTGTTCTTCACATAAGAGAGTAAACGCTAGAACTGGGAGAGGAGGAGACCTATTAATTAAATGTAAACAACCTCAAAATACTGAAGTCTTCTTTTAACAGGAATGAGGAATTACCCGTTAAGAAACAAAATTAAACAGGCTTCTAAGAAATTAGCTTATATCCTCTCTAGAATTTCAGAACCTCCCTCCTACAGAGACATTTATTACATCTGAAAAAGCTTGTGATGAATATAAAACCTGCTGACAGAGCAACCATAAGACTCAGAAAAAGATGTATATATTTTATTTTACATTAACTTTAAACAGATGGAGGAAGGATCTTAAAAAAAATCTGTTACCAAAGATGTAAAAATAACAGTTTTAATATTTCACATAAGAATGGCTTTTATACCATTTAATGGCAAGGAGATTGAAAAGGCAAAGAACGTGAAGGTAAATATTACCATATTCTCAACTTCAGCACTTTGTCGAACACACCACTGAAACATCCCCATGAGCGTGAGGGCATAGGACAGTGCCAAACCAACCTGCCCGGCATCCAGAGCTACGTAAGGAGGAAGAAGGGAATAAAGTCAGTCTCACTTCAAACCTAAGCCTGGCTCCTTCTGCCACTTACCAAGAGGAACCCTTCATAATGTTGAAACAATTCACATTTAATGACATTAATAGCTATACTTTTACCATTTGTTGCTTGAGATCAAGATACAATGGGGAAAACAACACTGTATATTTAGAAAAATTTTTAGATGATTTTATGAATTCCAACAGGATCGACATAGATTTAATTAACAGTATTACAAACGCAAGAAATAATGTCATTATTCAGACATTCATTATTATGGTTTCAAAGCTCATTACATTATTCCACTTTCTACGTGCAATGCAACCACAGCTGGAAACCACTAAAAACAAAGCAATAGGTTGTAAGTGCCAATGCTTTTGAGACTAAAATACTACTCTCCTTGTTCCATTATTAAGTATTGTAATGCACTGTTGTTACTGGGGTGGTGAACTCATGCCCTGCTTGTCTGGTACCCATGTGGCATTGAAGATAATACTCTCCTGCTGAGAATTTTTCTCAACCTCATGCACCAGGCAACTACAAACAATAGATTCAAGTAGTTGGAAGGCTAACACCCTAAGTTGGACAAAATGCTTCAGAATAAATTGGTTTTCTCTTCACAACTACCAGACACTAACAGGAATGTTCAGAATCTCAACTGCGCATATCTCAACCCATTCAAAGAAAGATAAACCCATCAAGACCCAAATGACTCCTTAAATGAGTCACACTGCTGAATCCTACCCAACCTGACACATCGTAAATGATTTAATACACTTCATTAGGACCAAACAGTATGTAGTAGTAGACAAGGTGGCAAGAGTTTAATAAATGTAAACACAGCTATAAATTGTAATCATACCATACATAGTTATTCACATCTGTACTTACTTTTTGCCAGAATCAGGGACCCAAAGGCAACGATGATGACAAACATGGCACAGATGGCATCCAGACGGACGGCAAACCAGCGGGACGTTGTCAAAAACAAGAACCAAGCCTCTGAATTTGAGAACGGTAATAAGCATGATGAATAAGTAGATGAATGTGCGAGTGTGTTTTGCTCAGTTGAGCTACAGAAGATTTTTACGTGGAGTAGGGCACCAAAGTTGCACACCCAAGGAACCTTTAGATTCCAGAAAGCTAAGTGATACAGGCAATATACGATACACATACACAATGGTACCGTGGCTTTCTGTGAGGATGCATGCGAATATGAAACCCAGAAATATGATCCTAATAAAGAACTGAGAAAAGTAGTCTCATAAGGACATCTCGTACAGTGCTGAGAAATACTTATGTGAAGTGCATCTCATGTGAAGTCCACCCACACACATGGTTGACTGGTCCAGTTCTCCAACAGCAGAGTGCAGCTCCCATTTTACTTCTCCCACCTTCCATACTTACCAGAAGGCCCACACACACTGACTATTGCTTAGGGGCTATATAAAAATGACCTCACTAACAGGATTTGCATGTGGTTTTTTGTTTGTTTGTTTGCTACTTCTTTTTTCCTTTTAGCATGTGGTTTTTAAAGTGCCATTTAATCAGCAAGATAAAATAAAGATTGGAATGACGGATCTGAATTTTGTAGATTTGGTGGAAATTCTGAAATTTCCATATTGAAAAAATCTTCACTGATGCAAGGGGTCAGCAAACTACAGCACGTGAGCCAGCACCTATTTTTGTAAATAAAGTTTTATTGAAACATAGTCACAGCCATTTGCCAATGTATTGACATCTGCTTTTGTGCTACAATGGCAAAGGTGATTCATCACAACAGAGACAATAATGGCACACAATGCCTAAAACACTTACTAGGTGGCCTTTTGCAGAAAACGTTTGCTGACAGAGCCACAGGCCATGCATGGTGAGAGAAAGACCCCACAAGCCAGTCAGGGGGCACAAAGAGGGAACGTGCAGCAGCGATTCCGAGAGGAGTCCAAGCCCAGAAGAAGGGGATGGGGAAGGAGACGAAGATGCGCAAAAAAAGCAGGATGTGGGGCTGGGCCCTGAGGTGCCTGCCAACAAGCTCATCTGACCAGGGAGGTTAAGCCAGAAAAAGCAGCAGATCCTGTCCTTTGAAACCATTTCCAGAAATAGACAGACCTGAATGTAAATCCTGGTGTGCATCAAACAGTTCCTGACACCTCTCTTCTGCTTTGTATGCCCGGATGGTCCAGAGCCCCTGGAGAGAAGATGATAAGTGGGAAAACACTGGACTCCGAGCTGGGGAAACAGACAGAGAAAACAGCTCAGTGAGGCTGGGTGCAGAAAAACCTGCGGCCTCCCAAGCTCCATGGTCACGTATCCACCAAACAGCACACGCAGGCCTCCTAGGAGGCTTCATGTTTCAAGGAAAAATAAATGTTCCCAATAGCCTGAGGGGACCCTGCCACTGGAATCTCAAGCTCCTGCTCAAACCACACCTCACATAAGGGGCCTGGAAATAAACGTCCTATTTTTGACCACATTCAAATCTAGTTATAATTCTTTCCTTCCTAACTCAGCCTTCCAGGTCTTCCTCCTCTCCATATTCTTCCCTGACATCTCTTTGGGCAGAAATGATATTTTTCTGATTTTTGAGCCAGTAGGATTTTAAAAAACAATTCTCTGTTAAGAGTACTCACCATACTGAATTACAATTAGCCATCTATGTGTCTGTCCCCACCTTAAATTGCTAATTTCTCAAGGGTCAGCTATAGCCATTGCACCCTGGTAACTGGATGGTACCTGGCACAGGACATGTACTCAGTAAGTGAGCTGAACAGACAGACTGTCACTTCCCTGCATCCTGGGGAATCTTCTGTGCCCACTCATGCTGGAAGAATCCTTTGTGATCTCCATGGACCTGGGTGCTGCAATGCCCTTGTGCCGTGCCCAAGGAACCTGCCCAGCCAAGATGTCTCTGAATGGTCTTAACATTGGCTCCAGGAACCGGACAGATGTTTTTATGACTGCCCCACTGCAAACTTGTCCTGATCTCTGGAGGTCTCTATGGCATGTGCCATTGCTTTTTTCAGAATCTGACTGTGGTCTCAGTGGGTTCTTCATCTCTACAGAATTTTAAGAAGTGAATTCTTTTTTGTGTGACTTCTTTTTTCTTTGGGAGCTGTATATCCCATGAGGTTCCCTGACCAGCTGCTCCTCCTTGAGCCATTGTGTTTTTGTTTGTGTGGTGTAGGTTTTTTTTTTTTTTTTTAAGAGGGAGTTGCCGCCCTGCCCCGACCTGCCCCCGTTCAAGCGATTCTCCTGCCTCAGCCCCCTAAGTAGCTGGGATTACAGATGTCCACCACCACGGCCGGCTAATTTTTGAATTTTTAGTAGAGACATGGTTTTGCCATCTTGGCCAGGCTGGTCTTGAACTCCTGACTTCAGGTGATCTGCCCACCTCGGCCTCCCAAAGTGCTGGGATTACAAGTGTGAGCCACCGCACCTGGCCTGTTGGGTTTTTTAGAAACAGGATTTCACTCTGTCACCGAGGCTGGGTGCAGTGGTGTGATCATAGCTCACTGCCACCTTGAATTCCAAGGCTCAAGGGATCCTCCCACCTCAGGCTCCCAAGTAGCTGGGACTAGACATGCACACCACCGTGCCTGGATAATTTTTGAGTTTTTCATAGAGATGAGGGTCCTCCTCCTGCCTTGGCCTCCCAAAGTGCTGGGATTACAGGCAGGTGTGAGCCACCATTTCCAGCAGGCCACTGTGTTTCAAGCACACCATTTGATGACTACCAGGACATACCTCCCTCCTGCATAGCAGCGGACATGAGGGCTAGCTACTTTTGGGCAGGGAGGAATTCCTGAGAGTTTCAATTGTCTACCATGAATGAGGCCATACTGGGGCAGGTGCATATTGGGGACACGTGACCTAGCACAATGTCTTTAGCATTCTTTTCTGAGATAAATGATTTGTGCTTTGCAATTAGCAAACACTGACTTTGCTACCTGTGTAGCTCCAGAGAAGACCCTGTTAGTAAAACATGGGGTGTCCGGGAGAAGTTAAGATAACTTTTTATTTATTTATTTTTTTCTGAGACAGGGTCTCACTCTGTCACCCAGGCTTGAGTGCAATGGCATGATCTTGGCTCACTGCAGCCTCAACCTCCCAGGCTCAAGTGATCCTCCCACCTCAGCCTCCTGAGTAGCTGGAACTACAGGTGTGCCACCACACTCAGCTAATTTTTATATATTTTTGTAGACACTGGGTTTCGTCACATTGCTCAGGCTGGTCTCGAACTCCTGGGCTCCAGCAATCAGGCTGCCTCAGCCACCCAAAGTGCTAGGATTACAGGTGTGAGCCACCGTGCGTGGCCAATCTATCTTACAGGCGATGGCTACATATGTTTTATAAAATGATGAGGGGGTAGGGTGGGGGTAAGGGGCGGAGGGAGTGGAAAATTTAAGAGAAAAATTCTAACTCATTTTCTGGGTCGGACTCTTAGTACAGCATCCCCATGCCGATCTGTGCTACAGCTGACTCAATACTGGTGTGCCCACTGTACACACAGACACTGCACATTTGGGGGTGCTGGGGTACCAGTGTGCCAAGACATGGAGGTTCCACATATATCAGAGTCCAGAGTCCACAGTTCCGTAAGTGAAGGAGGAGGCCGCCAGGTATGAGACACTGGGGTTCTGAGAAAGTGGGAAGCCCTGGGTTGGGGAAAGGCAGATGGAGCTGCAGGTTACTGACTGTCCACCCATCCTTGGGGCTCTTTCCTGACTGATACATCTGACTGGGGGCACTAACTTTTAGGGGCCCTCTCCTGTGATAGTGCTTTAAGAAACCAGACCTTCCCTGAGCATAGATTCTCCACCAGAATGTGATCTGGCACTTCCCTTATGTCTAATTCAGGCAGAGAGCCTCCCACGAGTCCACAGGGTTCTCTCTATTCTCTATCTCTGGCATCCACAATGTCTCTACTAAAAATACAAAAATTAGCCAGGTGTGGTGGCGGGCGCCTGTAGTCCCAACTACTCAGGAAGCTGAGACGGGAGAATTGCTTGAACTCGGGAGGTGGAAGTTGCAGTAAGCCAAGATTACGGCCACTGCACTCCAGCCTGGGTGACAGAGCGAGACTATGTCTCAAAAAAACAAAAACAAAAGCAAGAAAACAAAAAGATGACTCTTCAACACACAGAGTAACCTTTTACTCGTTATTTGTGTCAGCTCTCTATAACCTGTAACTTTGCACTGGGAAGGTGGCAGGTGACATGACCGTAAGAGGACTGAGCTGGTGCTTCTGTGAGAAAGGCTGGATGTTCTGCACAGGTCTTTTCTGCACGCCCCAGATGTTCTAGCCTGCACCCTGGAACTTGGTCAATCTGGAAACAGGGTGATATTAGGAATAACACAAGAGAATTCCAGGCCCCATTACCCTACAAAGAGTTTGGCTCCCAGTAGTTCAGAGAAATCACTAGAACCATGCTCTTACCTCCAGAGCAAGGGAGTGTTGTGACTGAACGCGTCCATCATATAGAGAATGCCACTGAGAAGGAAGGAGATGTGGCAGTCATGGGGACAGAGTCCTGGAATGAAATTCTTCAACATAGCTATTGTCATTTGCTTTCCTCATCAGGAGATCCAAGTCGCCACTGTTTTATCTCCAACTGGGTTTCAGGGCAGGGTCAACTTGAGAAATTAGGTACCATCCCAGTTTTGGAACACCCGGGAATATCATGAAGATCAAGCTACACACTTTAATTCACACCAAATTACCAAGGTATAGCAGGAATTTGTAACCTTTGAAAAGATAGTCCTTTCTCTTTCACACCCCACTTAGGGCTGAGAGGGCTGCCAGTGAGGGTGAGCTGGGAGGTCTGCAAAGACAACTAACTAGTACCGAGGGAGAGCGTATGTCAAGCCTCAGCTCTAACGTACTAGTCAGCAGTTTCCAGCTGACACAACCTGCCATTTGACAAGATCAATAGCTGTGTTTTCCACAACACAGAGAACTCTTTAGGATACACTCTACAGAGATTTTCTGTCTTCTCTGAAAAGAACATGAAAAGGAACTGCATGCAAAGATCTGGTCTACCAGTCTTGCTGCGGGGTACTGACGCTGTGTAGGACCTCTCAGGGTTATTACGGTTTTAATTCTCAAGGCTATAGTGCCTCTGGTAGTTCCCGTATGTTCAAGGTTTCCAAGCAGTCTCAGGCAACCCTCATAAGTATTATATCCTTGACAGAGGGAAAAACAGACTTGAGGCATTAAGAACACTGCCCAAAGCTGGGTGCGATGGCTCACGCCTGTAATCCCAGCACTTTGGGAGGCTGAGGCGGGTGGATCATCTGAGGTCAGGAGTTCGAGACCAGCCTGATCAATATGGTGAATCCCTGTCTCTACTAAAAATACAAAAATTAGCCAGGTGTGGTGGCGGGTGCCTGCAGTCCTAGCTATTCAGGAAGCTGAGACAGGAGAATTTCTTGAACTCGGGAGGTGGAAGTTGCAGTGACCCAAGATCACGGCCACTGCACTCTAGCCTGGGCAACAGAGTGAGACTATGTCTCAAAAAAACAAAAACAAGAAAACAAAAAAAACACTGCCCAAGGTTAAGTAAAGTAAGCCATGCAAGTGGTAGACTTGGGCATGGACTCATATCTGTTTTATTTCCAAGGCTGTGCTTTTAATCTGAGCCACAGTATCAGAGAGAGAGAATAATCAGAGTTAAAGGTTCTCATGCATCCTGAGGGCATTTTTCTCCAGACTTTGTAGCCCACGCTTTAAAAATCCCCTAATCTTACTTAGCTAATATCCAACAGCCTTCCCTATTCCTGTGCCGCTTATTAACCACCTTGCATTGAACAAAGTCCCTGGGAATCTAGGATGAACGAACATGGGACACATGGGTTCACACTCATGGCAGACATTGCTAGTGGATCACAATATCTTTACAAACAGAAATTGGATACGGCTTCACATTTCAGGCATTGCCAAATGAGTGGAGGTGGCTAGAGAAATGCAGCCAAATGCCATTCCGGTTTTTATGTACTTCTCTATGACTGACTGTTGATGTGGTGACTCTTGCAAACATAAAATGATCAACTGCAGATTTGTTTTTGTTTTTTGTTTTGTTTTGTTTTGTTTTGTTTTTTCAGTTTCACTCTTGTTGCCCAGGCTGGAGTGCAATGGTGCAATCTCGGCTCACCTCAACCTCTGCCTCCTGGGTTCAAGTGATTCTCCTGCCTCAGCCTGCCAAGTGCAATGGCACAATCTCAGCTCACTGCAACCTCCACCTCCTGGGTTCAAGAGATTCTCATGTCTCAGCCTCCCAAGTAGCTGGGATTACAGGCATGCACCATCACGCCCAGCTAATTTTGTATTTTTAGCAGAGATGGGGTTTCTCCATGTTGGTCAGGCTGGTCTCGAACTCTCGACCTCAAGTGATCCACCCACCTCGGCCTCCCAAAGTGCCAGGATTACAGGTGTGAGCCAATGCGCCCGGCCCAGATTTGTTATTAAGATTCATTAAATGCCGGCTATGACTCCAGGGGCAGTGAGGCAGTCCAACAGAGGCTTTGGAAATCCTTGAGGGCACAAGGATGAAGCTGGATTATGCCTCCCTGCCACGGCAGTCAGGCATCCTGCTTTCAGCTGGTGACTCCAGCAGTGGTCTCAAAAACCACGATCCACTGCTGCTGAGAAGAAACAGTGGAATTGTGACTTATGGCAGAGACCCACCACCCTGGACGAATAACAGTAAATAGTTCCAACCAACCAGCCCCCGTGGTTGGTGATCTGAGCGCATGGAGAAAGAATCCTGCATATTTAACTCATTGTTACAGCCAATCAGGGTACAGGAACACCCAAATATGCCTCAGGGGCCATGATAAGGTTGTCAGAATCTCCACATGAAAATGTTTTCAAGCTTTAAGGTACATGCTGAAATTCAAGAGAGAAAATCCTACACTGCTTCCCAAAAAGCCTTCCTAAGTCCCCCTTTTCTCCACATCCACATGGATCGGATGTGGCTGTTGACACAGACAGTCTACGTCAAGATGTTCCTTCTGGAACGGCTGCTTCCTTCAACATACCACAGACTCCCTTAAAACAAGACTCTCGAATAACTTCATTTCATGAGCGGGCCCAAACCATAAAATGCCTGCACAGCCTTGCTGTCCACACACAACACTGGCTAGGGCCAGTCATCTGCACAAGGAAGGTCTCCCAGCAATTATACTCTACCTTCCCTAGCAAGTCCTATTGGCCAAGTGTTACTCACATGTGGACTCCACTGCTCGGCCTGCCCACTGAAAACCTTACAAGACTAGACCTCATGGTAGCTTAGCTGGTTTTCTTGATGACTGAAAAGTTTTTCTACAACTTTTATGGACTGTCACCCCTTCTACTTCATGCAGACACTTAGGATAAATGCCTCTTAGAGTTCACTGTTGGCCAGGTGCAGCAGTACACACCTGTAGTTCCAGCACTTTGGGAGGCTGAGGCAGGTGGGTCACTTGAGGTCAGGAGTTCAAGACCAGCCTGGCCAACATGGTGAAACCCCATCTCTACTAATAATATGAAAATAGTGAGGTGTGGTGGTGCACACTTGTAATCCCAGCTACTTGGGAGGCTGAGGCATGAGAATCACTTGAACCCAGGAGGTGGAGGCTGCAGTAAGCTGAGATTGCGCCACTGCACTCCAGCCTGGGTGACAGCAAGACTCCATCTCAAAATAAATAAATAAATAAATAAATGTTCATTGTTAAAAGAGAAACATATATATGTCACAACCAAAAACTGCTTTGTCCTAATAAACTTCTATTTACCACTCAGTAGAAGATACTGAAAATGATGGGACTCAATGCTTCTCTTCTAGGCGTGGCTTCCAGAGAGCTGAGTTGGCATTCAGCTTTTCTGATACAAATATCTTCCTTCTTTATTTTTTGGCTATTATCCTTATACCTTTTATTAAAAAGTAAAGCAATTCTACTCTCCTTATGAGTTTGTGTTTAACAATGATGAAATATGTTAATTTGTGCATGCATAATGAGATGAACTCTGGATTATTTCATCTCTGCGATTACATGTGGAATAGAGTGATTAATCATAAAATGTCTTCCTCATGATTCCAAAACTAGGAAATTGAAGAGAGCAACAGACTATATGTTTTCTAAACTGATATATCTCCTTGTGATCTAAGGGGATTATTTTCAGTGTCCATATATATATAAACAGCCTGAGGGGGAAAAACCTCAAACTGTGACATTAGAACAAGCACCGCTGGTAACAAATGGAAAACTGAAAATAACAATGCTTATCTTTTCAAAACGTTTAAAACTGCAACTTCCTAGCCATTTTGTGAGTTTGCAAAAGTCATAAATTTACCAAATACATTGCTTCTGACACCTCTTTTCCTTTCTCCATCCTTCTCATTTCCTTGTCATTTTTAGTATCTTCGGGGAAAGATACTAAAATACCCTAATTATTTTCCTTCTATATTAGTTTCACCATGATCAAATATTTTATTTCTAAGAAAAATGTTTAATTAAGTGCCGGCTTTGTGTAAGAAAGTATGTCATAAACAAGACACGGAGAGTCCCTGTCTTCACAGTGCTGACATTCCTGTAGAATATTACTCCCCATATGGCCTTCACTCCTTCCTTATTCCAAATGCAAAGTTGCACGTTGCAGGCTATCAATTCCACATGCTCTAAGGGACACAATGATTCATAATGGCCAATACGTTCAATTACCTAATGTTAGAGAAATTCTGGAAGACAGAGTCTGCCGAATTTCAGGGGGTCTCTGTAATTTATGGCATAAATGGAAACTAGCTAGCATGTCTATACCAACCCGAGTTTCCATACTCACTTGTAGATTCCAGGCGCTTCACATCTCTTGACGTTTCCAAAAAATATCGCCGAAGAAAAATGAAAATGATTCCAAGGGGAACCAAGGGTATTGCGATCCAAGGAATCACGGCCACAGCCACAGAGACCACACCAACCACTTGTAGCAATGTCTGAAATAGCAGAAGTAGATGCAGGTTTTCCTTATCAAGTATTCTTTTCAAAAATACTTGCATGAGTTGTTGTTAGGATTACACTCCTTTCTCTGAAAGACTTATTGTAGTACCAGGGACTGCTTTTCCATACAAAGGAATAACAAAAGTATAGGTGGTCCTGATGATATCTATTACATGCCTGCCATGTGCCAAACACTATGATATAAACTTATCCATTAGGTTTTTTTTTCCTTTTTCTTTTTTTTTTTTTTGAGATGGAGTCTTGCTCTGTCACCCAGGCTGGAGTGAAGTGGTGCCATCTCCTCTCACTGCAGCCTCCCACTCCCGTGTTCAAGTGATTCTCCTGCCTCAGTTTCCTGAGTAGCTGGGACTACAGGTGCATGTCACCATGCCTAATTTTTGTATTTTTAGTAGAGATGGTGTTTCACCATATTGGCCAGGCTGGTCTCGAACTCCCGATCTCAAGTGATCTGCCCACCTCTGCCTCCCAAAGTGCTGGAATTATGAGCGTGAGCCACCACACCAGGCCCCCATTAGTTCTTTTGAAACACTCACCAGCCTCATGAGTCAGGCATTATTACTTTCCCTATTTAATGGATGAGAAAACTGAGATTTAGAGTAGGACTTGAATCCCAAACTATCATGAGTCAGTTGATGTTATGCGGGAAATGAGCAAGCAGGCATCATAGACAAGGAACCCAGAAGCCTCAGCTATGCACGGGATAAGGAAGTGACTAATTGCAAATTCAGTGCTCAGAAAAAAAGGAAATAATTTAAATCTTCACCTTTGGAAGTGGGGAGTCATCTCTCTTGGTATCTATCCTTTGCTAACATTTACTGAATGCTGATTGTATATCTGGCTGTATATTAAATACACATGTATCAACTCACTTAAATCTCACAATATCCCTATGAAGTAGTATTACTACACCATTTTACAGATGGAGACACTGAGGCACAGGGAGAAAAAAGTAACTTGATCAAGAACACACAGCACCAGTCACAGAGCTGAGGAGCATGCATTGTCAGCCACTACATTTTAGCTTGTCCCCAGCATACGGCTAGCTTTTTATTGGTCAGGATAAAATCCCTGAATTTTTCTCTAATTTTTCCCCTAAACACACTTACATAAGAAATTAGAGTTCATTAACATGCCCAATAAAGAATAGATAAGAGAAATGTAATTAAATTTTACATGTTTTAAAAGACCTGAGACTTTTTTCTTTTTATTACAATATATTGAATTTTATATTGTCAGAAATTTTTGTCTTCTATTTCTCTTACATTTAGTAGCACTGAGGAAGAGGTTTGATAACAAGAAAACAAGTCAAAATGTCTAACAGGGTTTTTTTTTTAGCTTTAACACTTGGATATGCATTAAATTTTCCACGATTAGGAGAGTATTTCAAACGTCTATTTCAGAGGCACATGATAACAATAGCAAATGACATGTATGAGCACGTGCAAGGCACTGTGCTAACGGGTCTGTGAATGTTCACTTACCCATCACCTCACCCAGCAAGGTGACATTATCTTTGGAAATTACCTTGGTCTAAAAGGTGAAATATAAAAACAAAAGCAAGAAGCATAAAAACCCAAGACACTGGATGATGCTCATTTCAGTATTCATCTTTATTAGGAAACATGTGATATCACGGTCTATGGCTTCGGGAAATATGAGTGCAACTCAAGTTAGTCCCTACCTACTCTGAAACCACAACGCTTGCTTCTTGAGAAGGATAGAACAGTGGGGGACGTGCAGATTCACGTTATACATGCTCTGAGGCCTCCAAAGTTCACTGTCTTACATAAAAGTACATGACTTCAGCAGAAAGTACAGAGTGCTATAGAAATATAAGGAGAGGCCAGTTGTGGTGGCTCACACCTGTAATCCCAGCACTTTGGGAGGCAGAGGCGGGTGGATCACCTGAGGTCAGGAGTTGGAGACCAGCCTGGCCAACGTGGTGAAACCCTATCTCTACTGAGAAAAAAAAAAAATAGCCGGGTGTGGTGCCGCATATTTGTAACCCCAGCTACTCGAGAGGCTGAGGGAGGACAACTGCCTGAACCTGGGAGCTGGAGGTTGCAGTGATCCGAGATGGTGCCACTGCACTCCAGCCTGGACGAGAAAGTGAGACTACATCTCAAAAAACAAAACAAACAAACAAACAAAAAGAAATATAAGGAGGAATACATGCACACTTTGTAGAGGTTTCTAAGGAAGACTTACAACTGATTTTCACAGGCAGGTTTAACAGACAACCAGAAAGTACAGCATAAATAATCACTTGCGGGTCGCAATCACAGTTTGCTTGCTGCGGGAACACAGGCAGTTCTGTGTGTGTCTTCTCAGCACCACCACCTGCATCTTGACCCACCAGCCCAGCATCTGGCCTACTAGGCCACCCACAATTTTCTGTACCTAGCTGACAGCCAAAGAAAGGTACAATTGCCCTGCCCTCCCAAAAACCAAGAAGAGGCAACATGTCATAAGCCTTGCTTATATCCAAACCTTAGTACATATGTATTTCGCATCCATTATCTAACTTCACTCTCATATCTAAATAGGAGGGATTATCATCTCCATTTACACAGGAGGAAACTGAGTCTCAGAGAGGTTCAGTAACTTCCTCAAAGACAGAAAATTCAGTCATACTGACCTTACACCTGTTCTCTTAATCACTGCAAGATACTATATCCTACACACGATTCATATTTTTAAAGCATTTAATACCGAAATATATCTGTATTTTTTATATTTTTGTTTTCTGAATTCTCTAGTTTTTAAGGTTATTGTGTGTGTGTGTGTGTGTGTGTGTGTGTGTGGTTATATCTGGTCTCTCAGTGAGGTGACCAATCCCAGCTCCCAGCTAATTAGGAAATAACAGACTTCTCAGCTCAAAAAGAAGAGCTGATCTTTAAAAAGTCTTAAAATATTTGCTAATAGAACATGGCAACACATATTGATTTAAGAATTATTGTTTACATCTAAAAGTCTTACAAAAAGATGAGTTCTAGACCCAGAAAACAAAATGACTTAAGAAAAAAAGAAGAACCACATTTTAATAAATATATAAAACCTCAGGACACAAAATGAAGGTTGAATACATTTCATATTCAATATCTATATTTGAATGGTAGTGAAAAATATAAAATTTCCCCCGGCAGACTCTTCTAGAATTAATTTTGTATCCGAACATTACAGAATGGAACATATTCTTTTAACAAGCATAATTTTAACTACAATGCCTGTTTGGCATTTAACCACCAAACTGCTTTGAGTCCTGGAGAAATTTTTAGGTATCTATCCACTATTTACTTTAAACTTCATTTTGTGGGATTCTGTTCCTGCTAGTCTTTGTGAAGCTTGTGCCAACGAACATGTTTTCTATAAACAGCAGTAAAAATGTATTCCTATTTTCTGCAAATAAAAATGCCATCCATCCTTCTGGCTCATTCTATTCCTCATTTGAACTCTCCCTCTCTCTGTCAACCTTCTATTAGGTACAAGATGAAATATGTATTTAATCATGAGGTCACTTAATCAGTAGATGGTATTTTCATGATTTGTTTATGGTATTAAAACATAAAATCAGGATCATTAAGGTTGCTAACACCTCACAGAAAGTGGAAAGCTTTTAATTCTGCTGTAAGCCACTGAAGAATTGTGTTCTAAGCTGTGATAAGTACAAATCATCCAGATTGCTTTAAACGATTACTGACTTCGCAGAAGACAAATCTTAGGTGTAATAAACAAAGCAGGGTTCACTTCTTGGTGAGAGACTATGGCAAGATTTTCTTCTGATTTAGAGAGAAAAAAATTGCCCACTAGTTTTTGATCAGTAAGGTGTTTACTGATAGGGTGGCAGAAGAAATTCTTCTACTTATTTATTTTGGGAACACATGAGACTAAAACAAAAAACAAACAAACAACAAACAAACAAAAAACTGGCAGGGTGCGGTGGCTCACGCCTATAATCCTAACACTTTGGGAGGTCAAGGCAGGCAGATTGCCTGAGCTCAACACCAGCCTGGGCAACATGGCGAAACCCCGTCTCTACTAAAAACACAAAAACTTAGCTGGGCGTGGTGGTGCATGCCTGCAATCCCAGCTACTTGGGAGGCTGAGGCTTGCAGTGAGCCGAGATCATGCCACTGCACTCCAGACTGGGTGACAGAGCAAGACTCTGTCTCAAAAAAAAATAAAACCTACTTCTCAATGAAATGACTAACATAACAGGTTGTGCTCCTGGCTAATACAGGATTTCTTCTGGAGCCACTAAAATTATGAACAGGGTATACAAACCGACAGGAATATTAAGAAATAAAAATGTAATTCTGTCAAATCATTATCATTACCTTCAATTACAGGATGAATAGAAGCAAAAGGGACAATATGGAAGACACTTAAATGTAAGCTCCTAAGCCCAAATACTGACAGCATCAGCACTAAGTCAGCAGATGTAAATTATGTGCTACTGTAGCATCTCACCTGCCTCAGGGAGTTCAGAGGTCAACTCTGGTTCCCAGGTCCCACCTGGGGAGATCTCTACTTTACATCTGTTTTTTTTGTTACCTCATCCAACCCAGTGAATGCCTTTAAATCAGAACTTTATGGAGTGTTGGTATGTCTTCTGTGTATGACAAGATCTAAACAAACATTCTCTAAGCTTTTCTAAACTTGTCCTTCCCTTGGGATACATTAATCACTCCTTTCATCCCTCATATGCTAATCTGATCTTTTGACATCCAGCGCTGGTACCTGTGTTGGACTTCGGTTAGTGCTTAATCCTGAGTCCCAGCTAACTCCAATGAAGAGTGAATGGTGTAAGGCATTAGAGCAATGTGGTGCACCTCTCCCTTCCTTTGTGGTCAGCATATCTCACTGACAGATGGTTTCCTTTGTACATTTTTTCCATGTTAATGTTTATTATGAAATTCAAGGCTGAAGTCCGTCTATATGCTACCTTAAAAATACACATCTTAGAAAAGGCATATAAAAGTGGAAATAAAAGATAAGTTTTAACCCACTTATCTTAATAACTGATATAACAAGCACATAAAAATCGACAGAGAAAATTTGAAAACATGATTAATAAACTTGACTTAATGATGACCTAAAGGCTACAATACTATAGCCAATAACTGCATAAACACACTTTTCAAGTGCATCTTTATTATGCCATAAAGCAAGTATCATCAAACTTCAAGAGACAGATATTATACAGAATATATTCTGACATAAGTGGATTTAACATGAAATCAATGTAATTAGAAATGTAACTAGAAATGTTAGGAATTCAGCAATATATTTCTATATAACACCTGTTTCAAATAAATTACAATAAAATTAGAAACTTTTCAAATAAAAGAAAATGAAAACCTAATAATATTAAAATTTCAGGACTGCAACTAATGCTGTTTACAAGTAAAATTATTCCTTCAAACTTTTTTTTAAAGACAGGTTAAAAGTAAAGGATCTAAAAATATACCTTACAAAGATAGAAAAATGAGTAGCATATTAAATTAAAATCTGAGAAAAATGGAAATTAGAAAAAAGGAGAAAATGATTAAATAGAAAACTAATTTGAAGGAGAAAAATCAACAAACCCAAAGCCTCATTATATAAAAAAACTGATGAAATCAATAAACTTCAAAAAGACTAATCAAGAAAAAAAGAGAGGAAAATTATCATTATCATGAATTAACAGGGAATAACAGAAGAGATACTACAGGCATTAAAAAGAATATATAATAAACACCGTTCCAATAAATTAAAAATTTTGATGCAAAAGGCAAATTTCTGGAAAAATGATGGGCAAAGACTGACATAATAAAAAACCTAAATCTGAATAATTCTATTATTGAATTTAAGAATATGAATTCATGACACAAAAATTTCCCATAGAAAAAACAAAGATGGGTCACAAGATGATTTTGCAGAAGTTTTATCAAATTCTTCTAGAGAATTGGAATCCAGCATTATCCTGATATAAAAACCAAAGAAAGGAAAATTATAAACCAAACTGTGTTAAGAACACTAAGTCCGGGCCCGGTGACTCACACCTGTAATCCCAGCACTTTGGGAGGCCAAGGAGGGCGGATCACAAGGTCAGGAGTTTGAGACCAGCCTGGCCAACATGGTGAAACCCCGTCTCTACTAAAAATACAAAATTTAGCTAGGCGTGGTCACGGGCACCTGTAATCCCAGCTACTTGGGAGGCTGAGGCAGGAGAAACACTTGCAACCGGAAGCTGAGATCACGCCACTGCACTCCAGCTTGGGTGAAAAAGCAAACAACAACAAAAAAGAACACTAAATAACATACTAAATACACTGAATCTAAGAACATAAAAAATAATTATACTTTATAAACTGTTTACACCAGTAATACAAGCCTGATTTAAGATCTGACAATTAATCAATCAATGCTATTTATCAGGTTAACGAAACAGGAAGAACCACATGATCATATAAATAGTGGCAAGAAAACACCAGGGCTTGAACCCAGGAGATGAAAGTTGCAGTGAGCCGAAATCATGCCACTGCACTCCAGCCTAGGTGACAGTGAGACTCTGTCAAAAAAAGAAAAAAAAAAAGAAGCCAATCCCAAGAGGTGGGATCATGGCAGACGAGAGGCAGGACTAGATTGCAGCTCTGACTCGGACTAACAGAGCAGTGTGCAGAGGCTTGCATGTGAACTTTAGCTCTGGATCGACTTCAAGAACAAACCAGCAATCCCAAGAGGAGCCACAGACCCTTTGAAGGAAGTGGACTGCTACTGCAGGACCTAGGAGACACCCCAAATACTCTGCAGCAAGACCCACCCAAGGAGAGTCTGAGCTCAGACATGCCTAGCCCTGCCCCCACCTGATGGTCCTTCCCTACGCACTGTGGTAGTGGAAGACAAAGGGCATATAATCCAGGGAGTCCTAGGGTCCTGTGCACTGCTAGTTCCTCTTCATGCTACCACAGCTAATGCTCTCTGCAAAGTGCCACCTTCCAACAGGAGGCCAACCAGTACAAAAATAGAGCATTAAACCAAAGCTAAGAACCGTCACAGGGTCCATTGCACCCCCCGACCACCTCCACCGGAACAGGTGCTGGTATCCATGGCTGAGAGACCCAAAGAGATCTCTGTGAGGTTCACATCACAGGACTCTCTGCAGACAACCGCCAGTGCCAACCGGGAACCAGGCAGACTCACTGGGTGGCTAGACCCAGAAGAGAGACAATAATCACCGCGGTTCGGCTCACAGGAAGCCGTATCCACACCAAAAGGGAGAGAGTACTATATCAAGGGAACACCCTGTGGGACAAAAGAATCTGAACAACAGCCTTCAGCTCAAGACCTTCCCTCTGACAGAGCCTACCCAAATGAGAAAAGGAACTAGAAAACCCACTCTGATAATGTGACAAAATAAGGCTCTTTACCAGCCTCACAAAATCACACTAGTTCACCAGCAATGGATCCAAACTGAGAAGAAATCCCTGATTTACCTGAAAAAGAATTTAGGAGGTTAGTTATTAAGCTAATCAGGGGGGCACCAGAGAAAGGCAAAGCACAATGCAAGGAAATCCAACAAATAATACAAGACATAAAGGGAGAAATAGTCAAAGAAACAGATAGCTTAAAAAAAATCAAAAATTCGAGAGACATTGGACACACTTACAGAAATGCAAAATGCTCTGGAAAGTCTCAGCAATAGAACTGAATAAGTAGAAGAAAGAAGAAGAAACAAGTAGTAGAAGAAAGAACTCAAAGACAAGGTCTTCTAATTAACCCAATCCAACAAATACAAATGGAAAAAGAATAAGAAAATATGAACAAAACCTCCAAGAAGTCTGGGATTATGTTAAACGACCAAGCCTAAGAATAATCAGTGTTCCTGAGGAAGAAGAGAATTCTAAAAGCTTGGAAAACATATTTGGGCAAATAATCGAGGAAAACTTCTTCAGCCTTGCTAGAGACCTAGACATCCAAATACAAGAAGCACAAAGAACACCTGGGAAATTCATTGAAAAAAATCATCACCTAGGTGCACTGTCATCAGGTTACCCAAAGGTAAGACCAAAGAAAGAATCTTAAGAGCTGTGAGACAGAAGCACCAGGTAACCTATAAAGGAAAACCTATCAGATTAACAGCAGATTTCTCAGCAGAAACCCTATAAGCTAGAAGGGATTGGGGCCCTATCTTCAGCCTCCTCAAACAAAACAATGATCAGCCAAGAATTTTGCATCCAGTGAAACTATGCTCCACATATGAAAGAAAGATACAGTTTTTTTCAAACAAACAAATGCTAAGAGAATTCACTACTACCAAACCACCACTGTAAGAAACTGCTAAAAGGAGCTCTAAATCTTGAAACAAATCCTGGAAACGCATCAAAACAGAAACTCTTTAAAGCATAAATCATACAGGACCTATAAAACAAAAATACAAGTTAAAAAGCAAAAACAAACAAAAAAAACACAAAGTACACAGACAACAAACAGCGCGATGAATACAACAGTACCTCACATCTCAACACTAATATTGAATGTAAATTGCCTAAATGCTCCACTTAAAAGATACAGAAGTGCAGAATGGATAAAAACTCACCAACCAATCTGCTGCCTTCTGGAGACTCACCTAACACATAAGCACTCACAGAAACTTAAAGGGGTGGAAAAAGGATTTCATGCAAATCGACATGAAACACAGCAGGGGCAGCTATTCTTATATCAGACAAAACAAACTTTAAAGCAACAGCAGTTAAAAGAGACAAAGAGGGACATTATCTAACAGTAAAAGGCCTTGTCCAAAAGGAAAATATCACAGTCCTAAACATATATGCACCCAACACTACAGCTCTCAAATTTATAAAACAATTACTAATAGAATTAAGAAATAAGAGAGACAGCAACACAATAACAGTGGGGGACTTCAATACTTCACTGACAGCACTAGACAGATCATTAAGACAAAAAGTCAACAAAGAAACAATGGATTTAAACTATACCTTGGAACAAATGGACTTAACATACATAAATAGAACATTTCATCCAACAACTGCAGAATACACATTCTATTCGACAGTGCATGGAACTTTTTCCAAGATAGACCATATGATTCAACTCCAAAAGGAATCTTCAAAACCATGCAAATACATGGAAATTAAATAATCTGCTCCTGAATGAGCATTGGGTCAAAAATGAAATCAAGATGGAAATTAAAAAATATTTCAAACTGAATGACAATAATGACACAACCTATCAAAACCTCTGGGATACAGCAAAGGCAGTACTAAGAGGAAAGTTCATAGCCTTAAACACCTGCATTGAAAAAGCTGAAAGAGCACAAACTGACATTCCAAGGTCACACCTCAAGGAACTAGAGAAACAAGAACAAACCAAACCCAAACCCAGCAGAAGAAAGGAAATAACTAAGATCAGAGCAGAACTAAATGAAATGAAACAACAACAACAAAACACAAAAGATAAATAAAACAAAAAGCTGGTTTTTTGAAAAGGTAAATAAAATTGATAGGCCATTAGCAAGATTAACCAAGAAAAGAAGAGAGAAAAATTAACTGACACCACTGAAATACAAAAGATCATTCAAGGCTACTATGAACATCTTTACACACATAAACTAGAAAACCTAGAAGAGATGGATAAATTCCTGGAAAAATACAACCCTCCTAGCTTAAATCAGGAAGAATTAGATACCCTGAACAGACCAATAACAAGCAGCAAGACTGAAATGGTAATTTAAAAATTACCAACAAAAAAAAGTCCAAGACCAGACAGATTCACAGCAGAATTTTACCAGACATTCAAAGAAGAATTGGTACCAATCCTTTGGACACTATTCCATAAGACAGAGAAAGAAGGAACCCTCCCTAATTCATTCTATAAAGCCAGCATCACCATAATACCAAAACGAGGAAAGGACATAACCAAAAAGAACACTGCAAACCGATATCCTTGATGAACATAGATGCTAAAATCCTTAACAAAATACTTGTTAACTGAATCCAACAACATATCAAAAAGATAAGCCACCATGATCAAGTGGGTTTCATACCAGGGATGTAGAGATGGTTTAACATATGCAAGTCAATAAATGTGATACACCACATAAACAAAATTAAAACCAAAAAATCACATAATCATCTCAATAGATGCAGAAAAAGCATTCGACAAAATCCAGCATCCCTTTAAGATTAAAACTCTCAGCAAAATCGGCATACAAGAGACATACCTCAATGTAATAAAAGCCATCTATGACAAACCCACAGCCAACATGATACTGAATGGGGAAAAGTTGAAAGCATTTCCTCGGAGAACTGGAACAAGACAAGGATGCCCACTCTTACCACTCCTCTTCAACATAGTACTGGAAGTCCTGGCCAGATCAATCAGACAAAAGAAAGAAATAAAGGGCATCCAAATTGGTAAAGAGGAAGTCAAACTGTCGTTTACCTTGGAAAGCCTAAAGACTCCTCCAGAAAGCTCCTAGAACTGATAAAATAATTGAGCAAAGTTTCCAGATATAAGATTAATGTACACAAATCAGTAGCTCTTCTATACGCCAACAGGAACCAAGTAGAGAATCAAATCAAGAACTAAACCCCTTTTACAATAGCTGCAAAAATTAAAATAAAATAAAATACTTAGGAATATACCTAACCAAGGAATCAAAAGACCTCTACAAGGAAAACTACAAAACACTGCTGGAAGAAATCATAGACAACACAAATAAATGGAAATACATCTCATGCTCATGGATGGATAGAATCAATATTGTGAAAATGACCATACTGCCAAAAGCAATCTACAAATTCAATGCAATTCCCATCAAAATACCACCATCATTCTGCACAGAATTAAAAAAAAAAATTCTAAAATTCACATGGAACCAAAAAAGAGCCCGCAGAGCCAAAGCAAGACTAATCAAACAGAACAAATCTGGAGGCATCACACTACTTGATTTCAAACTGTACTATAAGGCCATAGTCACCAAAACAGCATGGTACTGGTATAAAAATAGGCACACAGACCAATGGAACAGAATAGAGAACCCAAATACTTAACCGCCAACTGATATTTGACAAAGCAAACAAAATCATAAAGTGGGGAAAGGACACCCTTTTCAACAAATGGTGCTGGGATAACTGGCTAGCCACATGTAGGAGAATGAAACTGGATCCTTATCTCTGACCTTATACAAAAATCAACTCAAGATGGATCAGAGACTTAAATCTAAGACCTGGAAACTATAAAAATTCTAGAAGATAACATTGGAAAAACCCTTCTAGACATTGGTTTAGGCAAGGATTTCATGACTAAGAACCCAAAAGCAAATGCAATAAAAACAAAGATAAATAGTAGGGACTTAATTAAACTAAGGAGCTTTTGCACCGCAAAAGGCACATTCAGCAGAGTGAAGAGACAACACACAGAGTGGGAGTAAATCTTCACAATCTATACACATTTGACAAAGGAGTAATATCCAGAGTCTACAATGAATTAGAACAAATCAGTAAGAAAAAAAAATCTCATCAGAAAGTGGACTTAGGACATGAAGAGAAAATTCTGGAAAGAAGATATACAATGCTCACTATCACTAATGACTAGGGAAATGCAAATCAAAAACACAATGTGATACCACCTTACTCCTGCAAGAATGGCCATAATAAAAAAATCAGAAAACAGTAGATGTTGGCATGGATGCAGTGATCAGGGAACTCTTCTACACTGCTGGTGGGAATGTAAACTAGTACAGTCGCTATGGAAAATAGTGTGGAAATTCCTTAAAGAACTAAAAGTAGATCTACCATTTGATCCAGCAATCCCACTACTGGCTATCTACCCAGAGGAAAATAAATCATTATTTGGAAAAGATACTTGCACACACATGTTTATAGCAGCACGATTCACAATTGCAAAATCATGGAACCAACCCAAATGCCCATCAATCAATGAGTGGATAAAGAAACTGTGAGATTATCTATCTATCTATCTATCTATCTATCTATCTATCTATCTATCTATCTATCTGATGGAATACTCCTCAACCATAGAAAGGAATGAACTGACAGCATTTGCAGTGACCTGGATGAGACTGGAGACTATTATTCTGAGTGAAGTAACTCAGGAATGGAAAACCAAACATTGTATGTTCTCACTGATACATGGGAGCTAAGCTATGAGGATGCAAAGGCATAAGAATGATACAATGGACTTTGGGGGTTTAGGGGGAAGAGTGGGAGGAGGGCGAGGGATAAAACACTACAAATATGGTGCAGTGTACACTGCTTGGGTGATGGGTGCACCAAAATCTCTCAAATCACCACTAAAGAGCTTAGTCATGTAACCAAATACCACCTGTACCTCAGTAACTTATGGAAAACTAACAAATAAATAAATAAGACACTGAAATAGATACAGATTTTTTTAAACAGAACACAAAAATCAATGACCATAAAGGAAAAGATTGATAAGTATGTTTATGAAAACACAATATTACAGGGCTAAAAAGATAAGCATTAGTACAGAAGGAAGGTATCTGCAATTCAGAATACATAAAGAATTCTACAAATCAGTAAGAAAAACAAAACAAAAACCCAGAGTACTCAATAGAAAAATTGTTAAGACACTTAAATAGGTGCTTACCCAAATGATATTTAATTGGTCAATAAACATAAAAAGATGAAAAGTATAAGAGCAAAACAAATGAAAATTCTATAAACAAAAATTGAATATCAAAAAAACAACATTTAGCCAGGTACAGTGGCTCATGCCTATAATCCCAGCACTGAGGTTTGCTTGAGGAGGGAGGAGGATTGCTTGAGCCTAGGAGTTTGAGACCAGCCAGGACAACACAGCGAGATCCCATCTCTATGAAAGAAAAAAAAAAACATATTCAATGGGCTGGCAGCAGATTGGGATAAGAGAAAGAATCAATGACCCTAAAGACAGAGCAATACAAATTATCCAAATGAAAGACAAAAATAAAAAAGACTGAAAGACTGGAATGCAACACCCTAGATCTTGGAGCTACACCAAACAGTCTAACATACTATCATTTTCAGTCCCAGAAGTTAAGGAGTTAAAAGAGAAAGAAAAGAAAAGTGTATCAAAACATAAAGTACTCATAATTTTCCAAAATTAAATAAAAATACCAACCCATATATTGAAGCTCATTAATCCCAAGAAGGATACTAAACACATATAGTCAAACAGCAAAAACTCAAAGAGGAAATTGTTTTAAAAAGCAGCCATGAAGAGTCATAATGTATAGTGCAACAAGCATAATAATGATGGTTTCTCATCAGAAACAATGAAGGGAGAAGACAATGATGTGATATATGTACAGTGCCAAAAAAAGGAAAAAAAAAGAAAACTGTCAACCTAGAATCTTCTATCTGTTGAAAAGATCATTAAAAACAAAGTTGAAATAAAGACATGCTCAGATGGGCAAAAGCTAGGAGAAGGTCTCTAGCAGACCAGCCTGAAAGGAAGTTCTTCAGGCTTAAGGAAAATGATACCAGATGGAAGCTCAGACTTCAGAAAGAAATAAAGAGCACTGGAAAGGACAAATATGTGAATAAATATAAAACACAATTTTCTATAATATGTATGCACATACATGCATACATATGTATAAATTTCTTTAAAAGACCATTGGTTATTTAAAGCAAAATGGACCCAATATATCATGAAGTTTATAGCATATGTAGAAGTAAACAATATGACAACATAAGCCCAAAGAATAGCAGAAATAAATTATATAATAGTAAGATTATTCTATTGTTTGCAAATTTGGTAGGAAATTATTTGAAAATAGATTGCAATAAACTTAAATGGATATGTAAACTCTAGAGCAACCACTAAAAACAATAACATAAAGAGTAGAGCTAAAAATGTGATAGAAAAAATAAGAACATATATTCTATTCACTGCAAAGAAGGAAAAGAACATATGAGACTAACAGAAGACAAATACCAAGATGGTAGACTTAAAACCAACCATATCTATAATTACATTAAATGTACATGGATGAAACTCCACATAAAATGACAGAGAATTTCAGCTGAGCATTTAAAAAGCCAGACCTAATTAGATGCTGCTTACAACAAAGACTGTAAATACAGAGAGAGAGAGAGATACCAAGCAAAAACACCCCACTCTTAGTAAATGACAGAACAGTGGACAAAAATTCAGTAAAGATACTGAAGATCCAGATATTATAAGCCAACTTGACCTGTCATTTTTAGAACTCTATACTCCACAGCTACAGAATATACATTCTTTTTTTTTTTTTTTTTTTTTTTTCAAATGCACAGGGGACCGTTACCAAAGTAAAGTAAATACTGGGCCATTAAAGAAGTCTCAATACATTTCAAAGGTTAGAAATATTACAGAATATGTTATCGAATTACAACAAGGCTAATTAGAAATCAGTAGCAGTAAGGTTTTTTAAAAAAAAAAAATCCCTAAATCTTTAGAAATGAAGTTATATACTCCATAATAACTCACTACTAAAATATTACTTCAGAAAGTCAACTCATGGGCCAGGTACAGTGGCTCACGCCTATAATCCCAGCACTTTTAGAGGCTGAGGTGGGAGGCTCACTTGAGGCCAGGAGTTTCAGACCAACCTGGGCAACATGGTGAAACTCCATCTCTACTAAAAATACAAAAATTAGCTGGGTGTGGTGATGTGCGCCTGTAATCCCAGCTATTCAACAGGCTGAGGCACAAGAATCGCTTGAACCTGGGAGGTGGAGGTTGCAGTGAGCCGAGATTGCACCACTGCACTCCAGCCTGGGCGACAGAGTGAGATACTGTCTAAAAAAAAAAAAAAAAAAGTCAACTCATAAATATTCTGAACTGTAGATAATGAAAACACAACATATCAAAATCATTGGATGCAGCTAAGCAATACTTAGAGGAAGTATAACTTTAAATGCATATATTATGAAACAAATGAAAACCAACAGATTAATGTTCAATCTTAAAAAGCTAAAGAAAAAGATAAATTAAATCAATGTAACTTAAAAAATATAAGAAATTAATGAAATAGAAAATCTACCAACTACAGAGAAAATTACAAAATCAAACATGAATTCACTGGAAAAAAAATCAAAATTGATAAACTCCAAGCTAAACTGATTGACAGAAACAAATTATCAGTGTCGGGAATAAAAGAAGAAATTTCACTATAGATTATAAAGACATTAAATGGACAAATGTGAGATTATGAACAGTTTCATGCAAAAAGTTCTCCAGTGAAGACGAAATAAGCAAATGTATTAAAAACCACAATTTGCAAAACAGGAAATATTCACAAATGCCTAATATTAAACATATACAAATACACTTATGTATATTAAAAACTAAAAAATCAACAAGATTTTTAAAAACACGTTTTAAAAAGCTGGCAGGAGATCTGAACCAGTATTTCAGAAAATAAGACACTTGAATGGCCAATTAGCCTGTATGGAAAAAGCTCAATATTAATCATCAAGGCAATGCAAATGGATCATCTATACTCTACTAAAAAGAATAAAAACAAAAAGATTGATCATACTAAATGTTGGCGAGGATGTGGAGCAACTAGAATGCTCATATATTGCCACTGGGTGTGTAAAATAGTACAACCATTATAAAAATCCTTGTCATAGTTTGATTTTTGGTTTTTAAAGTGAACTTTACGAACCCAGCAATTCCACTCCTATGCATTTTATCTGAGATGAATGAAAACATATGTAGTGTACCCATAAACACTTCTATAAGAACATTCATTGCTAAAAACTGGCAACAATTCAAATACCCATCAATCAGAGAGTAGACAAATAAATGTTGATGTCATCATACAATGAAATATCACTCAGAAAAAGAAAACAAAGAAATGAACCACTGAAACATACACAGAACTCAAAAACATGGTGAACAAAAGAATCCAGCCACAGAAAAATTATTGGTTCCATTTATACGTAGTTCAAGAACAGGAAAACTAATTGATGTTGACAGAAATCTGGAAGAGGTGTAGAGGTGTGAAAATTGACTGCAGAGGAGCAAAGGAGACTTCCTGAGGAGATGGAAATGCTCTACATCTTGTTTTAGAGGGTGGATATTGGAATGTACACAATTAGTAAAATTCAACCTAAAAAAAACTGTCGATTTTATTGTATATAAACTATACCTCAATAAAAATAGATAGGGTAAAAAAAATATGACACTAGAATTTCATTCCCATCCCTTTGGCCATGTTCAGGCAGAGGTTGGGCAGTGTATCAATACACAACCATAACGCTAAGAGATGATCTCCTCAGGTGCATTGAGGGTGGGAAAGGGCAAATGTGAGAACTAATGGTAACCAGCCCATGTGCCCTAGAACAAAAATGGCTCCTGATCCATGTTTGATACGTGTCCCATAGGTGGCTGGCCCTTTGCTGCGATGCACAAGCGGCACTATCGGCTTCATGACTCAACGCAAATGAGAGAGAACACTAAGTCAATGAACCCAGGGAAAGGGCTGAAAGAAAACAAGTGAGTCACAAAACTCACAAGTAGAACAGATTACACTTACCCATGCCCCACATCAGATGGAAGTGATACATCCATATAGAAAATAGTGACTGCAAGATTTTAATAAAACTCAGGCAAGTTCTCCAGTCCAAACCTTTTTTTGTTCATCTTATCAAGAAAACTCAGTAGGTATACAGACAAAAATGAATGTAATCAATCAAGAATAGCATAGAGAGAATTTAAAGGTCCTCAATTAAGTAAACATTTGGCCATTTTCCTCTCCTGGGTAATAGCTGTCCATTTTATCATTACTAAGGATGCAAAATGACAAGAAGAGAAAGCACCACGAATGGCCACTATTGTTTTGCAATGGACATCATCCAATATGCCAGAATGGAAAGTTCTATGCTCTGCTGAATACCACCAGACTTGATAAAAATGAGACTCTTAATTTTTTTCTTTAGGTCTTAATTAGCTTCTTGTTAAACTACAAACATTATCATTGGAACACACATGCTGGGAAAAATTGGAACACTGGTTGCCAGCCTGGGAAGCCTGGGAGGGTCCCCAGTGATTAACTGTCACCACACTAATGGTGACAGTACTGCTTTCTACATGTGCTATCACACTGGAAAAAACCCAACCATTGCATCTTTCATTAAAAAAGAAAAGGTAAAGGAATTGTTAGAGTGGGCCTGTGTGAATCCTATCATCCTGATCTCAGAAATCCAGGGGTCAAGAGTTGGCAAATATTTCCAGTAACTCATGTCATCAACTGCCCTGTCTATTAACAAGGAAATCCACTTTAATGTGGCAGTTGGCATGAATCATTATCTCTAGGGCTGGCATTTTCACAGACTAGTCCATCCTTGTAAATGCAGTGACTAAAACTCTTTTGTTGACTTTGAAAGCATGAGAACGCCGTGATTCAGTTAAAATGGATGAGTTTACTTTTGAAAGACTCAGTAAAACAGAGATCTTTCAAATGACGGCAAGGCGACCTAACTAACGATCTCTTTTGTCCAATGGGGATTTGAGGGTAGGAGTTGGGGGAAGGGGTGAACAAACCTCAGAAATCTCAAAATGACAAAGTCATTGTTCAGTGTGCTTTCTACACACTTTCCCTGACATCTCTACACAATGAAATGTAAGGGTCAGTGGTACTGAGACAAGTCAAGGCAGTTCCACTCTTTTGCTTCTATAAAAGCGAGTGACCCAACCTATTATACTCAAGTCTTAGGATGGCTTTGTTCTCCACATCCAGATGCAGCAGCTTTTTCTCCTGCCCCTCATCCTGCCCTCCCACCCCCCTAGGGAAGAAATGACTGAGGACACCTCCTTCACATTTTCTTTTTCTTGGGCATTTCACTTCATAAAGCTGCAGTCAATGTGTTTTGTTTGTGGGAGGAGGGACTGGCACATTCAGTGGTGGTCTCCACTGCTGCCTGCATTGGTGGCTCAAGTAGCCTCAGGACTAGTCCTTTGTGTTCCATGAAAGGATATGAAAAGTCAGTTATTTAAGCTCAGTCAAGCTGCTGATTTTTTTTTTTTTTTAGATGAGGGGTGTGTAGGGAAGAAAGGTTTTGCAATTCCGTGTGCCTCAATATATTACAGTATTTTGCTGAGTGCAGCTGTGTGCAAGTTAGCACACTCGGAGCACTCCCAAATTTAAACAGAAAAAATTAAAATGCCTAAATCCAACCTCTGCATCTTATCTTCATTTTTCATTTGTTTTTTTCTAGTAGGAAGACTTCTTAGAGGCAAAGATTTTAGCTAGCAGAAGTCTAGATAACTCAGACTCTACACTCAATGTTATCAAGGGCCAAGGAAGTTTCAGCAATATTATGAAAATTACGTTATTATGAGATATTTAGTGCTCACTGGTTTATTCTGAAAACAACTGATTTTGATACTGTGGTTCCAGAAGAGAAAATAGCCATTAAAGCCTTCAGGGATAATAAACCTAATATCTGGAATACAAACTCATGTCCTAATACTTATGGGTCTGGTAACTGTCTGACAATTACCTTAATGCAGCATAATGTCATTGTCAGGCTATTTCTCCCACTTAAAAATATACGTAGTATTTAAAAAGTACCTTTTATTTAGTGAGCTTAGATGTTATGCTAAGAATGTTATTGAAATGACTTCATTTTATCCTCACAATAACCCTCATGGAATAGGTAGAATTTTCTCCATTTTACAGAGACGTAGCATGTGGCTTTGTGAGGAAAGAGAAGGTAAGCGGTAGAGCTAGGAGTCAAACTTAAGAAGGATGATTCCAAGCCTCTCCCATTCCATCCTACACTACACTTGAAATTTTTTATTATTATTTTTTGGTTCTTTTGAGTCTGGGTCTGGCTCTGTTGCTCAGGCTGGAGTGCAGTAGCACAACTGTGGTTCACTGCAACCTCGAACTTCTGGGCTCAAGTGATCTTCCGGACTCAGCCTCCAGAGTAGCTGGGACTACAGGCACGCACCACTACACCTAGCTAATTGTTTTATTTTTTTGTAGAGACAGGGTCTCACCATAATGCTCAGGCTGGTCTCAAACTCCTGGGTTCAAGAGTTCTTTCCAGGTCGGCCTCCCAAATTGCTAGGACTACAACCATAAGACACCATCTCTGGCAAAGTCTTTTATTATTTTTATAGAGAAGGGGGTCTCACTATGTCGCCCAGGCTGGTTTTGAACTCCTGACCTTGAGCAATCCTCTCACTTCGGCCTCCCAAAGTTCTGGGATTACAGGCATGGACCACCACACCTGGCCCCTACATTATACTTTGAAGTTATTTACTTACAAGTGATATCTAGTCACACCTTTTTTTTTTTTAGATCGAGTCTCGCCCTGTCTGGAGTGCAATGGCACAATCTTGGTTCACTGCAACCACTGTCTCCTGGATTCAAGCAATTCTCCCTGCCTCAGCCCCCCAAGTAGCTGGTATTACAAGGGCCCGCCACCACGCCCAGCTAATTTTTGTATTTTTAGTAGAGATGGGGTTTCACCATGTTGGCCAGGCTGGTCTCAAACTCCTGACCTCAAGTGATCCACCCACCTTGGCCTCCCAAAGTGCTGGGATTACAGGTGTGAACTACCACACCTGGCCCAGTCACATCTAATCTTATTCACAGTAGCACACTCAACACTCACACCTTTAAAACCTGAAGCTGGGCCGGGCGCAGTGGCTCACGCCTGTAATCCCAGCACTTTGGGAGGCTGAGGTGGGTGGATCACGAGGTCAGGAGTTCGAGACCAGCCGGGCCAATACGGTGAAACCCTGTCTCTACTAAAAATACAAAAATTAGCCTGGCGTGGTAGCATGCACCTGTAGTCCCAGCTACTTGGGAGGCTGAGGCAGGAGAATGGCATGAACCTGGGAGGCAGTGCTTGCAGTGAGCTGAGATCACGCCACTGCACTCCAGCCTGGGCGACAGAGCGAGACTCCGTCTCAAAAACAAAAAAACAGAAAACAAAAACAAAACCTGAAGCTTTTCCTAGAGAACCAAGAGCACTTGCAAAGGGAATTTTCATGGCTCTGATATCCTGAGGTAGAATCACCCTAAACAGACCACATAAATGATGCTGGCTTCCTTTTAATTTTGGAATTGAGAACAGCTCCAATTTTGCAAGCAACTATAATTTGACAGGATTGGCAAGATATCTGACAGCTTTAACAGTTGATCTAGTAAAGCATTCACGGAGGTGTGCAAACCTAACTGGCCTTCTACTGGGACACAGCCTTGTGAATGACACATGCCTGAGGGGATCGACTATCCTGCAGTGTGGGCCCCCTATTCAGAAGCAAGGGCTTTCATTAGCCACACAAGGCATTCTGACCTGGATGTCCTAAAGAGAAACTTGTCCAAACCAGTATCCTTTCTTGTTTTCCTGATGCTGGTACAACCCCATCTTTCTGACAGTCTCCCATTCCTCTCCATATCCTTCCACCCAAATCTCTAAACTCTAAATTCCTGTGCTTAAGAAACAAGCCTTCTTGTGATCTGGCCCCTCTGCATCTCTCCATCTGATCTCCTCTAATGCCTTGTCTCAAACCTCCTGATGCAGCTATTCCACACTGCAGTGTCCCTGTAGATATCCTAAACTCCTGCACTTCCTGCCATATGTGCCTCCTTCTCCCCTACATGGCTCAGGAATAACCAGGAAGCCTTACCAGCTTCCCCAAGCAGGGCAACAGACAAAGCCCTTTGCTGCTGTGATGTGAACTTGTATTTGGCCAGCATGGAAATAAGGGATACACAATACAAAATCCTTAAAGTTGGTTTTGAGGTTTTTTTGGTTTGGGTTTTTTTGTTGTTGTTGTTGAGATGGAGTCTCTCTCTGCTGCCCAGGCTGGAGTGCAGTGGTATGATCTTGACTCACTGCAACCTCCACCTCCCATGTTCAAGCAATTCTTTCAGCCTCCCAAGTAGCTGGGATTACAGGTGTGCACCACCACTCCCAGCTAATTTTTGGGTTTTTAGTAAAGATGGGGCTTCGCCACATTGGTCAGGCTAGTCTGGAACTCTTGACCTCAAGTGATCTGCCCTCCTCAGCCTCCCAAAGTGCTGAGATTACAGGCATGAAAAAACATGTCCGGGTCTGATGTTGGAGATTTTCATGGTCTTTCTTATGTATATATCACACACATAATACATCATCTATGAATTTTAAGACACATGTGAAGCTATTAGCACACAATCCTATTTTCCTCCAATTCTCATCTCCACCCCATTTATTCTCATCCACACATAATTTGTTAACAATTTTTTAAAGTGAAGATTTCTTTCCCAAGGCTTCGACTTGTCAAACAAATCTTTCTTGTGGCATTCCTGTTTCATCAGTTTATATGATAAGTATTGCCATCACAAAATTACAGTAACAAGGATAAGTAGCATGAATACGTTGAGGAAGAATCACAACTGACTCTGAGGAAGCATAATGAGGCCAAGGATTGGGGCAGAGAATGGGGTCCGCCAGAGGCAGCCCAGTGGCAGGCATGTGCTACAGGTGGAGTGGAGGGTGCTGTGAATCCAGAAGGTGGTGAAAACAAACAAGTGGATTAGAACACAGTCCTCAACCTTTTTGGCACCAGGGACTGGTTTCGCGGAGGACAATTTTTCCATGGATGGCGATGGAGGTAGTTTCAGGATGATTCAAGCCCATTACATTTATTGTGTACTTTATTTCTATTATTATGTGGTAATATATAATGAAATAATTATACAACTTACCATAATGTAGAATCAGTGGGATCCCTGAGCTTGTTTTCCTGCAACTAGATGGTCCCATCTGGGGGTGATGGGAGACAATGACAGATGATCAGGCACTAGATTCTCATAAGGTAGATGCAAGCTAGATCCCTAGCATGCACATTTCACAATGTTCACAGGGTTCGTGCTCCTATGAGAATCTAATGCCGCCGACGATCTGACAGGAGGCAGAGGTCAGGCGGTAACGTGAGTGATGGGGAGCAAGCTTTGTTTTCTTGTCCACCGCTCACCTCCTGCTGTGTGGCCAGGTTCCTAACAGGCCACACAGACTAGTACTGGTCTGTGGCCCAGGGGTTGGGGACCACTGGATTAGTCAACAAGAGTAGTTGTTCACTTCTTCATCCTCCCTAGAGCACTAATTAGCAAGAAAATTAAAGAATAAATTTAACATTTACCCCTGGAGGTTCAAGGACAAGTTAGAAGTTAATACCTTAACTTTCAGTTTCACTCAAATGTGCATAAAGCTCCATTAGTGCTGCTATTGGTTTCACTAACTCCATCCACAATTCTCCCGAAAACAGAAAACCTCATACAACAAAGCCAAACCTGAAACACAATCAGGTTTCCACCAGGCAGAAGTATGGTGACTAAGCCTAGTGGCCTCGGCACTGCTGGACACTGAATTGCAATGGGGTAAGTGAAGAGTTCCAAAGCCAAGGGAAGCCTCCCAACAGCATAGCTTGGAATGGAGTGATCTGCTGTCCAACCCCAAGATGCTGATGCAGATGATGATGATAACAGCAAGATAGAGGAGACATCCACTGCCACAAAGACCTTTTTCAGGTGACCGCAAAGAGCAGGGAGAACTCTGAAAACGACCCTTTTCAGGAAGCAACCAGGCACAACTCAGAGGACAACCACCACGTGTGCACAGGGTAAGCCGGTTACCGGCCTCGCTGATTTTCAGTAAAGCCCATCAACTGGGAATAACGTCTCTAAAGGAGAGAGATGCATGTGCACACATCACACATCCTTGTTTAACCTTAAAATTACAAGATGAGCTGCCACTTAGCTGCTCAAAGACCTTAGAGGGGTTCAGCTCTCTATAGGTTCAACTATGAATTCCATACACAAGTTTACAAGGCTGGCTAAAATGTAGACTCCGACTGCCCTAGAGCCCTACATAAATCATCTATTACAGCCACAAATGTTATTTTCCTCAATTTACAGTTTAAGATGGGCATCAAGCTACTTTAATTGGAAGATTACATATCAACGGTTTAATTGCTTCTTGAGGGGTATGTGCGTGTGTGTGCGTATATATGTGCGCGTATATATATATACATATATACGCACACACACGTATATTTTAACCAAAAAGTAACTAAGGCAGGTCTCAATCGATTAGAGGTTTATTTAGCCACAGATGAGAATGTGGCAGGGGCATCTGTGATGCTTTTTTCTAGAGGGAGTTTTGTAAACTTCAGTATTTAAAGAAGAGCAAGCAGAAGGGAAAAAAAAATAAAAAAAAGAAAAAGGGAGGGAGGGTAGACAGTGAGATGGTCACCTTCTTGTGAGACCCTGATTAGCCCCAGTATATCTACATTTTACATGTGAAAAGAGGGAGTAGAAGAAAATGTGGATTGTGCATTGTCTCACACTCAGTCGATCTGTATTTTATATTAAGATAAAGGAGGGAGTACAGGAAATGAGGCAGTGACACAGGATAGTAGGGTTGTGAAATCATGGCTGTTTGGGAACAAAAGAAAGATGGTACTGGTGACTCTGTTCCCAAGCTTAACTTTCCCTTTGGCATAGGGAGTCTGGGACCTGAGATTCTATTTCTCTTTCACACATGAAATAAGGCACCCAGACTTTGTTGTCTAAAATCAAATACATGGGGCTGTGGGGGAGTTCAGATCCTTTACAGACAGTTTTTAAGAGTATTCAGGCTGGGCGTGGTGGCTCATGCCTGTAATCCCAGCACATTGGGAGGCTGATATGGGTGGACCACCTGAGGTCAGGAGTTCAAGACCAGCCTGGCCAACATGGTGAAACCCCATCTCTACTAAAAATAAAAAAATTAGCCAGGCATAGTGGCAGTCACCTGTAATCCCAGCTACCCGGGAGGCTGAGGCAGGACAATCACTTGGAACAGGGAGGCAGAAGCTACAGTGAGCCGAGATGGCACCATTGCACTCCAGCTTCGGTGACAAGAGTGAAACTCCTCTCAAAAAAACAAAACAAAACAAAACTAGAGTATTCAAAGTATAAATTGTGACAGAAACATTCCATTTAATTAAACCATGAGGTGTTTTTATTTCACAAAAATATTTATGCTGTGTACTGTATATGTTTATAGTATTTAAATTTAACTCTTTAGTATACTTATGTAACTTTCTATAAAGAATGCACTTCCAGTGAATAATATTAGTACAATGTACAATCACCAGTTGTTACAAAGTTTTAATGTAAAGTTATTTTTTAACAGTAACTATAGAAATGTGCCTTTGCTTTTGCCACAGTTAATTGTTTTTCCTTGTTTATACAGTATTACCACAGAGCTATATATATCACAACCTGAACAAAGGTGCATCAGAATACTGTAGATAAAGATATAGGCTGGGCATGGTGGCTCACTCCTGTAATCCCAGCACTTTGGGAGGCTGAGGTGAGTGGATCACCTGAGGTCAGGAGTTCGAGACCAGTCTGGCCAACATGGTGAAACCCTGTATCTACCAAATATCTACCAAAAAATAAAATTAGCCAGGCGTGGTAGTACACACCTGTTGTCCCAGCCACTGTGGAGGAGTCTGAGATGGGAGAATTGTTTGAAGCTGGGAGGCAAAGTTTGCAGCGAGCAGAGATCACACCACTGCACTCCAGCCTGGGCGACAGAGCGAGACCCCATCTCAAAAAAAAGAAAGAAAGAAAAGAAAATCTAGTGTCCTCTCTCTCCTGAGCTTCCAGATGCTCATATCTAAAAAACAGTCACAGTTTCTCTGGTACCTGGGTTTGAGACCAGGTTTATCATAAAACCAGGAATAAAGTTATTTAAATGAGTAGTCTCCACAGCTGGGAATCTTACTGACCACTCAAAATGTCTAAAAGAATTTTGGGGAAAGGAAACTAAGTTTGTCTACCTTTAATTCTAAAGACACAGGGGGTAAGAAAAAAAGGCTAGTACCACAATTTCTGAAAGGTTTATATCTAAAATATCATAGGCTCATATTAAATGAGCATTATATGACTTTCTATAGGGAGATGGGTGGGCACCAGATGACAAATAATCTATTATTAGAGACTTAGTGATAGATATGGTTTGGCTGTGTCCCCACCCAAATCTCATCTTGAACTGTATGTAGCTCCCATAATCCCTACATGTTGTGGGAGGGACCCAGGGGGAGGTAACTGAATCATGGGGTTGGGTTTTTCCCGTGGTATTCTCGTGATAGTGAATAAGTCACATGAGATCTGATGATTTTATAAACAGCAGTTCCCTTGAACATGTTCTCTTGCCTGCCGCCATGTAAGACATGCCTTTGCTCCTCCTTCACCTTCCACCATGTGAGGCCTCCCCAGCCACATGGAACTGTGAGTCCGTTAAATCTATTTTCTTTTTTTTTTTTTTATTTTATTTTGAGACAGAGTGTGTCGTCCAGGCTGGAGTGCAGTGGTGCAATTTTGGCTCACTACAACCCAAGTTCAAGTGATTCTCCTGCCTCAGCCTCCCAGGTAGCTGGGACTACAGGTACCCTGCTCATGCTTGGCATCTCTCTGCCTGAGGAAATGCCACTTTGTTCCCTTCTGGAGACCTGGCACCTGTTCCTCCTCCATACAATGTGCCCCTCCCTCAACCTGCCCCCATATCTTCTTTGCACGGCTGTTTCCTTATTTTTCAAACTCAACGTCACCTCCTCCTTGACTATGCTGGTCCAGTCATTAGCAAACACTTTCCTTTGCTGAACACACTAGACCTATACTAACTTAGATTATTTATGTTTATTGGTCTGTTTATTGTCGACCTCCTGCACTAGAATGCCAATTCCTAGAAGCTGATACCCAGTTAACTGCTCCATGCTCTAGATCCTGGAAAAGTACTTGGCATACAGGAGGTGTCCAAGAAATACTGATTGACTCAACGACTATGAGTGAAGTTTAAATGAGATGGGGCAAGTGAAATATGCTCAGAGCAGTGCTCAGCCTGGTGTTATATGATCCCTTCTTTTTACAGGACCTAGAGATTGTTTTATTACAGAATGGAGTGGTAAAGAAAAGCATCACTAATGCGAAAGAGAGACTTTCGCTGGTCCTTAAAGGATGAAGAATTAGAAGGGTACATTTGAGGGTGAGCCACAGGTGTGCAAACACACACACACACACACACACACACACAGGTGCCAACAGTCTGGCATGCACATAGTTTCTTTCCAAAAGTTAAAGAGAGATTAGATTTAAGGACCAGAAAATTTGAATTTTGCTCTTTGTATGTCCTTTGTAGCCACAAATCAAAGGCAAGCAAAGCAAAACAAATCTATTTAGATATTTATTCTAACATATGGCTGCACTGTGAGAAGAGGGTTTGAGTCCTCACTCCAGCATTAGGTGTTGCATGGCCAGTCTTGGAGGAAGCCATAATTGAACTTAAAGTGAAAGAGCTAGGATTGGAAATTTGTCTCGTGCTGAGACCTTAACCATTCTCTCCTACAGTATCCCTTCTATTGTAAGTCTTATCACACAGCATGGTAACTGCTTTCTATCTGTCCCTCCCAATAGAGTAAACTCATAGAAGAAGGGAATTCAATTTCACTTAGCCCCATATCTCCAAGCCCAACATGGGGCCTAGTACACCCAAGATACTCAATAAATGCTTCTCAGGTGGATGAAGATAAAGCCTCTATCTTTTCCACCTCTGCATACTCAGCATATAGTAGGAGCTCAATAAAAAGCTGGTGGGAAAAAAAAATAAAAAGGAAGACATGTAATAAGAATGACACGTATTGGCCAGGCGTGATGGCGCACGCCTGTAATCCCAGCACTTTTGGAGGCCGAGACGGGCAGATCACTTGAGGTCAGGAGTTCCAGACCAGTCTGGCCAACATCGTGAAACCCCATCTCTACTAAAAATACAAAAATTAGACAGGCGTGGTGGTGGGTGCCTGTAATCTCAGCTACTCGGGAGGCGGAGGCAGGAGAATTGCTTGAACCCAGGAGGCGGAGGTTGCAGTGAGCCAAGATCGCCCCACTGCACTCCAGCCTGGGTGATAGAGCAAGACTCTGTCTCAAAAAAAAAAAAAAAAAATGAGATATATTGAAAAGAATTACAAATTATTTTCACAAGTCACATATTTGTAATAGAAATGTTTTCCTTTTGGGAGAAACTTTGAGATATTCCCAGATACATCCAGTTGTAAATATAGTCACAAAACACCATATCTCCCCATCAAATACTACAAATAAATTTGCACTATTAAAATTGTTGAAAACTACTGATTCCAAATCATTAATATTAAATTTCTAATTAAAATGCTAATAAGATATTATTAATACAAATATTACAGGTAGGGTACCTATTAATCCAATTATTGTTTTAAGAAAATGGAAGAAGAGATTCATGATGCTGGCATTGGTGCTGATATTAGGAAGTAATCAAGCACTTCTGGCCCAGCGCAGTGCCTCATGTCTGTAATCCCAGCACTTTGGGAGGCTGAGGCAGCAGGATCACTTGGGGTCAGAAATTAGAGACCAGCCTGGGCAAAATGGTGAAACCCCATCTCTACTAAAAATACAAAACTTAGCTGGCCATGGTGGTGCACACTTGTAGTCCCAGCTACTCGGGAGGCTGAGGTATGAGAATTGCTTGAGCCCGGGAGGTGGAGGCTGCAGTGAGCTGAGACTGCGCCACTGCACTCCAGCCTGGGCTTCAGAGCAAGACCCTGTTTCAGAAAAAAAAAAAGAAAGAAAAAAAAAAAAAAAACCACAGAAAAAAAGGAAGTAATCAAGCACTTTAAAATGTGAATGTTGACTATCATCTCTATGTTTTTGTTTGTTGATTTACGCAAACATACTATGTTTTGAATGCCAAATTCCTATTCAAAGAACATAAGTTCCAGATGAAGATCTTTATGCTATTTGTATTTCAATTCTTTATGAAAACAAGATATTCACTTTTAACCTGTGAAGAGCCATTCTATGTTCATAAATGACTTGGCTTTAGAAATATTGTAGATGTTCAAAGCTGTTACAAGTTTTGAAAAAGCAGACAAGAAAAACATGTTTGAACAACTCTTTATAAGCCAGATGTGCACTGCCAGCCTTGGCTAAATTATCTGATTAGCCCATGGCAACCTTGAGGTAACTTGCAGACTGTTCATTTGTATTCTATAAGTTATTTATTTCCAGTGATATATTTATATCTTATGATATATTCAAAAACTTCCCTTAATTCTGGCTTTCCTTCCAAAAGGCCTAATCAAAAACCTCACCTTTCTTTATTCACTACTGTTGCACACCTGAGCCAATCTGAGTTCCAAAGTGACACATTACCCTCGCTGCCCCTCTGGGTTTCTTCCCTTAATACAGGACAGCAAATGACACCCACTTTTAAGTTACCAGTGTCACTGTTCCCATCTGCAATGAGTGCCAACATCTAACTATATAAAAACAAATGAAAACTCACAAATACAAATATTTTATTGAAGTCCAAAAATCAAAGTTAGGTTAATTGCCTCTATCTGGCCAGCAAATCTGGTCACATGTAAACCAGAATTTCCTTATCTCAGCGATTTCATCGGGAGAGTAATAAAATCTGTGCATGGTTTCAGACTTGCTTCTACAGAGCCTACATTCTAGACACCAAGCCACAAGCAGAGGGTTCTCCTCTCAGATCTACCCCTCCAGTCTTTGGCAAACTCAATTGGAAACAGTTCAGTTCTGACCCAATGGTCCACAGTTCCAGACTCCTACTTACAAAACCAATAAAACGATCACCATCATACAGAAAACGTAATCAAACATGAATGCTCTGGATTAAAAAGGTCACATGAGGCCAGGTGCAGTGGCTCATGCCTGTAATCCCACCACTTTGGGAGGCCGAGGTGGGTGGATCACCTGAGGTTAGGAGTTCGAGACCAGCCTGAGCAACATGGCAAAACCCTGTCTCTACTAAAAATACAAAAATTAGCTTAGAGTGGTGGTGGTCATCTGTAATCACAGCTACTCAGGAGGCTGAGGCATGAAAATCGTTTGAACCTGGGGGGCAAAGGTTGCAGTGAGCTGAGATCGCACCATTGCACTCCAGCCTGGGTAACAGAGTGAGACCATCTCAAAAAAAAAAAAAAGAAAGTCACATGGATAAATGCAACTACATTATTTATTTCTATAGCTATTTGATTTTAAATCTCAGCTTTAGTAAGAATAACAACTCGACAGTCTTAGTCTGAATGTTCTGGTAAGTGTAGAATTTCAACTCCCTTTTTATGAAGATACCTAACTTTTCTGTGGATTTTAATCTTCATTCTATTTGTTACTATACATCCTGCCAAAGTTCTTTCTGGCTCAAGAATACCATCCGTAGTTGGTTCTGATGATACGTAGTTCCCCTGTCGATCAGTCAGCTAGATAACACCAAGGGTAACATCTTGACAAAGAAATTTCCAGTTTTTTTAAACTCAATTGTTTCAGTCAATCTCAGCTGCTGGGTTGAGAAGGCCTCACTTTCTGTGAGTTTCTCTGGGCTTAGGAGGAACTGCTAGTCACTGTGATTATTACCTATTGAACCTAACGAGAGCCATCAAAACCCAGGGCCCGTGATGTCAGCAGCATGTTTATTACCCATAGAACCTGATGACAGCCACAAAACCCAGGGCCCCAGTGTCCGAAGCATGTTTTGCTAAGGATGTTAAACACAAAGTCATCCAGGAAATTTCCTACTATCTGAATTTTGAAAGGGGCTAAATAAACCCTGTAGAAGAATTGATGCGGTAGACGAGGCCTAAAATTCAACTCCATTTCAGATGCCCATGCAATGGAGAAGGCTACTATCCACACAGATAACATCAGGCTTCCTGTATGGCTCACCCCACTGGCTCTAGAAATAAATTTTAAAAATGTATCACAGAACTGAGTCAAAGTAGACAAAATTTCCTTTGCAAAACAAAACACCTCCCTCCTTCCCCCCTAAAAGATCAACGACTTTAAGCAAAGCCATGAGGTGAACAAAGCTAACTGTCATTTTGACCTTGCTTTGCTTTAATTCAGGAGACTACTTAGAAATGTACCGAGCAACCCCCTTCATTCGGCTCAGCTAGCAGAGCTAATAGGCTTCTAATTAATTTCCAGAAGATTGCTGTTATAACTAACAGGTTTTAAACATTTGGTTGATTGGGGAAAATGAATTGAATATAATGTATTTGATTTGGAAAATTAGTTTTCATTCTATGTGCTTACCATAATAGTGTTTATTTTAAGTTTACATGATTCCATTAAGAGTCCCAGAACAGCACTGGGCTGTTTTCATCCTTACAGAGAGGCCTAGGCAACTTAAAAAAAAAAAAAAAAAATTACATTTAGATTTTTGTTGGCCTTTATTTGAGGGCAGGTTAAATGCATTTTTTTGGGTGGGTGGCTTTAATAAAAATTTTCACTTCCTAATATAGCAACAGGCCCAAATACTTTAAAATGATCCTGGCGATACCTCAGTCAAAAGCCCACTCATCGAATGCAAATCCCCGGGAGAAAGGCTCGGCACACAAAGTAAGATGAACCAGTTACTGCATTGTTTACCACGTTTCACTTGATTCTTCCTGACAACCATTTAAACAATGAATGTTGGGAAATGTCCCTCAAAGAATCAACAACAATGGCAGGGACCAGAGCTTTTATATTTAGCTAATACTATTTTTAAAAGGAGAAAATATTTCTTCCTGAAGGGATTATGGGAAGCCTTATTAAAGACACCTGCAAACAAAACAAGTGACAATAGATCTTTATCATAATTGATAACTAAGTTATCCTTTAGATAAAACTCCTTTCTTGGAGACAATAACATTAGGATTTAACCTTCGCTGTAGATTCAAGAAATCAGCTAATTGGGGCCAGTAGGATTCCACAACATTAAGTTTACCAAGATTATGTGAGTGGATAATAACAAACGCCCTTGTCTCTCTGGTTAAATAGAAGTACAACGAGACTAGAATTTTCCCTCCTCATGCTTCTAAGAAATGTTTTATATTGACATCAAGTAGCATCCATCCCTCTCCCTCCATATGTGAGACAAAGCACATAAGGGATACTAATTACGACCGCTCACTCTGCTAAGCACATAGTGGGCCAGCCAGCTTCGGAAACTCAACCTTTGCCTAGCTTCCTGTTGCAAAGAAACAGAAACTTTCACAAAATCTTCTTGAAGTAATTAACAATCCCTGTCAAAACGTGTACAGACAATAATCTGCATTCTATGTAAACGGGGCAACTGTTTTAGTGATGGCTTCTGAGGGATAAATAATATAGCTAAACCCAGGAGGGCACATTTTAAAAATGTTTGCAAAAGAAAAAAAAAAATCAGAGGTCCTTGTTTGCAGTAAAAATAATCCACCTGTGAGTCTCAGCTTACTTCACCTCCATAAACAGTGGATGCCTTCGCCCATGGGCTATACTGTTTGCAGTCACATGCTCATTTGCTGCCTTGCTGTGTGACAAACAGGAATTCCTATAAGCATTTCAAGCCTATGACTGATTTTTCTTACATAGCTAATTTTCCAAATTAAGTAATTTTGCTTCCTTTATAACTGTGGCTCCAGAGGAGATCTAAAGCATCTGAGCATTGAGAAAAAAGCAGGGGTAGGGGGATCACAGGATCAAGCCAAAATTGCAGACCCCAACTGTAGTATTTCTATTTAATGGCTTTAAATTCAGCTAATGATTACAACTATTCTAAGTTGGCACTTAGAAAAAGTCACAGAGGTTCAAATTTCATAAAGTGTTAGCAACAGCAGCTGAGATTTTGGAATATGTATAGCTTTTAATAGATGCATTTCCAAAATAAACACTTGGGAAAAAAAAAGTGCCCCAGCTTGAACCACTGACAAGTAGACAAAATTAAACAATAGGAAAAAATAAAATAAAACCAAACCACATGAGCAACAGTACTGAATAAGGAGATGAGAGATGACCCAATATTATTTTTTAGAGCCTCAAGTTCACAAACAAAAGAAAAGTTTTACAGAAGGTATTTCTGTAGGATTGTTGGTTTTTTTTTTTTAAAGACAGCTTAAGACTTAGAGCAATCAACGTGTGAAAACAAAAAAGACATTTTCTGAGTTGACTTTGATCCTGTACTCAAATTGGCTTAGATATCCTTGCCTTTAAAGGCTTTGTATCCGCAATAACTGCTCTCTATTGTCCTTGTTAATAAAGTATTATTTTCACCTTATTATTACTAATCTTTTCTTTGTAAGTAACCACACCTGGTTCTATCCAAAAAAAAAAAAAAAGTGCCTAAGTATTTGCCCTTTGTGGTAATACAATGCATAATTTAGTTAATCTAGGCTATCTTTCCGTGAGAGGTGATTGTTTCTGTATTATGAAATGTGTTCACAGTAAAGCAAAATCCACGCCAGATACCTAGAGGCAGACGGAGAGCCACTTACCAAGCACGAAGCTGCTTCAAACTAACCCTGACGCGACTGTATAGCCACTCCCACACACAAGGTATTACTCATGCCAACTTAGCCTCTGAGTTATAACCGCACCTTTCTTTTACAAACATGGCCCTTTATTAAGTTAACATTACACACAGCCAGGCCGAGAGTCCCACCCCCAGACCCCATGAAAAGGGCTTGAAAAAATAGGAACTTCCGTTTTCCATTTGAGATCCTGACATTACTCTCAACGTTACCTGGATGAAATCTAAAAACGTCAGCGGCAGCAAATCATCCAAGTGTCCAATGTCTTTGGAGAAACGATTTAAAATTCTTCCTGCAAGAACAGGATATGAAAAATTACTCATTTCCCCAGATAGACCCTTTAAGAGAAACAATTCGCAAACAAATCAAAACAATATTTTAAATGCATATGTATTTAATATATTATTCATATGAAATAAGCCGATGTCAGTGGTAAAGAAAAAGAAAATAGGACGATACCTAAAGAGAAACAAAAATATCATCAAATGGCAGCGGGCAGGGAGTTGAAATGTGGCCCTGATTTTAAAAGAATTAAGGGAAAAAAATCTTGTGACAGTATCAGGAAGGGTTGGTGGGTTCTAGAATGTTCCCTCCTTTTAAGACCCAATCTAGGACTTCCATCCAAGTGCAAAGTAGGTAGATGAACGTACAGAAATTGATCCTAATTATTTCACTAATTTTGCTTTATCAGAATTTCTTTTGCTAAGTGGTATATTTTTTATATAAACATAATGATAACCTCTGTATTTTTTTTTCCCCAGCCTGCTTGACTGTACCTCACATTTTTGGGGAAACTTGGGATCCTATCATTTTCCAGGCTGTGAGTTTACTACTGGCAAACAAGTTGTCATTTTCAGATGTGCAAACAGTATGACAAAAACAGGCTTAGTCTTATCTAAGAACACAAGAGGAAATTATGCAGGAAAACAGAAATATTATTTAATGACTGAAGATCACTGCTTAGCATCGACTTTATTTCCCGTCAAGTAGAATCCAAGAAAACAGTATGTCATAAAGGCATCACAAACAGATCAAACCTGGTTTCTAATAAATATCTATTCTTTCAAATGATTTCCTTCAAAAAAATGGAAGCTATACACACATAGCCTACGTGGATGCAGGTGACCCCTGAGAAGTGTGTGTGTCTAGGCCTCTGAACTTCTTTTCTAATCAACGCTTCCGGAAGCCCTGCTTACAGATGAGATGTGTGGCCTCCTAGGGTTTGTCAGGATTGACTTCGTCCTGGGGCCTTTATACCAGGCTGCAAGTGGACCATGAATGGTCAGAGGCTGTAGACGGAGCTGCCTCCCGCTGCTGGGGCTAATGCAGCCTCTGCAGTTCTCCTGAGGCATCCAGCTGGCCAAGAAGCACAGTGTGTACAAGTTGGAGCTGCACCTCAATTTTCTTGTCTCAGGCTTCGGACACACAGACTCCAGAAAGCATCATTCAGTGACACCTTTGGCAGGCCCAGTGACAACTTTTCTGAGCCTCTAATAACACCTCCTCTAGAGGGTTGTCCTAGGGATTAAACGGGCTCATGCCTGTTAAAAAAAAAAAAAAAAAGCCCAGGCACAACGCCAGGTACTTTTTCATGGCTGCTAGAAAACCAAAACCAAAAAGGTGCGATGATGACTATGACCCACAGGTTCTGCAGCATGCCACCGGGGAGGAAGCTCAACTTTTCAAATGCAGGTCCTGATGCAGTGGCCCTGGGGAGGAGCTGGAGCCTGAATTTCCAACCAGCTTCCGGGGGCCCTTCTGCTGTTTGCCAGACCATGCTATGCAGGGCAAGAGGTCAGGCTATTATTTTATCAGCTATACTTAAGAAACATTAAAATTAAATGAGTATTTTTCCGACAGATACTTATGGATTTTGTTTGTCGTCCTTCTTGTTATTTTTTCTCATCTCAGTGTATCAATACCAATAAAAGGAAAATATAAGTTAAAAAATTTAAGACATAATTATTAAAATATGAATTATTTCTTAAGTGGAAAAGTTAACATAGGCAATATTCAGAAACATTGCAAGTATGGTTCAGCTTTTAAAAAGTTGAAAGCAATATTCAAATTAAAAAAAAAAAAAAGATAGGCCAGGTATGGGGCTCACACCTATAATCCCAGTACTTCTGAAGGCAGAGGTGGGAGCATTGCTTGAGCTCAAGAGTTCAAGACCAGCCTGAGCAACATAGCGAGACCTCATCTCTACAAAAAAGAAAAGAAGAAAAAAAGATAAAAAGGCTACATAAATCATTAGTATGTGAAAACCAACCCTTTATCTTGACCATTTGGGAGCATCTTAAAATCTGAAAGACCCATGGTTGGAAAACAGCATAAAATACAAGGAAAACAAAAACAACTGAGAAAGCCCACCTCCTCACACAGCTACGCCAATAACTGAACTGAATGTCAAAGATCAGCTGAAATCAAAACTCTTATCAACAATGATCTCAGTGTAGAAAGTGTAAGATTAGAAGGTTCAATAGTTACTTCCTTGTTCTAAGAAACAATTCAAAGACTGGTGTTTGCAAAAAGAATAAAAGTTTTAATTTTTTTTTTTTTTTGAGATGGAGTCTCACTCTGTTGCCCAGGCTGGAGGAGATCTCAGCTCACTGCAACCTCTGTCTCCTGGGTTCAAGTGATTCTCCTGCCTCAGCCTCCCGCGTAGCTGAGATTACAGGCACATGCCACCATGACCAGCTAATTTCTGTATTTTTAGTAGAGACGGGGTTTCACCACGTTGGTCAGGCTGGTCTCAAGCTTCTGATCTCAGGTGATCCACCCACCTCAGCCTCCCAAAGTGCTGGGATTACAGGTGTGAGCCATAGCACCCGGCCAGAATATTTTCATCTGGCTTCGCAGTAAACTGTCATAATCAGAGCTGTGATGTCAAGTTCACAGTCTCACAGTCATTTTCCCAGAGGTCTCCAAATCAAACACTTATGATAAATTCCCTCCATGCACATGCCACACCTCTTCATCCAAATGACATCTGGCCCCTGCTGGAGCATCTCCAGGGATGTCGAGAGAAGAGGAGTCACTGTTTCCTGAGGAGACCCAATCTATTTTCGGACTGTTCTGTTAGACAAGGCTTGCTTACATTAAACCGAATCTTGCCTTCCGGGAACATCCAATCGTTGCTGCTGATTCTGCCCTTACAACCATACAAAGTGAATCGAATTTCTCTTGACAGGGCAGCTCTTCAACTACTTGAAGAAAGTTAATCACAAGTTTTCCAGACTTCTCACAGGCACCTATCCCTTGGGTACCTCAATTATCTCTCATAACACACAGGGTCCCATGTTGGCCATTGCCTCAGCACATAGTCAGGTAGCCAGCCTCTCTGAATGCCTGGTAGCCAGGATTAAAATAAATACCCTAGGTATTATCTGCATATCTCAGGGTCAGGATATATCCCATGACTAAGCCCACAATCACAGTAAATTCTTTGAGCCAGACCACATTTTGGACTCACATTTAATGTAAATCCACATCACTCCAATCCTGCATGATGGCACAGGTAGATTTTTGGGAGCTGGACAATAAACAACTATTGAGTGCATCCCCACGGACCCCAAAATTCAATTTTATAAGAAGTATCTCAAGGCATTAATAAGTGCATCAAAGATGGTCAATGTGGCATTATTTGGTAAATCAGAAGCAGGAAACAACCGAAATGTCTGAAAAGGGTCTATATTAAGTTATGAGCACACTAAAATTTTCCTCTGAGAGAGAGAGAGAGAGAAACCAAGCTCCTTTGAAGTCATAATATCACATACAGAGTCAGGTTGCTCCTAACTTTTTTCCACAACATAGAATATTATAAAAGGTGTTAATGAACTTTTTGTCAAAATACAAATTCATAAATGACTCTATTTTACAAACTGATTCTAGAATCTAATCTGAAGTTAAAGTCACCTCCGGAATTCTGATACGTCTCCCATGACGAAGACTTCCCAATTCCCTTATAACCGTACTACAATTTAAAACTTGTAAGTTCCCATGTCTACTGTGAGCCCCATTCTTTTTTGTAACAAAAAAGTACACTTAAATATGAAGATATTGAGGCATATTTGCATTGATACATATTTTACGTCTCATAAAACTCATCCATTTCAGGTATCCAATTCAATGAATTTTAGTAACTTTACTGAGTGATGCAGTCATTACCAAAAATAAGTTTCAAGACATTTTTATGCCCCCACTAAGATCCCTCATGGCACTCACAGTGCCTCCCTATGCCCACCCCAGCCTCAAGCAACTACTTTCTGCCTCTTTGCTTTTTCAGTATCTTTCATGGAAAAGGAATCACACAATATGTGATCTCTTGTGTCTGGCTTCCTTCCCGTATCTCAAGATTTTGAGGTTCACCCATGATGTAGCATGTGCCACTCATTCCTTCCTGGTAAGCCCATTCTGTACCACAAAAATGGTCTTAGGTGCCACATCTGACCTTGAAGGTAAAAGTAGATGTGTTTAGTGAACTCTTCAATTTTGTAAACTTCTTTATAGGTATCCACACTTATAGCTTCACTGATGGTTCTGAAAACTAATACTTTTGATAAGAATTGGCCTTTGAGCCAGGCGCGGTGGCTCATGCCTATAATCCCAGCACTTTGGGAGGCTGAGGCAGGTGGGTCACGAGGTCAGGAGTTCAAGACCGGCCTGGCCAAGATGGTGAAACCCTGTCTCTACTAAAACTACAAAATACTTAGGTGGGCGTGGTGGTGGGCGCCTTTAATCCCAGGTACATGGGAAGCTGAGGCAGAGAATTGCTTGAGCTCGGGAGGCGGAGGTTGCCATGAGCCAAGATGATGGATGCTACTGCACTCCAGGCTGGGCGACAGAACGAGACTCCGTCAAAAAAAAAAAAAAAAAAAAAGAATTGGCCTTAGATATTCCTGCAGAGAATTGGAAGCCAGAAGTACAGAGAGAGGGTGGACCCTCAGGTACCCATAGTTGATGGTAGGTGGAGTGTGCAAAGGGCAAAGGTAGGATGGGGGAACCACTATCTTGAGATGTGAGAAGTAGAATGTAAATGCAAGCAGTCTGTCCCAAAGAGCAGAGTCTATCAAATGGTGTCGAGAGAATTGACCTGTGCACTCCAGGTACAATGTGGTGCCACATGGCGGGGCACAGACTGGTCCAGAGTACAGGCTGTTGGGTGGAGCCTGGAGACAGTTGCTGGGCTGAAAAGGATGACAGCATCTATGACACTGTGATCTGGGAGGGGAGGAAGCCATTTGAGGGGATGGGCCAGCCTGGACATCCTGTATCACTCAGCTTAGACCAAAATGAGAACCAAACAGGAGATCTAGAAGTCCAGTATTTCAGTATATCTCATCAGAACAGGCCATCAACATGGCAGAGGCTCACAGAAGGCATGAAAGAGAAAATGAGGCAGGGACAAGACATGAGGTACTTATCCTCCTCGGAGGCTCAGTAGCAACAGGACTCAACAATACAGGGCAACTCACCCAACCTATACTGACACTCAAATTCCTGACCTATAAAATGGAGCTGATGATATTTGCCTGGACTACTTCACAGGGCCAAAGATCATGAGGATCAAAGAGATCATGATTATGAAGGGATCTTCTAAATTCTAGAGTAGCTCACATGGGTGAGACATTCTTTGTATTATTATTGTAGGATTATAGAGCTTAAATGGGTGCGAAGGATCCCCAGGGCTGATAACATTCAAACTTTATGGGGTTTTTTTTTGTTTTTTTTTTTTTGAGAAAAGGTCTCACTCTGTTGCCCAGGTCAAGGCTCACTGGAGCCTTGACCTCCCTGGGCTCAACTGATCCTCCTGCCTCAGCCTCCCAAGTAGCTGGGACCTCTGGTGCACCACCATGCCTGGCTAATTTTTAAATTTTTTTGTAGAGATGAGGTTTTGCCATGTTGCCCAGGTTGGTCTCAAACTCTTGAGGCTCAAGCAATCTGCTCACCTCTGCCTCCCAAAGTGCTGGGAATACAGGCATGAGTCACAGCGCCCAGCCTCAAACCTTGTCTTATGAAGATTCTGAGACTGCCTTGAAGAATCTTAAAGAATGAGACAGAGGATGAAGAGGAGGCCAAGCACACCCAACCCCAGACACCTCATCTCCTCCCTTCTCTGCCCTTCCCCTCTCAAACATAGGGCCTTACATCCATTGGGACCTTCACATAGAGATTGCCTCTGAAGAAAGGTTTCTGCAGGCAACAGAAATGTTCACAGCACTTTGTAGACCAAACTCCTCATGTTAGAGATGTGAAGACAAAAGCCAATCTTGCTCAAGGTGATGCAGTGTTTTCTAATGCGGTGGGAACTCTCTGCCAAGCCATTCTGGGATTTCCATAAGGCAGAGAGAAGAGGAATGAGAAACCCCACTCTTCAGGGCAACTTCCTTCAATATCCTTTGCTTCATCTTATTTTTTTCTAAGGATAAATCTGTTGACCATTTTTTCCTTTTTCTGATTCTCTTCTCGAACTTTGCTCACTTTCATTTCAAAGATTTCCTGTTTGCTTATACATCCCAAATCTTATCTGTACTCCTGATCTCCCAGCCCAGGGCTTACTCAGACACTCAGTTATCCTACAAAACATCTTACGCGTATCTAAATAAACTAAACAGAATCCTTTGAAATTGACCCACAACAACCCACGCCTAACTTCTCAAACCCTACCTTAGATCTATGCCTAAACATACAGCATGAAAACTTGTAAGTAATTTTTGACTTATCTTTATTTTACATAATTACCAGCATGTCTTTACTTTTCATTTAAAATAACCTCATTTACATCCTTATTTATTCATCTGTCAAATCAAAGCTATTAAGTTTTTAGAAACAGTGAGGAAAGAAGAGGTAGAAGAGAGGTCTCTTCCTAACCTCCCCTCCATTCCTCCTGGCCGTGTGTCCCTGTTCCCATCAGGGGGCCTTCCCTCTCTTCCATCCACCTGTCATGAAGGTCCTCAGTCCCTGCTTGCCTCCACCTACCAGGATCTCAGCCTTCGCCCTTTCTCCTCCATGAAACTCTTGCTGACAAATGTAGCTCTCAGGAACCTGCCACTAATGCGAGTGCCTTTATACTGGACCGGCTACGGATAACTGTGCTGCTTTTCTCAGAAACCCTCCGCAGCTAGGGAAGCTAACCCCGACTCTACCAAAAATACAAAACTTAGCCGGGCATGGAGGCACATGCCTGTAGTCCCAGGACTGTGTTGTGTTTTCAAAGTGTAGTTGTTTCTTGCCTTTTCATATAATTATGACATATTTTTGAAAAAGTAATTTCCAGGTTTTATTACATGACATGACAAATTGGAGAAAATGAGTTTCAAAAGTATGTATGTGTTCTTCCATTTTCTAATCAGATCCTTCTCATTTTTTTCCCCAACTGGAAGATGCTAGGTGAGACTGTCTACACTAAGTGACTTATAAAAACCCAAATGGCTTCAAGGCAAAAGGCAACCTCATCATCTGTTTTCCACATCCAGCTTCAAGTTTTCCTTCCTCTGGGTAACAATAATCTCCTACTTTGGACTCATTCCTTTCCTGCTGCTCACCCATCAGGTAAGACACCTATAATCACTCATCAGAACCTGCTAATTGGAATTAAAATTTTACTTGTTTCATGACTTAAAATTGATGCTTGTTTGATGTCGCTCTGGAGTGTTTTTTGTTTTTTTGCGGGGGACGAAGTCTCACTCTGTTGCCCAGGCTGAAGCACACTAGCACGATCTCGGCTCACCGCAACCTCCACTTCCCAGATCCAAGCAATTCTCCCGCTCAGCCTCTCAAGTAGCTGGGAATACAGACGTGCACCGCCACACCCAGCAAATTTTTGTATTTTTAGTAGAGACGGGGTTTCACCATGTTGGCTGGGCTGGTCTCAAACTCCTGACCTCAGGTGACCTGCCCACCTCAGCCTCCAAAGTGCTGGGATTACAGGCATGAGCCACCACACCCAGCCCTCTCTGAGTGTCTTATGATCACACTGGTAGCAGGTTAATAGATACATGTAAGTGAGCACAGCATGTAGAGTGACACAACCCGACATGAGCACACACGCAGGTGGCAGAAATAAGAAAGCACGGACCATGCCCAAGGCAGGCGGCAATGAGGAAGGCACAACAGCAGGGGGGCATCACCAGCTGGTGCGGGTTACCAGGGTGAGGCGGGGTCAGCCCTCATGGGAACAGGGCCTGAGAATTTGGAAAGAGGGAAGAGAATGTATTGATGAAGAATGTGGACTTTGATCAGGTGGAAGGAATGACATCCATCAGGACTGAGAGGCAGGAAAGGGTGACGGGATGACAAATATTTGCCTAGTTGATGGGAAGAGCATGACCTAAGGTGTGCTGATAGGAGAGGACTTGGGTGTGGAATGGGAGTGGAAAAGGATCAGGTGTTGAGGGCCTCTGCTAAAAATTCCTTGTACTTATGGCTCTTCAAAGCCATATTTGTAAAGAGGAAGCATTTAGGAGGGGCACAAGTGCAGTTTGGAGAGATGGACGTTTTACACATTTGACTTTGGCTGGAGAAAGTAGTCCACAGAAGATAGCCAAGAGATTGACTCGGCTTCTGCCTGTGTGTGCACAGACAGAGCCCACACTAACTCATCCCGGTGCCTTCCTCACTGAGAGCAGGCAACTGGACAAGATTTTTTCCTGAGGGTCATCTTGGTTCATTCACTCATGATTGGAGATGTCATCCCACTGCTGCCAGGCATGGTGGCTCAAGCCTGCAATCCCAGCACTTGGAGAAACCAAGGGGAGAGGACTGTTTGAGCCCAGGAGTTTGATGATGCAGTGAGCTATGATCACGCTAATGCACTCCAGACTGGGCAAGGGAGCAAGAAATGCCCCCTTTCTTAAAAAAAAAAAAAAAAAAAAAAAAGGCTGGGCACAGTGGCTCATGCCTGTAATTCCAGCACTTTGGGAGGCAGAGGTGGGGGGATCACCTGAGGCCAGGAATTCGAGACCCACCTGGCCAACATGGTGAAACCCTGTCTCTACTAAAAACGAAAAAAAAAAAAAAAAAAAAAGCCAGACATGGTGGTGTGTGCCTGTAGTCCCGGCTACTCGTGAGGCTGAGGCAGAATTGCCTGAACCTGGGAGGCGGAAGCTGCAGTGAGCCGAAATCACACCACTGTACTCCAGGCTGGGTGACAGAGTGAGACTTGATCTCAAAAAAAAAATAAAATAAAATAAAAAAATAATAATAATATAAAGGTACATCCTAACCCAGACCATTTTCTTAAGGCACCAAATGAGGCACACAAACCTAGAAGAGTGAACTCAACACTGTGTTTGAAGACCACCCCACAGAGCACTAAATTAGTGCCAGAAACCACATACAGCACCTCAAAACTATGACACAGATACTGTTCCCATTTTACAGAAGATACAGTGGAGGCTCAGAGACAGTAAGAAATTAATTCCAGGATGCCTGGCTGTCAGGCATCCAGGCTGTGACTCATACCCAGCTCCTGGAGGTTCAGAAAGGTGTGCTCATGTCAACACCTCCATGACATCAAGCTACTTTACTGGACACATTTGCAAGTTCTATTAAATGTCTACTAATAAAAATTAGCCAATAAATTTCCAGGCAGGGCTGACACAAATGACGATGGCCAAAGCAGCCGCTGACAGCCCAGGCCTCTTCTGATAGGCTACTGCCTGCTGTACTGGATGGTAAATACTTTGGCTATCACTCCTGCTTAGAAGGGTTTCAGGAACTCTCTCTTGGCTAATCATAATTAAAGTAAAACATTTAAAATAACTCCACCTCAGGATTAAATTACACAAGTTACAGGAGGCCATAACTTGTAACAAGTAAATAAATGAATGAATGAATGAATGAATGAATGAGGACATGCAGCCTAATAAAAGGCAGAATTAATTAGGAAAGTCCAGGGGCTCCAGTTCTACCTCATCCCAGACCTTAACATGCTGTGTGACCCAGGGCAAAGCCGAATCACTCATTGCCAGGAAGTATTGTAGGGGATTATCCTTGAAGCCATTGAAAACACCTGATAAATTGCCTCGGGAAACCATTTTGCTATAGCAGCTATGCATGCTTTGCTACAGCAAGTGATGATTATTTTACATTTGCTAAAAAGAAAAAAGTTAGGAAGACAGACCAGGCCATTTCCTTTACCCATGGATCTCAAGAATACACCAGGGAGGAGTGAACCTGGCCCAGCCTCACGTAGCATCCAGAAGGTACAGATCCCTGGACAGCAACAGGTAGAATCTCTAGGACGACTGCTCTCAAACACTGCATGGCCAATGAATGCCACAGAGTGTTTTCGCTTGGAAATGCACATGTGTACAGTTTGCATATGATTTCAGGGGATTCCTAAACCAGGAACCACAGGACAGCAGAGCTCTCATTAAGAACCTCTGATTCTAAGAGAGTAAGAAATCACCAATCTCTTGACCTCTTCTGGGAATGTACCACTTTAATCCCTAAGACATAGTTTTTACTGCTCCAGTATCCTGTCACTGTCGTTTGCGGCTAAATGCTCATGGAATATCTCCAAAAGAATGACTATTGGAGGGGTAAAAACAAGGGCCTAGACATACCAAGCGGTCTACAAGAATGTGTTCCCACAGAGATGGTGGCAGCAACGCATATTTATACAGCATTCACCTAGACAAGGAATTTCCACTTCCACAAAGGCAACTATCAAATTCAATCACTGAGATTACCTTGAATGGAAATTACCAGTCAGTGTGCAAAATCGGCTCTATCTCTAATCCACATACAAGTATATGTAATACTCAAAAATAGGACAGCAAAACATTCAGTGTGAGAACGTGACTGAACTTGAAGACAATGGGCCCTCCCACTACCCACCCTATGTAAAGCAACCAAAGGTGTGCTGGAAACAGATCAACCAACACCCAAATGTGATCGTCAGTTCCATCCCCGGCGCATCATTTTAATATCTGGGAACCGCCAACAGGTGTTACACCAAACTGTGTGCTAGGTTGTGTTCAATAAAAATGCATGAACTTTTTTTGGAATATATATATATATATATATATATATATATATATTCCAAAATATATATATATTTAAGTACACCAAATATATATATTTATATATATTTAAGTACACCATATATATTTATATATATTTAAGTACACCAAATATATATATTTATATATATTTAAGTACACCAAATATATATATATATTTAAGTACACCATTAAAAAGCTAGGGGGGAAATTTAACCATTGAATTTCTTCTTTAAAAATTCAGATAAAATTTTAAGAACTAGAAATATTACTATGATTCTTATAATTCTACCTAAGCTGTCAGTTATAAACAGTTTAAGATACACATTACCTCTTAGTCAAACCATCATCTTCATCTTAGGGGGAATGTTCACCTATCCAAACGCCCCACAACCCTCTGCAGTCCCATTCCTGCTCCTCTTCACACCATGGCGTTCACCAGTCATTTCTAAACGCAGCAGCCAGCTTTTCCCTCATCCTCATTGCTCTTGACTTTTCCTGCAGCATCTGATGCTGTTCATCATCGTCTTTTCGAGATATTTATGTATGCTGGCTTCAGGGATATAAATTTATTTTATTTTATTTTTTGAGACAGAGTCTCTCTCTGTTGCCCAGGCTGGAGTGCAGTAGCCCGATCTTGGCTCACTGCAACCTCCGCCTCCTGGGTTCAAGCGATTCTCCTGCCTCAGCCTCTCAAGTAGCTGGCAGGTGTGTGCCACCATGCCCAGCTAATTTTTGTATTTTTAGAGACGAGGTTTCTCCATGTTGGCCAGGCTGGTCTCGAACTCCTGGCCTCAAGTGATCCACCCGCTTTGGCCTCCCAAAGTGCTGGGATTACAGGTGTGAGCCACCGTGCCTGGCCTGATTTTCTTTCTTTTAATATCTGCCTCTTTCCACTCCTGCTACCCTGCCCATCTGCTAAGCACAGGTGGTCTCCCCTTGCATCTAGAGGCTCCACCTCTCAGAACTCTATCCCCTCAGTGGTGATCTCATGCCCTTGTGGTGCCATTCTCTAAGGATAGTGACTCCCAAACCAGACTGTGCAATCATTGACTTTCTTCTGCCTTACTCCTACTGTGCCATGCATCCTGCTGGCTGACCTCTTCTCCATGTATGGGAATGCGTAACATGTTTCAATTGTGAACTGAAGGAAACCTCAATAACTGTCACTGAACATGTTTAACACAGTCCAATAAATAACTTCAAAGGATTTCAACATGCAAAAAAAAAGCTTTACAAATTTATGCTATGAGTTGCCAAAACATTTTTTATATTCTAAGAAAAAGGTAAAATCCAGATTCTGTCTGAATTTTTGATCCTCAGGGATCTTCTGTGAGCTTTGGGCAGCCACAGAAGTTGGCCTTGGTAGTAGCAGGGAGTCCTGAGGGCTGAGCTGACCTCTCCAGCCCCATGCCTGTTCCTACATCAAATAACTTAATCAGAATACACACTGTTCTTAGATTTCTGTGGAGGTAATTAAATAACAATTCGATGCCAATTAATCACAGTCAAATAAGAGTCTGTCAGAGAAGAACTCTATACACATTGGAGTCTATTTAATGGTCAAATACTTGGCAGGATCCTAGTTAAACAATGATTCATTAAACCTCCTGTGCCACACAATGGCTAGGCTAAACTCAATGTGAAAGAATCGAAACTCTTTTGTTCTCCCATAAAAAGACATCAAATCTCTGTGCATGATATTCTTTTCTCCATTACTTAGCAGCCTGCTCAATTACATGATTCTGAATGTGTTCAGCTGCTCCTATGCACAGGGCGTCTGCAAGTCCTTGTTGGCTCTGAACATCATAGCTGTGCAACTCTTTCCTTCCCAACTGAAAAAGTAAAGAGCTGGACAGCTGACCACACCTACTTACAATATTTATTCACTCTGAGCAGGGAAAAATCACAGACTCAGAACCTACCTTTCACCCCGAAGGAGAGGCAAGCTGTGGCCATTTCCCTAGACGCAGACGATTAACCACCCTAAAAACCCACCATCCGTACAAGTTGTCAATCCAGCAAAAATCTGTTCAACATTTTTGGTTCCCTGAACCTACCTTATCAACTTGGTTCCTTTAAATTAAAAAGTCCCTTTTTAACACAACTCCCCATGAAAACCTAGAGATCCATTTTAAGTTTGGCTGATAATTCCCAAAGACTTTTAATCATGGTTCTCAGAAGGACTCCATTACCTCCCTGGAAGTTCATTTCTTCCTATGGTGAAAGAATCAAGGAAAACGGCCTAGCTCTGTATTGCTGTGCGTTTTTGCCTACACTAGCAATATAAGCACCTCCAAAGTTTCACTAATGCTGTCATTTTTTAAAAGCATGATTTTGGCACTTCATTGTAGATTTGAATCTGAATGAGAGATCACGAAGTTGGCTGAAAATGGGTTCTTTGGGGTTAGCTTGCAGATGCTGTTGACGATTGCATTTACCTCTCTTTAAAGGACTCCTAGCCAGTTTGTTAAATGCATTCAAAAGTAAATTTAAAAAAACAAATATTGCGTAATTATTAAAATATTATTTTACATGTTCATTGAAATTGAATAACCCAGATGGGTGCTTATTTTTACCTGGCACAAGTTTACTGGATAATTGCCAATCATATTAAAGCATAAAGGTAGCTAAAGCAATAAACATAATGATATTTCTGATGTGTTCATTTGTACAGGAAGTTATCCATTTGTTGGTCTTTGTGTATTATTTTTTCAGATGGACTGCAAATATAATGGACATGTTGTGGATATTCCAAATTCTCTTGTGGCATAGTACTGATTCAGGACTAAGGTTGTAGGCTATTTGATGATATTCAATTTGCCAATATTATATCCTGCTATCCTATGAAAAATAAGTAAAACAAAAATGTATAATATAACTAAAATGGATAGTATTTCTCTTATTTAAGAAAAAATACGTACTAGAAAACATTTGTAGAAGAAAAATGTTTCATGAAAAAAAATTTTTAAAGATGATTCAGCTTCCTTCCCAAATTAAATTTATTATAATAGAGCAAAGCTATATATTACATGACATTGCTTTCAAGAAAAACTTAAGAATCTTAACAGAAAACAGGCCAGGCGCAGTGGCTCACACCTGTAATTCCAGCACTTTGCGAGGCCAAGGCGGGTGGATCACCTGAGGTCAGGAGTTGGAGACCAGCCTGGCCAACGTGGTGAAACCCTCTCTCCACTAAAAATACAAAACTTATTTGAGTGCAGTGGCACACGCCAATAATCCCAGCTACTTGGGAGGCTGAGGCAGAAGAATCGCTTGAACCTGGGGAGTGGAGGTTGCAGTGAGCCGAGATCACACCATTGCACTCCAGCCTGGGCAACAAGAGCAAAACTCCATCTTAAAAAAAAAAAAAAAAGAAAAGAAAGAAACTTAACAGAAAACTTATCGTATTGCAAATGTATTTTGACTTTGCTTATACCTTGAACAATAGGAAATAAAGATCGACTTTTATTGGGTCTTCTTGGATAATAAATATTAAATTCACATGCAGACAATATCAGTGAATGTAGGGTTTACTGTATATTTACTATTTTTAAGAGATATACAAACTATGAACCAAAAACTGGAAAGCCTTAATACAGAAGCAAAAACAGAAAGCATTAAATAAGTGGCTTTAATTGTGAATATTAAATCTCTTTTTTGATCCCTGTCATAAAACCCACATTTTGTTTTCTGCTGCTCTGACAGTACACAATGATTACTGCACTGTGTGTATTTATTTGTCAGCTACACTATGATATAAAATGATTTTGAGGGGAGAAAAAGTCACACTGAGTCTGACATAAACATACCGTGGCAAAACAAATTTTCCTGCAAATATAAGCAGTTTTACAGTCTATCAAAGTGGTGCCAAAAAGTAGATTTATTCGCATTAAGTGCTGACAGGAACGAAACATTTCTGCAGTAAATAAAGTACATTGTAACCCAATCGTCAAATCAATAAAGTCATTAAAAATAGACTGCATTCTTCAAGGAAATGGTGAGTTTAAGGGGGAAAAAGAAAAATCTTTGGTTGCGATGGAGAATGTATCTCCAAACACAGCTGACAATTACCAATTTGAACTGACTCTTCTCCCGTGTGCCTACAAAGAAACATCTTTGGGTCCCTTATCTTTTTTCATGTGTATTTAGCCATGTAAACTGCTATATGGCATTTCCGGCTTCCCCACAGGCATCCTAGAAATACGAACAAGAAAATGCTTTTTTTTCTCCTTCTTCTTCTTTTTCTAGGCTCCAAACTGACAGAATATTATCACTTTTGTAGACTCTTGCAAATCTGTGCAGTGGTGTTGGGCAGAAATGTGCTGAGATTATAATATCCATTTATCTAAACTGCCAGCATGTAACAAAACTCAGGTGGGGTGCGTGCCACCTAAATTAATTTACTACTTGAAAAAGACTTCTTATGCCAAGCCTGTCAAAAGGCAAACAGGAAAGGAGTTAAGAAACTGTAAATAAATCTAAACACAGTTTGTGTTTGATCTAATTTTCAAGTGTAGGATTAAAAAAAGGGGAAGCATGCCAAGGAAAGGCGACAAGAGGGGACGCACAACAAAAACCCGCACAGGCTCCATCACATGGGCGCCTTGTTTTCAGGGAAGAGTTGCCCAGCCAGGCGCAGTGGCTCACGCCTGTAATCCTAACACTTTTGGAGGCTGAGGTGGGCAGATCACCTGACGTCAGGAATTTGAGAGCAGCCTGGCCAACATGGTGAAACCCCGTCTCTACTAAAAATATAAAAAATTAGCTGGGCTTGGTGGTGCACGACTATAATCCCAGCTATTCGGGAGGCTGAGGCAGAAGAATTGCCTGAACCCCAGAGGCGGAGGCTACAGTGAGCCGAGATCGCACCACTGCACTCCTGCCTGGGCAACAGAGCAAGACTGTCTCAAAAAAAAAGAAGAGAAAAGAAAAAGAGTTGCCCAAAGATGTCAGGCGACCTGGCACTCCCCACAATTAACAACTCAAAGCTGCCTTGTAGGATTCATTGATTTAAGAAAATAAAGGAAGTCACTACCTTACACCCAGGAGCATGGCTACTATCATAAAACCAGAAAATACCAAGTGTTGGCAGGGATGTGAAGGAATTAGAATTCTTGTATATAGTTGGGGGATCATAAAAATGGTCCAGGTGCAATGAAAAAAAAAATATGACAGGTCCCCAAATTATGAAACACACAATTACCGCATGATCCAGCAATTCCACCTCTACATATATACACAACAGAAGAGACTACGGGGGTCTAAAAGAGATATGCGCACACTCATGTTCACAGCAGCACTATGCACAATAGTCAAAGGGCAGAAGCAACCCAAGACATCAATAACAAATGAATGGATAAACGAAAGATGGTACAGTTGGTTGTCCCTCTCTATCTGTGTGGGATTGGTTCCAGGACCTCCCACCAATACCAATATCTGCAAATGCTCAAGTCCATTTGCATATAACATACAGACATCCTCCAATATAATTTTATTTTTTATTTGTTTACTTTTTGAGACAGAGTCTCACTGTGTCGCCAAGACTGGAGTGTAGTGGCGTGATCTCGGCTCACTGCAACTTCCGCCTCCTGGGTTCAAGTGATTCTCCTGCCTCAGCCTCTCGAGTAGCTGGAATTATAGGCATGCACTGCCAAGCCCGGCTAATTTTTGTATTTTTAGTAGAGACAGGGTTTCACCATGTTGGTCAGGCTGGTCTCGAACTCCTGGCCTCAAGTTGATCCACCCACCTCAGCCTCCCGAAATGCTGGGATTACAAGTGTAAGCCACCGCGCCTGGCCCTCCCATTTAATTTTAAATCATCCCTAGATTACTTATAATGCCTAAATACAATGTAAGTGCTATGTATTTGTAATACATTATTTTTTTGTTGTGGTATTATAATTTTTTATTGGATTGTTTTTCCAAATATTTTCCATTCTCAGTTGGTTGAATCTGAGCACCCACAGATACAGAGGCTGGCTGACTGTATATACACACCATGCAATATTATTCAGCTTTAAGATGGAAGGAGATTCTGGGCCATTCTACAACATAGATGAACCATAAGGACATTACACGAAATAAAATAAGCCTCTCAGAAAAGGAAAAAGACTGTTTGATTCCAGTTATGTCCAGCATGTAGAACAGTCAAACTCAGAGACAGAAAGTAGAAGGGTGAATGCCAGGGGGTGGAGAGAAGGGGTGGTGGGGAGTTAGTGTTTAATGGGTCCTGGGTTTCAGTTTGGGAAGATGGATAAGTTCAGGAGATGGAGGATGGTGACAGCTGCACAATAATGCAAATGTACTTAACGTCACCAAACTATATAGAGTACTTAAAATGATTAACATGGCAAATCTTACGTTAGGTGCATTTTACTATGATTTTAAAACTTTTTTTTTTTTTTTTTTTTTTGGAGACAGAATCTTGCTCTGTCACCCAGGCTGGAGTGCAGGGGCACAGTCTCGGCTCACTGCAACCTCCGCCTCCTGGGTTCAAGCAATTCTCCCACCTCGGCCTCCCGAGTAGCTGGGATTACAGGCGTGCACCACCACACCTGGCTAATTTTTGTATTTTCAGTATAGATGGGGTTTCACCATGTTGGCCAGGCTGGTCTCAAACTCCTGGCCTCAATTGATCTGCCTGCCCTGACCTCCCAAAAAGGTGGGATTACAGGTATGAGCCACCACACCCAGTCCCTAAAAACATTTTTTTAAAAAAACTTTCCAGCCATCCTTCTCTCAGCATCCAGTCTATCCATCACATGCATCCATTCCTGGAGACACCATCAGAGCATTCAGCTCGACGTGGACACTCAGCACCCAATTTGCCTGGGTCACAGAGGAGGTACCTGCTGTGGTAGCCCCTCTGTCACCAACTGGTGAGAGAGATGAGACAGTAACAGCACTTCTGGAGACCAGAGTCCCCTCCCACCTCCAACAAAGGAGAACTCTCCTTGTAGGATAAGGAGAGCAAAGCGAAGAACAACAACAGCGACATCTGAGGGGAGGAATGGCAAAGGAAGAGCCTGCCTGTGGTGGCAGAGAAGGGTGCTGAAGGGACACAAGAGCCACCTTATGCAGAGAAGAAAAGGAGAATGAAGAGGATGTGGGTAAGCATTTTACTCTGCAAAGCATTGGGTGACCCTTAGAAAACGCCATAGCAATTGACCTTTCTGAAAAATATTTTACACAATCAATATTCTTGATCCCCACTTTCCTGCCCAAGCCAAACACGTTCAGGTTAAGATGTAAATGATGAATATGAATGAAATGCCACCCCACTGGGTGACATGGCTAAGTCAACACAATGATATTCACTAAAGCCTTCCATGCGCTACAATTTCAAGAGGAGCCCATCAGAAGCTGATTGTTCCTAGGTCAGTTACCAATGCTCAGATGCATGAATAATGGTCATTCAGAGGCAGTAACCATCCTAGCCCTCTGTGAGCTTGTATACACTGAGAACCGAAGGCCAAAAGGAGGAGGGGGAAATGCCAAAAAATATATATGTTATTTTTTAAAAAGAGAGGATAGAGGATCTAAATGGAAGAAGACAGTGACGTACAAACATTCTCTATACTTCCAGGGGATGTGTTTCTAGCAATGAAAAGTAAAGATAAATACATAACGGGATCAAGGGAAGTGGAGAAGGGCGAGTCTTGAGTTTAAAGAAGGAAAATGCTGCAGACTATTCTAGAAAAGTGTTCTAAGAATATGTAGTGAAGGAAATGTGATCCCAGGAGCCATTTAAATGAAAACAAGAGAGGCCGAGGTAGGCAGATCAGTTGAGCTCAGGAGTTCGAGATCAGCCTGGACAACAGGGCAAAACTCTATCTCTACAAAAATACAAAAGCTAGCCGGAGGAGGTGGCACACACCTGTAATCCCAGCTACTTGGGAGGCTGAGGCAGGAGAATCACTTGAACCCAAGAGGCGGAGGTTGCAGTGAGCCAAGATCACACCACTGCACTCCAGCCTGGGTGACAGAGCAAGACTCTGTCTCAAAAAAATTTAAATAAATAAATAAATAAGGACAAGAGCCATAGAGAAGGAAATGATGCTCAGGGGAAGTGGGGGTCCTGGGAGGTGGGAAGAGGAGTGCAAGAGGGCAGTACCAAATGCCCAGAGGATCACCAAGCAGCGATGACACCCAGGAGCTTGGGGCCTCACTTTCAGGGTATCTGCAACTGATCTGATTAAGTCTGAACTTGGGGGGAAAAACAGACCCTAAATTACTAGTCTAGTGTAGAGTCTCCTGTCCACAGAGGTTCATGCCATGGAAGACAGCAAGTGACATCTGTTTTAATTTATATTTTCATAAGGCAGTAAGGAAAATAATTAGCTTAATTATTGTCTCCCTTACGCAAAAGCTATTTGAAAATCTCTGGATAAGCCTTGATGGTGGGTAGGAGAGACCAAATCAGAGACTCACAATTCATTCACTATTTCATCTACCATTTAGCTATCTGCAAGAGACACCAGCACGAGCTTGAGAATCCCACCATTTTAAATGGTTTCTAGTTTTGCTCATATTTAATTTAGACTCGTAAAAGTGAATAATGATATCAAAATCAGAAAAAGTTACAGAGGCATAAAAATTGTAATTTTGCAAACTCAACTAAAGTTTTCCGTGAAACTAAAGTTTTCAGTGAACACTCTACATTTCACGATCAGGTAAAATATAATAATGTCCATAATTCTTTTTTTTTTTTTTTTGAGAGGGTCTTGCTCTGTTGGCCAGGCTGGAGTATAGCTGTGCAATCACAGCTCACTGTAGCCTTGACCTCTCGGGCTCAAGTGATCCTCCCACCTCAGCCTCCCAAGTAGCTGGGACTACAAGCACATACCATCATGCCCAGCTAATTTTTGTATTTTTTTGTAGAGACAGGGTCTTGCCATGTTGACCAAGCTGGTCTTGAATTCCTGAGCTCAAGCGATCCACCTGTCTCTGCCTCCAGAAGTGCTGGGATTATAGGCATAAGCCACTGCACCTGGCCCATAATTCCTATATTAAAGATGTTGCTCACATTCTAAACACCCATATTAATAAGAGAAAATATTTTGACAAATATTCTCAGTTTGACTTTTCACTTATGTAATTTAAATCATTAGGCATAAAAACTACCTACTGTATGTAATTGTAGGAGATATGTTTGTAAATAGCAACATGAAACTATTACTTATCTCATAAACTATAGAAATATTATTTTAAAAATACACCACAGCTAGTCATTAGGACTGAAAGAATTCCAGTTTCAATCTCTAGTTAAATTTCAATCTAGGTTTTAAACTACATCTAGCAAAATTAAAACACAGTTTTTAAAAATGTTAGCAAATCATGATTTTTTGGATATAATTTAATATAAAATTAAGTAGAACAGTAATTAATGTTATTAATATTTAAGGGACAGCAAGGCTTTCATTGTGGGGAAAGATCTCAAATTTATTTTTATTTTATTTATTTAGTGTTTTGAGACGGGGGTTTTCACTCCCGTCTCAAAAAGTGAGTATAGTGGTGCAATCTCGGCTCACTGCAACCTCCGTCTTCTGGGCTTAGCCTCCCAAGTAGCTGGGACTACAGGCATGCACCACCACGCCTGGGTAATTTTTGTACTTTTTGAAGAGACAGTGTCTCACTATGTTACCCAGGCTGGTCTCAAACTCCTGACCTCAAGTGATCCACCCACCTTGGCCTCCCAAAGTGCTAAGATTACAGGCGTGAGCCACCGTACCCGGCCAGATCTCAACTTTGAAAAAAGAAAGAGAAGCATCTGGGTAACTTTGGTTTGGACTGACAGTAGCCTTTCTGAGGGTATTCCCAGCATGAACTAGTAGTGACAGGAGCCTAAGTTATACTCTTAAAGTTACGGATGAATTCCACAAAGGAGATCCAGTCTCAAATGGAAGCCAAAAGGTTCCTCTACAAATAGCATGCTAACTCGGAAAGACAGGAAATTCCACAGCCACACATCAATTCTCCTAGTTTGAGTGGAACTCCTTTCTACTCTCTCACCTAAGGGTGGTGGACACGCTGGGGAAGGACGGGGTGGAGAATCAAACACCTGATGATGCAACAAGTCCCTAGGAAGTGCCTGGGAACATGCCTGCCGAACGCCCAGCCTGCCCAGGCGCACACGGCTCGCCACTGCCAGCATGTGCTGCTATCTCAAAAAGGTTCCCACATTCATCACATTCGTGCAGAAAGCACAGCATACTTCTTGACACCCAGAGTTGGGCCAGGGATAGAGTAGCAGGTTTATGCAACATTTTACTTTACATGGTTTGCTCTGCAGAGAACTCTGGCAAATCACAGATGGTAGGCATAAAGGTAGATAGGGCCAGGTTCTTTTCAAGGTTGTCACTTCACACACCTATCTGCTCTGTCCCCTACCGGATCCACCCCAGCTCCCAGCCAGAAGAGAAGATCTGCAACAAGCAGTGGAAGTAGGAAAATGTCTATTGGCCGCTTTCATAACACTTTCCAATGATGGACTAAGCCAGATCACTGGTCTTTAAAACACTCAAGTAAGAGCTCTCACCAGGAAGGCCACGTGTATTGAGACTTTCTTACTCAGAGCACAACATCTATGCTTTGTCCTGCTCCAGCTCACAGGCCTCAGCTGCTACAGGCACTTCCCTTTCAGAGATATTAGTCACAGTGGCATTAATTTGTCACTACAAAAAAGTCTTGCTGTTTCCCATTTAGATGGTAGATACTGCATATTTTGAAAATAATATAGAAAATGAAACCCATATTTTTAATGGACAGTCTAAAATTCTACATGGTAGAATATTTAAGGGGGGGTAAAATCGTTAACTCCCATATTTTAAAGGAAGAAATAATGAAAACAAAAATAAAATGTGGAAATACAGGAAATGGGAGAGGCACCTGCGGGTCAAATGCAGCCCCACAGGAAGCTTTCCTGGTGGTGTCCCTCATTCGAAAGATGGGGGGGAACTCCAATTTGCACGGGTTCTTCAGGCCCCATCCAGAACACTCCTTAAAGCACGATGTGGACAGGAAGAGTGCTTATTTGGTTGTTTTAATATAAATCATTTTAGAGACTGGCCCAAATGTTGCAAAGGGTTCACAAGACACAGGTCTTTGATCTCTGTGGCTTTGCCATGTATGTTTTTAACATTGCTGGAATGCACCCAGGGAGGCAAACTGTTTGACAGAGAACACTATAAATATCTGAATAAATAAATACATACAGACATCTGGAACCCTGATTAAGCAGCAAAGTTTTATTTTCTTTGGGGAAAGTGGGCGGTGGGGCGGGGGGAACCAATACTGAACAGCATTTTTATTTTTACAGAAAAAGGACCAATTCTTTCCCTAAGATAAAGCCCTTAGAGTACTAATGAAACTTTTAGAAGCTCAAGTCTCCAAGTCTGTTGCTGCCTTTCCACACACAAGCACGTTACACTTTACCAATTAAAACTTTACTGCAATTCCACTTTTTAAATGACCAGTGGTAAATGAATATTTATGAAATATTGGTCATTATTTATAAGAAAATAAACCCAGGAAATATACTAATTTGCCCTGGAGTTCCAAACTAAATGTGTACATGTCCTTATGCAATAATTTTCTGGATTACAGAGATAATAAAATATGTTGGTTTACTCCTCTTTGGGAGGTGCTTGGAACAGGAACAAACAGTAAGAAGATAGACTTTGCTGCTATTATACTCAATGCAATTAAATGAAAATCAAAGAATCAAAATGGCCACAAACAATATGGTGAAATGTGAACTAAGTGTCAGATAGTTACAAAATTTGTGACACATTAAAATAAGTTCATGTTTAAAACAAACAAACAGGCCAGGCACGATGGCTCATGCCTGGAATCTCAGCACTTTATGAGGCCCAGGCAGTAGGATCACCTGAGGCCAGGAGTTCAAGACCAGCCTGGGAAAAATCGTGAGATCCTGATTCTAAAAAAAAAAGTTTAAAAATCCAAATGAGTCCCTATTTTTACTCTTAATAGGTTCCCTGATGAAATGGAGCTCCGGCAAGCACCGAAAGGTGACGTTATCAGGCATCCATTTTACTGAAGACAAAGCCTTCCTGCTCTAGGGATAAAGTTTAAAATCCTTTATCTGCCCTGCATGGCCCAACCTGGCCTGGGCAGGCCCTCACACCACCTGGCCTGCAATCACTCCACGCCAGCTGGGCAGCTCCTTTCCCTTACCTCCAGGGCTGCTGTAACCCCAACCACCCATCCCCATGACAGGTCCGTGAGAGATCCTTCAAGGCTCGCCCCACCTCAAATCTGGTTGGCTTGTCTCCTGTACTCCCGTGGCCCCTGGGCCTCTCCTTCCACGGAGCCAATCCCAAGCCCAGCCCTCTGCTGCTTACTGCGCATCCATCTTCCCCACAATTTTGACGACCTCTTGGCCTAGCTCCAAACACAGTGCCTAACTCAAGATAAGACTCAGTGGGTATTTCTGAGTGGATGGGTAGAAATTAAGTGAAAGTTTAGAAACTGGCATTTTCTGTATTTGCTCTGTTTACAAAAGAGACATGATGGGAACATCATTATGAGAACTGAGACCAGTGTTGTGGCTGGGCAGGATTGGCCGCCCAAAGGAGGGATGAAGGAGGTCACCAAACGTTGATGTCAATCAAAGGTGGGAAAATAAATAAATACCCAGTGGTCAAATTCAAAACAAGAAGAATGTGCCAGCTTGTTCCTGTGGCAGCTGTAACCCAGAAACTTGACCCTGTTACAGAGAAGCATGAGGGCAAGCTGTGTAGGGGGTGAGCAAAACACCCACAGCCCCAGGAGCCCCTCCAGCCTTGGCACCTACACAGCCCATGCCCAATGGGGCCGTGAGTGCTCAGAAATAGCACGCATATGTATATGGTGCTACTTGGCCTCTACCTCCAGGAAGGCAGGATCTACGGACATTGTTTAAATGCAGTTTAAATCATAAGATGAGAATTCATCTTGTTCTTTGTTCTATGTTCCTTCTTTGCAGCTTCAAGATATTTAACCATCCCAGAGTCATATTCAATGGTTCTTTCCCATGCAATTCATACCTGTATATCTCCCCAAATTGACAGCTGTCCTGGGGGAAAAAATTTAAAAAAGCAACAACAAACTCCAGTGCTAAAAGTCTGGGTGGTTAGTCAAACCTGTACCAATATGTGCTTCCATAATTGCCAGAACATCCCTTGGCACGAAGCTGGCAACCATGCAGATGGAAGGCTTCCCACTGATTCCATGCTGACCTCCTGATCTCTAGTTCTGGTTCTGATCTGGTCTAGGATCCACTGCCAAAGTCAGATTCTGTGTGTTGCCTTGACCATCTCCAGGCCTCATCTCTCCTTACTCTTGGACAGATCCACTTACTCAGTCTTACCTTCAGTTCTGCTTCTTCCAAAAGTCTCCTCACTCATGATGTCAACCACTGAAAACCTGAAGTTTCAGCGCTAGCCCAGGGCACTCCCACCACCCACCATAACTGGTACACCTACGGGGCTCTACGTTTCCTCAACTCTGGGGACTATCCCCAGTCTCTGTATTCCTTAGAGAGAAGAGCACTTCATGGACTCGGCATAGCATCTAAAGGAAAGGCAACAAAGACAGCCAAACAGGCTACAGATTGCCCAAGGAATTTGCAAGTGCATTAAAACCTAAAGTTTTCTCCAGACACAAATAAAATGGACAGCAAACCATCCTATTAATTCAAGCCACCAAAAACTGTACCAGGGTAGTGGCCCTAAGAATCAATATGGATATCTTTACAGATAGTTAAAAAGATATCAACAGAATAATTGCCTTTTATGCATTCTCTTAGCACAAAAATCTGGGAACTAAGAAGAGAGGAGAAATTTCTGTATAAGGAGAAAAGAGTTTCAAATCTATAAGGAAATCATTTAGTTGAACTTTAAAGGAAAAAAAAAGAAAACATCAGAAATTCTTTACTTGCAGGATCTGCAATAGTGTCTGTCAATCATTCTTGGGAAAACCCAGCTGACACGTTTGCAGTTATATTCTTGGCCTAGTATCTATCGATTTCTATGGCTAATTTTTTCATACTAGTTCTTCCCCTTTTTCCTCCAAATCCATATTCTGCCCGACATTTTCCATCACTCACAGGTTATGTCTGCTATTGTAACCTACAGGAACAAATATTCATCTCCTAAGAGCTATATTGCACAAGCTTTTCATGCCTATTATGGGAAAATCAGGCTTCTGCACGACATCAAAGTCCTTGCAGACCATGACCTTAACTGTGTTCTCACCAGCATTCAAAACCTGGTTGCATTAAATAATACTGGTGGAGGCTCATAATGAAATAAAACCACTACAGGATCCCAATCTCTCGGGCAGTCATAGACTCTGCATCCCTCAGATGAAAAGTCGTGTTGCTCATCACTGAAAGGTTTCCTTACAGCTGAACAGATCTACTAGTTACAAATCTGAAATTGCAAATATTTTCACCAGAAAGGAGTAAAAGAGCTTTAATCCTCTGACATTACAAGTCGGAGGCAAAGGCAACAGCCAGCACAGGCTGAAGGGGTCAAGATATCAAATGTCATGAGATGTAATCAAAACGTTAAATGTTCTTAGACTGTTTAGGTCGATTTACTTTTCACTGAGTTTCACTTTGTTTCTCTTTTTGTCTAGATGCATTATTTATCATCCGGGTGTTTTTGCCCAAAATTTGTCCTCAAACTCAGCAAAGAAAACGAAAAGCTTCAAAAGTCAAAGAATTTAAGAATCCTCTGAGGTGCAGTATAAAAGCAGAGAACAAAGAATGTACCATAAATATAAAGCTCCACATGTAATCTCTCTGACTAAGTTGCAGCTTACACAAGGTGGGGGGTGGGGGGTATCAATGAAGTTTTTAATAAACCTTAACATATCTTAGCCCATTTTTGAAAAGAACCTTAGAAGTGAGACTGAGGGGAAATGGTAAAAATACCATAGTTATTCTACTTTGGGCCAAAAAAAGAGAAGCTAATCCAATCATCCAAGGAGCCAGTTGCTCCCTCAACAGAAAATGGCTGTGTTATTCAGTAAACCTATTTGTGTGTATTGACTCTTTCGTAAGAGACGGGGTCTTACGATGCTGACCAGGCTGGCCTCAAACTCCTGGGCTCAAGGGATCATCCTGAACCAGTCTCCTGAGTGGCTGGGACTACAGGTGTGCACCACAGTGTCCAGCTCTATCTTTTTCAGAGGACCATCAATACATAAAGGAAACTGGAAACTGGTTTTCCCTGAAGCAACAGAAATAGTGATATCTCTGCTGGTGGGAATGTAAACTAGTACAACCACTAAGGAAGACAGTGTGGAGATTCCTTACATAACTAAAAGTAGAACTACCATTTGATCCAGCAATCCCACTACTGGGTATCTACTCAGAGGAAGTCATTACGCGAAAAAGATACTTGCATGTGCCTGTTTATAGCAGCACAATTTGCAATTGCAAAAATGTGGAACCAACCCAAATGCCCATCAACAAGTGGATAAAGAAACCGTGGAATATAGATACGACAGAATACTACTCAGCCATAAAAAAGAATGAATTAATGGCATTTGCAGTGACCTGGATGAGACTGGAGACTATTATTATAAGTGAAGTAACTCAAGAATGGAAAACCAAACATCGTATGTTCTCAACTCATAAGTAGGAGCTAAGCTATGGGGATGCAAAGGCATAAGAATGACACAATGGACTTTAAGGACTTGAGGGGAAAGGTTGGAAAGGGGGTGAAGGATAAAAGACTACAAATATGGTGCAGTGTATCCTGCTTGGGTGAAGGGTGCACCAAAATCTCACAAATCACCACTAAAGAACTTACTCATGTAACCAAATACCACCTGCTCCCCAATAGCCTATGGAAATAAAAAAAAAAATTTTTAAATTTAACAAAAGATCATGAGTAAACCAGAAAAAAAAGAAATAGTGATATCTAAGGTACACACTTAAGTTTTAGAACAAAGAACAAATAGATGGCTAGAATTAGGATTAGATCTTATCATCATACTACTTGTGAAAAGGGTATGAGTAAAAATCAGTGTCTCACTATAAAATATCAAGCCTTGTGAAGACTAAATTAGAAGATTTATGAAACGCTATTTTCCGCAAATTTCCAAATACTGTTTGACTTCTACAGCAAACAAGAAAGAAAGCAAATCTCTTAAATTACTGCCAAAAAAATATAATAATAAGAAGAAGAAACAAGGAATAAAATGGATGATAGAAGAATCTCTGTCTTTCTCATCACCATGATTTATGGGTGGAGGAGGGCAAGTAGCTAAAAAGTGGGCCATGTACTAAAAAGCCTAGCTATATAAATAAAACAAGGCAAAGAAATTTTTCAGCTGGGGTCTCACCTGGATTGGTACATGTGTGACTCTAGGCTCACAAGCTCTGAGCCCAAGCCAGGTTTGATACTGAACCATCAACATTACTAATATGGTTTCTTCTGAGTAGACCACCAAGAGAATTCACCAATCTTTCGATTTCCCACATTTTTTCAGGCCTAGAGAACAGCTGGATGGGATTTCCACAAGCTTGAAAGGCACTTGGCTGTGGTTCTTCTAACAGGAACCTCCTGAGATGCCCCTTCTGACCATGTTATTCTGTCATTCAAAGTCTAACAATGATGAGTCCTATTAAAAGTTCAACTGCATTTCCAAAATAGCCTACATGAAATGTTCTAGATACATTTATAATTAAATCTAAAATTTATGAGAATGACCAAAGACATCTTGAAATAGTTAACAGGACTTCTAATTTGGAAGGATTTGAGAGTTTATTCTCTGTCTCCTTTCCCTCTTTCTCTCCTTTTTATTAAAATATAAATAAAAAGTTCTCCATTATCACTTTGGAGAGCTAAAAAAGGAAAAAATGTTCATACCAAAGACAGAATTATTTCCACTCCCAGTAGGACACAAATGCCAAGGAATAGCTATGGTAGCACCATTCCACAGTATCTCCTATGACACCAAACACTACAAATTTCAGAGCTAGCACTCTCCTAACATATGACCGGTTAAAAAATTATAAAAACTTGATTTAGAAAGTCATGCCAATGTACTGCTAGAAGTCTAGAAAACGTATGCCCATGATAACAGGCAAAAGTGATCATCTAGTTTGCAGAAGCAGTAACATTTACTACATAGTAAAAACTTTTTTCTCCCATTGTGGGACTAACTCATTTTCAAATGCTAAATCCTTCTGAAAATTGATAAAAGCAAGTTTATGTAACAGCTGAGTAAACATTTCAGAAGGTGAAGAAGACAGAGGTTAAAATATTTCTTAGTTTCACACATGTAACTCAAATTGGAATTCTTATATCAACATTACACACACACATACACATTCAGACAGATAAACGCATCCATTAGATACACACTGTGACACCTGTTATTTGTGATGGATTTTTCCAGGTCACACAAATTTGTCAAATTTTTAAACATATGATTAATAAGATATCCACATTCATTGGAAAGGAAGTACTATATTAAACGTAACTTAACCCTTATCTGAGGGGGTGAAGCATGATGATAACATAAAATATTATACTATATAGGAATGGGCGACATAACTTTAGAAAATGCCCAGGGACAAAGGCTGGAAGCATTCTCCTTGATAACCAGTAAGACAAGGAGGCCTACTCTCACTACACCTATTCAATACTGGAAGTCCTAGCCAGAACAATCAAGCAAGAAAAAGAAAGAAAAGGCAACCAAATAGGAAAAAGCAAGTCAAACTACCTCTCTTCGTAGACGACATGATTCTATACCTGGAAAACCCCATATTCTCTGCCCAACAGCTCCCAGATCTGATAAACAACTTCAGCAAAGTTACGGGATACAAAAATCAATGCATAAAATCAGTAGCATTTCTATACACCACTAACATCCAAGCTGAGAGCCAAATCAAGAATACCACGGCCACAAAAACATAAAATATTTAGGAACACAGGTAACCAAAGACGTAAAAGATCTCTACATCAAGAATTAGAAAACATGGCTGAAAAAAAATCAGAGACTACACAAACAAATGGAAATATATTCCATGCTCATGGATAGGAATATTGTCAAAATGGCCATACTGCCCAGAGCAATTTACAGATTCAATGCTCTTCCTATCAACCTACCAAAGCCATTTTTCACAGAACTAGAAAAACTATACTGAAATTCATATGGAATCAAAAAATAGCGTCCAAAGAGCCAAAGCAATCCTAAGCAAAAAGAACAGAATCTATAAGGAACTTAAGTTTACAAGCAAAAAACAAACAACTCCAGTAAAAAAAATGGGCAAAGGACAAAAACAGTCACCAAGCATATGAAAAAAAGCTCAACATCACTAAACATCAGAGAAATGCAAATCAAAACCACAATGAGATATCATCTCACACCAGTCAGAAGAGCTATTATTAAAAAGTCAAAAAATAACAGATGCTGGTGAGGTTGCAGAGAAAAGGAACACATATATACTGTTGGAGGAAATGGAAATTCAGCCATTGTGGGAAGCAGTCTGGAGACTTCTCAAAGAACTTAAAAGAAAACTACCATCCAACCTAGCAATCCACTACTGGGTATAGACCCAAAGGAAAATAAATCATTCTACCACAAAGACACACATGGCTGGACACGGTGACTTATGCCTGTAATCACAACACTTTGGGAGGCTGAGGCAGGCAGATCACTTGAGCCCAGGAGTTCAAAACCAGCCTGTCTGGGTAACATGGTAAAACCCCATCTCTACCTAAAAAAAAAAAAAAGAAAAAAAAATTAGGTACCACATGCCTGTAGTCCCAGATACTTGGAAAGCTAAAATGGGAGAATCACTTGACTCCGGGAGGTGGAGGTTACAGTGAGCTGAGATCTTGCCACTGCACTGGACAACAGAGGAGACCCCATCTCCAAAAAAAAAAAAAAAAAGAGACACATGCACTTGTATGTTTATCATAGCACTATTCACAATAGCAAACACAAGGAGTCAACTTAGGTGCCCATCAATGGTGGCCTGGATAAAGAAAATGTGGTACATATACACCATGGAATACTACGCAGCCATAGAAAAGAACAAACTTATGCCCTTTGCAGCAACATGGATGGAGCTGGAAGCCATTATCCCAAGCAAATTAACAAGAAACAGAAAACCAAATATCACATGTTTTCACTTACAAACAGGAGCTAAACATTTAGTACATGTGGACTCTGAGAAGGAAACAACAGGCCGGGCACAGTGGCTCACGGCTGTAATCCCAGCACTTTGGGAGGCCAAGGCAGGAGGATCACCTGAGGTCAGGAGTTCAAGACCAGCTTAGCCAATATGGTGAAACCCCACATCTACTAAAAATACAAAACCAGCTGGGCATGGTGATATGCGCTTGTAATTCCAACTACTCAGGAGACTGAGGCAGGATAATTGCTTACACCCCAGAGGCGGAAGTTGCAGTGAGCCAAGATTGCGCCACTGCACTCCAGCCTGAGTGACAGAGCAAGACTCTCTCAAAAAAAAAAAAAAAAAGAAGGGAACAACAACAGATTCTGGGACCTACTTTATGGTAGGAGGAGGGCAAGGATCAAAAAATTACCTATCAGGTACTTTGCTCATTACCTGGGTGACAAAATAATCTGTATACCAAACCCTCCACCACATGTAATCTACTCATGTAACAAACCTGCATATGTACCGTCTGAACCAAAAATAAAAGTTGGAAGAAACAAACACAGGAAAATACCCAGACAGAATTCACAAGACAGTAACCGGTTACCTTATGCAAAATTCCCAGCACACTCCTGGCCTACCAAGATGCTTAATAAATGCTGTTATAATCTGCAGTCTGATTAATGATTTATGGCAATCATTTAATTTTCAATTACAGGCATCACATCCCTGCGGTTGCCACATAAAAACCGATAGGGACAATAACAAGAGTATTGGGCAAGAAGGCAAAGAAGAGGGTGGATCTACTGTGTGGATGCTCAGAGGCAGAGAGACTGCAACAGATTTCTTGTTGCTTTGTTGCTACTGCAGATGAAACAAGACAACGGAAGTGACAGAAGTTTTATAAGCTTAAGTTGTCAAATAAATTTATAATGTTGCTATAAAATTATAAGACACAGGGCAAGATTCCAAATGTATTGTACCTCTGGCTGATCCTCAATTTGGTAGAGAACTAGAATGCAACTGCCAGAAACCAAAACCTCTGTCCTACAACAGACCTCTAAAACATTCAAGGGTGGGGCAAAACTATTATAAAAATCCTCTGATGTCTTACAAACAACCTATTTTTGACTTTCTTAAGCTCTTATCAAATTATTTCTAAAAGAGTTGCACAGAATGAGAGAATCATCGCAGTTCAGAGCTGAGGGCCTTTCTGACATTACTGAGGTTGAATCCTAAGACTCTGGACTAGTTGGGTGTCTCTGCCTGAAGACACAACTATCTGGCAAGCAGGTGGAAAATTAGTAGGTGTCCTATCTTCATTTAGGTCTCTCCACCCCAAATTCTATTTTTTATATATCACAATGCTAGTATTATATCCAGTCAGTACTTTACGGCATTTTAATTGTTAGTTTATTAATGGTAATAGTGCAGTAACAGGAGTTATCTATGTTTGGCTTATAATTCCTTTAAATGTCTTAAAAACATAATTTATAGTTTACAAGAACTAACCAGAAATCTCATTTTCTTCCCAGGTTGCTTTAAACATATTTTGCGCAAGAGGAAGTTTTAAAATATCAGAATGTCCATCTGATAGAAATGTAGAAAGATTGCCCAGAATTAACTGGAGTGATCAAACCACAGACTGTCTCTAAAAACATCCCATGAATAAAATTTGAAGGCTCAACAATCTAAAACTGCCTTAGGTCAACTTTAACTTTCACTTGTGAAATTTGTCATTTTTCATGCTTTTTGAAAAAGGTGAATACATAGAATTTATACATTTGGACTAGTTATAGCATTTTTTAAAAATAATGTAAGTTTCTCCTACTCCTAAGAAGTATATCCACTTCTCTGGAATAATTCCAATATTCCATTTAAATAGAACTTATTTTACAAAATTTCAAACTCTCTTTCCTTAATTACACAATAGACTTCTGTACTCAACTTCAGCTGTATCGTTTTCAAACAAAAAGTAAACCAGATGTTTGGTACTTACATGCAAAATTGAGCTCTCATTGTAAAACCAAATTAAATTTAAAATTAACTCTGGAATGAAGCTAAGCCCCATTGAAAACACAACCAAAAAGAAAACATGCAAACAAACAAAAAAAATACTCTATTGATTTTCTTTTGTGGCTTGTTAGTCTTGGTCATTTATCTATTTTTCTTTGCATCCAGGAAAACACAGACACCCTTCCCAGACTCCTATTGTTTCATCAAAACTAGCAAATTTGGAATTTGTACATTTTTTAAGACTACTAAAATTTCATCATCTCAATTAGTCAAAAAAATCAATTTTTAGCTGTTAGGTACCATATCAAATGCTTTTCATATATTGATTCTCTTAATTGTCACTCACACAAAAAAAGGATTGTACTGTTAATATCATCGCCATACTACAAATAAGTTGAAGCAGAAAGAGTTTAAGTAATTCAGCAAGGAAGAGCTGAGATTCACATTTGGGCAGGCTGATTCTAAAGTCATGCTTTTTACCAAAAGGGTACCATGGATCCCAAATCATATAGTGATTTAAATCCCCTATTAGAAAATAAAGAAAAATCCTTCCATTTGCTGGTGGGTGAAGTCAAAGGACATCTTATTTGCTGATTAATTTTCAAATTTTAAATTTCACATATTATTAAGAGAATCCAAAAATATAATTCTTATTGTGGTGGGACAAGCTAACTAAAAAGTCTCTCTCTCCCTCTCCCCTACCCATCACAACACACACACACACACACACACACACACACACACACACACACACACAATCAATGCTTCTTAAGATAACTGTTTTGATCAAGAGGCTCTTAAATGACAACCAAAGTTCTCTCTCATTTGACATCAAATGAAAGTGGACATGAGAATTAAAGGGAGAGAAAAGATGAGCTGTATTAGAAAAAAAATACCCCATGTTTATCCAAAAATGATGAGGTACTTATTTTGCCATATAAAATTTCAAACCCTAATCTCATCTAGAACATTTAGCTACTTTGGTACAGCAATAACTAATGGAAGAAGACATACCTGAAGGCTAGGTCAATTGAGCTTTAAACTCCTACAGCTTCTCGTGTGTGAAAGGAGATGAGAGTGGTTAGAACATTTGGCATCAAGGGAAATTAAAGCTTCTTCTGTTCAGTTTTTAAAATTCTCTAACGTATGAGCTAAATCTATTCATCTGGTCTAAAGACTTGACAATTCCTTAACAAACAGCAGCTTATCTGATTGTACGATAAAACTGCTGATGGCTGGATTACACAGGTGTTCCCTTTTATTACCCCGGCTATTTATGTCAACAACTATTTATTTAATCTTAAAGTGAAAGAAGAACACTTTTCTAGTGACACTGATCACTCATGATCCTGAAATGTATGTGTTGATTTTCCTTTCATTTACAGGACCACGTCAAGACTAACTTTTCCAACTTGGCACCAATAAGAAATACTTCTGTCTACAATACAGTTCATTGGTAGAACTTATTAAACTATACTTGACTCCCTTTTCATTTTCATGCTAAGTAATAGGGAGTATATAGAGAAGATTTATATTCGCATGGGATAATTGTAAGATGTCACTACCATTTTATTCTCCAAAAAGAGAAGAAGAATACATTTATAGTTCCCCCAAAGGAAATAAATTTTATGCGCCCAGGCCATTCTGACACCAACAGGAGGAAAAAAAAATTAAAAATAATGACTACTTTTAAAAAAGCAACCATTTCCTTCCTTCTCTACTTTTAAATATGTAAAGGTAATGAAAAAAAATAATCCATGATTGTAACTATGCCTCAAAGCACTGCTGCTGATCAAGGCGTGTGGAATTGTATGTGGAGAAAATATATTTAAGGGTAAATCTGCTTCAACTATATTCCCTGTTCCAATATCATTGTGCGGAACACAGAAAGAACTGGGTATGCTATTTTTTCCTCCAACTCCCAAAATCTCTGAACTCTTCTATTATGTGCTTCAATCAGAGTGAGGAATGAGACCAGTCACTGAAGCAAAAGAACATTTCTATAAACTTCCACCTGAAGTTCAGAGAGAAGTCTGATTAGCTACTATCAGGCTGAAGATCAACCAGGGGAGATATACTGTTTTCTCAGATGTTGCTGCACAGTTTTAGAGACAGGGTCTCATTCTGATTCCTAGGCTTGGGGGGGCAATACAGTAATCATAGCTCACTGCAGCTTCTAACATTTGGGCTCAAGCAATCCTCCCACCTCAGTCTCACGAGGAGCCGGTACTATAGGCACACACCACTGTGCACAGCTAATTTTTTTTAGAGATGGGGTCTTGCTATTGTCCGAGCTGCTTTCAAACTCCTGGCCTCAAGCGATCCTCCTGCCTGAGCCTCCCAAGTAGCTGGGATTATATGACATGAGCCACCATGCCTGGCGAGCATGACTGTATTTGGAACACTGTCTGCCTAAAGATTTCTAAACACCAGAACAAGTCTAAGACAGGCTTTCCAGGTGTTCAAGAGGTGCTGGAACATTTGCCTATGTGATATAATCTATTAAAATGCAAATGCAAACAAGACATGAAAGGAAAATGTTTCCAGAACAGAGAACTTGTTTTTAATAAACTTCCTCTCAAAAATGTCCTGTTTTTTTCCTCCCCCTCCCTCCCCCTTCCCCACTGCCAGGGCCTCAAAATGTACTTTGAAGCTTGTCGAGTCTTTATTTGAGATATGAAAGAGCTTCTATTTAAACGAGGAAGAAATTTCTCAAACATTAATCCTGGTGACCAAGAATGAGAACACTCAGTGAATCATAGTTGAATTTCATGATAACATTACTTACAGGGAAAATATCATTACTTATGTTCTTTCTCCTATCAATACTTCTAAAAGCCCAAAGCGTGTACAGGTACTTGTAAAGGGCAACACTGGAAGTCCCTCCCCTTTCTCCAACACACTTTCCTAAGCTGAGCTGTAGCACTTAGACCTCCCCCAGTGGCTCAGAAAAGCATCTAGGCCCAGTCAAGAGTCTAGCTAGAAATTGTTGTGAGTCCACTTGAAGCTTAGAGATTATGATCTGAAATAAAGAATCATTTATTTTGTTTCCTGAACACCTCTGCTACTCCCACTGGTATGATTTCTTTTGAACACAATTGGTTTTGAAGTGCCAAAAGAACCATTTTTGGAAATTTTATAAAATCAAGGCCAATGAATTATGAAGAAGACATATCTGATGGAGCTATGCTCATGTGTGTTGTATCTAGAAAAGTATCTAGACTTCCATTTGGCAGCTGCATTAATTTTAATATGCATCTTTTTGATATGAGATCATAGATTCTGACACAGGATGGTTTTTAGAAGTAATCCATTGTTGGTCTAGTGTGGTGGCTCACACCTGTCCCAGCACTTTGGGAGGCTGAAGGCAGATCACTTGAGGTCAGGAGTTCAATACCAGTCTGGCCAACATGGTGAAACTCTGTCTCTACTAAAAATACAAAATCAGCCAAGTGTGGTGGCATATGCCTGTAGTCCCAGCTACTCGGTAGGCTGAGGCAAGAGAATTGCTTGAGCCCAGAGGGCGGAGGTTGCAATGAGCTGAGATCACACCACTGCACTCCAGCCTAGGCAACAGACCAAGACTCTGTCTCAAGAAAAAAAAAAAAAAAGAAGAAGAAGAACAAAGAGGAAAGAAGGAAGAAGGAAGAAGAATGAAGAAGGAAGGAGGAGGAGGAGGAGAAGGAGAAGAAGGAGGAGGAGAAGGAGAAGAAGGAGGAGGAGAAGGAGAAGGAGAAGAAGGAGAAGAAGGAGGAGAAGGAGAAGAAGGAGAAGAAATCATCATCATCATCATCCACTGTCGGCAACTATTTAAGTTTGCAAGTCCCTTGAAAACAGGTACTTTTGTTTCAATGTTTGGGACCACAACTGACGATGAGTAGAAGACCAAGAAATGCTTGATGAATGAAAAAGCCACTTTTTACCTGTTAGAACCCTGAGGCTAAGAGAAGTAATGTGACCGACTTAGTTACCACAAACTATGATCCTAGCAGAATTGGGGCATCTCAACACCTCAACTCCCTGTGCAAGAACAGATTTTCAATGTCTACTGATGATTTTAAATGGATTAATTCCTCTCTTTACTTCTTAAGGGCATGAAGTTTATGAAACAAAACTATACAGTACCAGACGCTTAACCCACAGAGTGTTAAAAGTCACCTTCAACACACAACTAAACCCCCAAAAAAGTTATTAGGTGTTTGACAGTTTCATTTCTTTGACTGGTAAACAACAGGAGAACTTGGTCTAGTTCCATGAATCACAGCTTCCAAAGAACCAATGTACGGTTTTTCTCTTCAGGCCATCACGTATCAGAAACAAAGTCCACCAAAGTAATCTATTACAAACTGTACTTTTGAAAAAGAAAATTGGAAGCAAGAGTTAAATTTAATATAAGTACCAGCTGTAAGACAAAAAACACTCTAATTTTATTTCAACACTGTAAAGTCCCATTGTTCTTTATGGGTGTTGCTTAAAGAGATGCAAATGCACTCTTGGAACTATTTCTTGTTCTGTCCAGCCAACAAATATTTACTAATCAGATACAGTGTATCCAATCCTGGGCTCAGGGGATTTAGCAAGGAAACAACAGATAAGCTCCAAGAAGACAAGGGGAAAACAAGGCAAGGAAGACAAGGGGGAAACAAGGCTAACATAAGACAAGGGTGGTAAATACGTAATTACCTAAATTAGAATGTAACTATCATTTTCATAAACACTATCAAAAACTTGATAAAAGCAAAAATGTTTTAAACTTCATGGAAAACAAAATGTCACAACCTCAGCGTTGTAAATATTCTGATTTTTTTTCCACTGTCTTCATGGCAATATAAATAATCATGTTTATAATAAAGGGGGAAGGAATAAAATAATGGAATAAGAAAACTCCAATTATAAGTGAAAATCAGTTCTCATATAAAACTCAAATTAAACTCCAGTTATAAATGGAAAACTCTCAAATTAAAACTCCAATTATAAATGAAAACCAGAGTTCTCATATGAGAACTTCAAAGTCAAATCTTTGAGGGGAAGCAGTTGGCCTTACAGTAAAACAGAACAGCGTTTCAAGCTAGCAAATCCCAACAACTTCCACTTAGTGTCCAAAAACTATGCTTTATACATATTAGGCTCTCAGTAATATACTTATCAATATTTATTCATGTTGAAATCGGCCACTGCAAGTGGCTAATGGAATATCATTAGGTTATTCCAGAAACAGTGTTCTATTTTCCCTTGAAATGGTTATCCAACAGCTAAGAACTAAGTCATGAAGATACTTTGATTCTTTTCTGACAATAAGGTCACAGAGAACTATAATGTTGATCTAACAGTGGGGGACAGTTTTAAATGACAATACTTGAATTACTATTATCAGTCACACATCCCATAGGCTAATGCCAAATTACTAAGCACACATTAACAGCAGATATTGGGATATGCTACAAAGCCCTGAGTTCCAAGTTAGCTAGTTCCAAGTTAGCCGAAGATAAAGATAAAGACAACACATATCAAATCAGTTAATGGGGGGGCGTTAAAACCATAGCCACGGACATTAGACTGAAGTGGAGAACTTACATATATCGAGAGAGACAGAGAGAGAGAGATACAGGCATATACAAATACATGCAGGTATCACATTATATACACTATAGGAAAACAATTTAACACAGTTAAGTAAAATGTCATCTTATAATTTCCTGAAATATTACATGATTATCACTTTGAACAAAGCACATTCTTCCCTAGTTTTTTATCTTTTTAACATTTTATTGGACAAACACAGTGCTTTCTCTGTTACTAAGTTGTCAGTATCTCCATGTATGATTTATTATGGAGAAAAACCATGAATCAGAACATTCTAGTAGATTAAAAATTATGCCAAAATGATGCAATATTTACCAGCTGTAGACAAGTGCTACAGTAATCGCTTACATACAGATTACTGACAAAATAACAATAGCAATCAAATATATGTAACTACGTAACTATTTAAACTCCTAACAAAGGCTTTTATGATACTATTAGCAGTAAAGGAGCAACTCCCATAAAATATGACTTCGTATCACCCCTGATAAGAGTTTAAGTACATATAACCATTGTTATGTGAAAAAAACATTATTTTTAATTTGTGATAACCCGACAGGATTTAATTACCACACCTACTTCAAACTCTTAGCTGTTTCATTCAAAGCTGAAAAAACAATATTTATGTGGCTATTGAGAATCATTATGATTGATGCAATCTTTTGTGTTATTCCCTTTATAGTCACTTGCATTTGTTATTATTAACAAGAAAAAATGAAAGGGGAAATGTGTGTTTTTGTTTTGCAACAAAGCTTTTCTGGTGATGACTAACTTCTTCCTTTGAACACAAAAAGCCTCTTAAACTAACTAATGTACATATAAATGTGTTCTTTACAATACGCATCAGGCAAGGGGGTGGGAGGGAAAGCCCGCAGGACTTAAGCCAGAATTAAAAGCAATATAGGCAAGATTGAGTACATGAAAGCTGTCAGGACGGTTGTTATTCTCAATTTCTTACAGCTCATCTGCTCTCAAGGAAGAAAAATCATAGTTTCTTTTAACCATATCCACAACAGATCTCACTTGAAAGGAAACATAGCGAGTGATTTGGCATCAATGGGCATATTACCAATTTTCCAGCATCACTACTGAATATTTATACTGGTGACGAATGATGACACTGAGGAAATATTTTAGCACGAAGCTTTGCCTTGTAAATTGTCTGAATGGTGCTGTGTCAAAACAACACCTACCATAAATCAGAGGTTTTAGGACCAGTATTTCTTGTTTAAACATGCTACCTGCTCAGCAGAATCACTTGTGTGAACAGGCATAGATTAATGTGTGCTGGGCAGAGCCATCTTACCCCCTAGCTTATAGAGCTATAATTTAACAAGCCTATTATTGTAGAGGTAATTTTGACAGTGCTGAAATATTATACTTGTTAAAAATGCACATTTAGCACCAACTCCAGTGGTCATTTGAACTGAATAAACAGATAAATAGGTATCCCTACAATTATGTTTCTTCTTTATTGATGACTCTTTTTTTCTGGCAAGGAAGTGGGATATGGACATCAGATTTTATAGAGTATCGCAAGACAGTCTTTCTGATCATATAAAAAGCTCATCATGGAGGTTGCTTTCAGTTCTCCACAAATTATTTAGCAACTTGTAGTGGATTCCAGAGTCCCTTTCCAGGTTTCAGAAACAGAACAATAGTTCAAACCACTACCACCCTCCTCCCCTCAATTCCTGTAGGATGCACATCCTAACTTCCCATTCAGTCAAGCTGGGAAGGAATCATTCTTTTTTTTTTTTTGGAGACAGGTTGGAGTGCAGTGATGCAATCACAGCTCACTGCAGTCTTGACCTCCCAGACTCAAGTAATCCTCCTGACTCAGCCTCCCGAGCTGCTGGGACTACAACCACGCCTGGCTAAAAGCTGAGAATCTTAATCACTGGGGCAACCCTCGATTTTTGATTAGGGAACATAGGAGAATATGTCTATCTTAAAATCTAGTACTAGCATTCGCATTCCATACCTCAGTGACCACAAGCATCTTCCACTGGATTAAAAAAAAGAAACATGGGAAGAAGTCAATATGTTTCTTTTTTCTTTTATCTAGTGTTTTAGCTCTCATTTACCTTAATCTATAAAGAAAAAAGAATGATATGAATCTGGTTTTTTTGTTACACTGTTGAAGGCATCGATGAACATAAATATACATACACACACATACTCCCCACGCACACACTGGAGAAAAACCAGTTGTGTAAAACACACTGGCTGTAACCCAATATTAACTTTTACTTCCCTGAGAGAGTAAACAAACACTTCTACCAACACCAGCTCTTGGGTTCTTAAAGCCAAATTAACAAATTGAAAGCAAGTAAACATTTATCTGGCACCCATTAGAGTCAGTGTACTTAGCTAAATGTTATGTCACCATAATTAGGCATGAGAAAACAGGACAACAAACCGCTCATCTTTTCTCCAAAACAAAGAGTGAAATTGTAGAGACCTGATAAGAATAAAATGTCTCTGCTAACTCTGTTGGCGTGGAAGAAAACTAAAGAAACTAACTGTGTAACTATCTTTCTCTGCAAACTCATGCTTACAAAGAAAACAGAAACATCATACAAGCAAATCATAATGTATGCTTCAGGAATTAAAATGCATCCAACCACTCAAGATGTCAGCGTCTGCCTATTCCAGTTACTAGTCAAGAAGGTGTAATTAGGAAATCCAAAAAAACCCTGTTTGAAATGCTAGGTATTCCAGGACAACATCAGAAAAATATCTTCCACAAAGACTTTCATGTTTCAAACATAATACGCCACAATATTACTTTTTAAATTTCATATTAACACATATCAAGATACAAAGACCCAAGCTATAAAAATAGAATTTCCAAGAAAGCTTTAAATTAAAAACCAGGTTTTGCAATGAGGTGCTCTTACATTATATCACTGAAATACTGCAGATCATGCTGCCCTCTTGTGCTGGATATCAAAAGCAAAATTAATTCTGCCCATGCCAGGAAAACAGGATTTACATTTAAAATAAAAATCATCTCTTAATTTCTGAAGACTTACTCTTGACCTAGGATTTGTGTTACCCATTTATTATGATTGGAACAGAACGGAAACAGGGCTAAGACACACACAAAAACTGACTAGGAAGAGGTAGATGCAGCGAACAGTACCAGAAAATATCTGCAAATGCCCTATTCAACTCAGGTCATAATCAAAATATGAAGGAGGTGTCCGAGGGCAGCTGAAAATGTAAGGCTTCTTAACAGACACACGTGATCCCATCACCAACCTACATCAAAAGAGGAAAGAATAAAAACTAGCAATGGGTGAGAGGAGGATAAAAAGACGAGAAAGGAAAACCGGCTCTTGGCAGGGCGCGGTAGCTCACGCCTGTAATCCCAGCACTTTAGGAGGCCAAGATGGGTGGATCACCTGAGGTCAAGAGTTCGAGATCAGCTTGACCAACATCATGAAACCCCATCTCTACTAAAAATACAAAAATTAGCCAGGTGTGATGGTGGACACTGTAATCCCAGCTACTCGGGAGGCTGAGGCAGGAGAATCACTTGAACCTGGGAGCCGGAGGTTGCTGTGAGCTGAGATCACGCCACTGCACTCCAGCCTGGGCGACAGAGTGAGACTCTACCACACACACACACACACACACACACACACACACACACACACAAACAGTCACCATTTGTCCACTGGTGGTCACCTTGGATGAATGTGTGTCCATTCTTGCTGGGGGCCCAGCCCGCTCCCAACAGCAGACAGAGCATGGTTGCCCCTCAGACCCAGCTCCACATTGCTCGTCAGTACTTGGCTTCTTGGGAAAACTGCTATCTCAGTACCAATAGGAGGTAAAACCCTGTCTCTACTAAAAATACAAAAAAAAAAAAAATTAGCCGGATGTGGTGGCAGACACCTGTAATACCAACTACTCAGGAGATAGACACATGAGAATTGCTTGAACCCAAGAGGTGGACATTTGCAGTGAGCTGAGATCATGCCACTGCACTCGACTGGGCAACAGAGCAGGAAGAAAGGAAGAAAGAGGAAGGAAGGAAGGAAGGAAGGAGAAAAGAAAGGAAGGAAGAAAAGAAAGAAAAGAGAAAGAGAGAGAGAACTGGCTCTTGTCATTCTAAGGCAGCACACTGGTTTGGCTCACATTTTATCCTGCTAGCTTAAGATTTATCAGGTTAACGAAAGGCCAGTAGATAAAAAGGTATTGTATTATATAAACAAAGATGAATTTCATGCAACCATAGGTGGGTTCGAAATGGAGAGGAACTTAATATCTGGCATGTTGGAGAAGCGTGGCCTTCCTAGAAACAGAAACTTCAGGCCGGGCGCGGTGGCTCACGCCTGTAATCCCCACCACTTTGGGAGGTGGAAGCGGGCAGATCACGAGGTCAGGAGATCGAGACCATCCTGGCCAACACGGTGAAACCCGTCTCTACTAAAAAAGTACAAAAAATTAGCCGGGCGTGGTGGTGGGTGCCTGTGGTCCCAGCTACTCTGGAGGCTGAGGCAAGAGAATGGCATGAACCCAGGAGGCAGAGCTTGCAGTGAGCCAAGATCACGCCACTGCACTCCAGCCTGGGTGACAGAGCAAGACTCCGTCTCAAAAAAAAAAAAAAAAAAGAAACAGAAACTTCGCTGCTGAGAAGAAACACAGACCTTCCAGGTTTACCTTCCCCTTCTCCCTAAATCCAAATAAGTGAACTTGGGACCACAGTGGGGCAGTCAGGGGGACCCTTCCAGAAGGTCTGGTTCTCTGAGTCACCAGCAAGGGTCGCCCATTCATTAACCACACAGATGAGGATCTGGGCAGAAGCATGATGAGGGGGATGGCACACTGGGGTGGGAGTGGACATAAAATAATGGAGAAGACATTTCTATGCTGCAGACCAGAGTCACTGAGAATATTCCAGCACAAGGGCACTGGAGATGGGGATATGAGGGACGTCTAGCCAGACCCCCGGTGTGAATCACCTGGAGTTTCTGTGCCAGTCACCATCCCAAGGTGAGCTTACTGGAAACTACATGCCAGCAGAGGTCCTCCCCGTTTCCTAAGTTTTCTAAAACCTGGGAGAATATCAGGATGCTGAGCTCATAGGAAACTCCCCCGGGGCTCTTCTAAGAGCTTGCTTTTAATAACTAAGTATTCAGACATGCTTCCCAGTCTTTCTACCCCACTCAAAGAACACTCTGCAATTCAGGGGGCACAACATCATGCCAGATACTTATACATATTTAACATGTATGTTTAAGAGTACTGAAAAATCGAGCATGCCTGCCTCACTATCATAGAGGGGAATTTTTATTTATATTATAAAGCCGGCTGGGTCCAGTGGCTCATGCCTGTAATCCCAGCACTTGAGGAGACTGAGGCAGGAAGATCCCTTGAGCACAGGAGTTCGAGACCAGCCCGGGTAACATAGTGAGATCCCATCTCTTCAAAATAGAATAAAATAAATTTTAAAAATTAGCTGGCCATGGTGACACAGGCCTGTGGTCCCAACTACTTGGAAGGCTGAGGCAGGAGGATCGCTTGAGCCCAGGAGGTCAAGGCTACAGTGAGCTGTGATCACATCACTGCACTCCAGTCTAGTCAACAGAATGAGACCTTATTTCTAAATAAATTTTATATATATATATATATATATATATATATATATATATATAACTATTGAAGTGCATACAATCAGTAATGTGAATTCTGAGGCGTAATTCACAGATTTTGTGTATCCTTCACCATTGTAAAAAGTGCAAAAATTTTATCTAAATGAAAATTTTAATTCTACCATTAAAAAACTTTTAATTTTTACATTTTTTCAACATCTACCACTAAAAAAAGTAAATAATTCATGACCTCTAAACATTTTGGACAAAGTAGACCTCTCTTGGGGTACTTATTTGGGCTTCTATTTTGTTGAAGGAATAAAGTCATGCTAATAGATATAGGAGGAGGAAGCAAGATAAACACTCAGGTGCTGCTGTAAGATTAGTCACCTCCAAGATTTAGACTGGGTCCCAAATCCCTGAATAATAAATAAATCAGCATGAGGAGAAGCCCACAGGTCTCAAACATGGAGAGGCTGGTTAATGGTAGTCATGAGCATTCCGAGGCCTGTGATAACAGAAAGGCAGTCCCACTTAATGCTCCAAATGTTATGACTGTAGTTTCAAATTAACTGGCAAAGTGGCGCAACGTTACAGCTGTAATAGCGCAGAGGTCCTCCAATGACTTTCTAATAACAGCTGAAATCAGACCGATATTTGTGTGGTCTCTGCAGTTTACAAATCCTTGCACGTTGCACAGTGCTTGGACTGAAAAGTATTTGTTAAATAAATCTACACAAGATGCTTTCCAGAACAGTCTTCTTTAATCTTCACAAAAATCATGTAAAACAGAGAGGGTAGGAGTAATTTCCACCCCACAGTGAAGGTGATTCAGTTCACAGATACATGGCTTCATTGTCACTAACATTCGTTAGGCACTGACCATGTTGCTACACCCAGTTTCATGTGCTAGGAATGTATTAACATGCTTAATTCTCATAAGATTTCAATTTGGTGGGTATGAATAGTATCCCTATTTTACAGATAAGAAAACTGTGACACAGAAAAATTAAGTAACTAGGACATGAATATGAATGTAACTATAATCAGCTATAACAATTAGTAACCAGCACCAGGATTGAACCCAGGTAGTTAGCTTGAGTTCACACTTTGAACTACAGCATCTGCTTGGAGACTTGCCTGTGTAATAGCACCTATGTGCTCTGGCCTTGGTCAAAAAGCTAGTCAATGGCCAGGCCAAAGCTGTGCCTGTGTTCTCTCCAGGCCACCTCCCTGCTTCTATGAGGGCAGTTATCATTTGCACAATGTCACTCAGGCCTCCCCACAAGTCCACTCAACTGAGCAGGGTGGGGACTTATAGGCACAACTAATTCTCCCTAGGAACCCAGGTCAGGAAGGCTAGCCTCAGAAGCAGGACAGATAAGAAGCGCATAGTGCAGAGGCATCAACCACTTGGAAAATACTGGGTATAGTTGGGTATACCTAGGAAACAAGCTACTGAAGATCTATATGGCAGGTTCAACAAAGTCTCTATTATAGAACCAAAAGTCTACTTCAAAACCACAGAGTTAGAAACTGTTCTTGAAGGGGAGTTTACATTTTATCAATCTTGGCTTTTAATTAACCACATATTATCTTTCAGGGAAACCTCACAGTCAGGGTATGTACAAAAACCCTGTGTTTCCAGAAATGAACGGGTTTCCCAATGAAAGAAAGAAATGCACGGCCTGTCTCACGTCAGAGCATTCCTGATTACAAAGATCCCTCTGAAAAATGGCATAACCTAACACTATGTAAACACAGCCAATGTTTAGCAACTATTCAACTACATTTAAACATGTTTACAGGGAATGCAGGATGCTTCACTTGCCTCACAGCAAATGGATTCCTAAAGCATTCTGCAAAGTGAACATTCATTTATTTTTCCACACACATATAAATTGGAATAAAAGATTGTATGCCCCCCCCTCCCCCCGCATATTTAGATTTTCTCTGGTAGGAGAAAAATATCAGTGAAGTTTCTTGTGGAAAATGAATCAACATGCATAGTGATTTTCTTCCCAGCATCCCTTCCATTTTCAAAGATGGAAATGTAATCAGATCCTAAATGTGTTGTTAACAAGACATACTTACTGAGAAACTTGGTGTCAGACTTACCTATTGGATTTCTATCAAAGAATAATACCGGAGCTTTCAGAATTGACTCAAACATTTTGTTGTGCAAAGTTTGTGAAGAGTTAACAAGGACGTAGAATACCAATAGAGATCTTGCTATGCCAAAAAGAACGGTAGCTACAGTTAAACCTGAAATAAAGAAATATCACTTAGAGAACACAGCATATCTCTGCATTTTCTTCAATAGTTGCTAAAGCAAGCCAGGTAGTTTATAAAGATGTTACTTAATTTATTCCATAAAGCATCTGGATTCTACATAAGTATAATGTATTTACAAAATACATTGACAAAGAAGGATTAAAATAGTTTATTTTTCTCTCACTGAATGGAAACTGCACAGAAAAGAAAAATCAGGTGTATAATACAATTTCATTCTAGGCTCTAATTCAATTGCAAGTTCTATTAAAAACTCAGAAGTAGGATAGATAATCATGAAGTGTAGTTGATCTTCTCCATATTCCAAATCTTATTACTTACATTATGTCCCATAATCTAAAAAAGGTGGTATGTTTTGATACCAACATGTGATATTAACAAGGAATAGGAGAAATGATTTACCTTTTCCTTGTAGAAAATGCCCAAGTAGCTTTAAAGAATTTAAAAATACCGTATTAAGTTGCATGTGGAAAACCTCTTGAATAATTGAATTGCAAGAAAACACAAATTATATTTTAACATAAGATAATTAATCTAAATAAGCAACTAATCCCCCACTGTTTTACATAGACACAAGACATTTTTAAATGAATAAAATAAATCATACATTTTATTAAGACATGAATGAGGATCCATTATTCACATAGAAATTAAAAGAGCTTTCCTAACATCTCTTCATTCACAATGCTAAATACAGTGGGGGTAACTTCTATAACAAATATTTCCCTTTCAGATGACATGTCACTGTTATTTAACCTCTGAAAGCAGCTCAAATTCCTAACTCCATCAACGGGCATTATCCTTAGCCTGCCATCCTACACGAACATAATAGAACATAATAGATTTCCTTCTTCCTTTAGTTTCCACATAGTCCATCAGTTGGAAGGTAAACACCTAACAGATTTAGATTTCTTAGCAAGCGATCGATGAAATAAACACCAAATTTCACTGAGTAGGTTCTTACAAAGATAACTCACTCTATCTCTGAGGAAAGCTTGTAGGAGCATTTCCTGTGGAAATATTTAAAATTTTAGATGAAGATTTTCTTTAAACAGTATGTAATGCTACATACATTCTAAGCACTCTTGTGAAAACAGAGTGTGGCGTTAATATTAGTCTGGCAAGCCAAATGTTAAATTAATCACACAGTTGGGGACGCGATAACATTGTGATCTCAAGGTAAGAAATAGAAGGCATCCTAATTCCCAGACACTGGATTTTTCCCTGCTCAGCTTCCCTCTTAAGTAATTAGTGAAGCCCAGGAGATGAGCAGTGCTGAAGGGAGCTTTGCATACCTGGGAGGGAATAATGCTTTTATTTTGGGGGCCTTGCTGCCAGAGGATTTCATCCAAGTTCAATAAAAGCCAGGGTTTATTTAGACAGAATTGGAACCATCCGAACCACAGGGTGGAGATCCGTTTCTAATCCCCCTGCCCATCCGTATAATGATATAAGATTTAGCTAAAGCAACCTATTAGAATAGACAATAGCCACATATTTCCAGTGGCTGATTTTCTGAATGCTCAATCCTGGTTTAACTTTCAAAATCCAGTACAGAGCAAATTAAGAGTCTTCAGTCAACCTCTCTTCTAGTAGATTTTTAAAATAATTATTCTAATTAATTCACAGAGTAAATTCGACTGAGACTCCTGATCTGTTAAGACATTACTGAATGACTCCTGGAAGCCCTAGTTACTCACACAGGCTCATTGTAAGCACCTCAGCCTCTCATACAATACACCAAATGATTAAACTTTACCTGAATAAATTCCTAAGTACCAGTTAAGATCTAGCTTCTCGGTTACATTTCCTCCTCCATTTACAGTGACATTTAGCATACTTTGTTTGTTTGCCCTATGGAACATGGGGAGAAAAAAATATTAAGCTATATATGAAATTTAGATAAATACATTTTTTTAAAAATGAACCACAATTTGGGAGAAACGCTTCATGCTGGAAAATGATTCTCAGCTCACTTAGTCTTGTGTATATCTACCTTATAAAAATTCAATTTAAATCACAACTTTCAGTTCCCGAAACTGTCTGTGAACATGATGCCGCGGATCAGACATGGGTGGAGACCACCGCAGTTTACACTCCACCAGCAAGCACTCTAATTTTTCTTCGGGTAAACGAAGTGAGGATTAGAAGAGAAGGATCAACAAACACCTCCCTCTAACTCTATGGAAAAGCGAGTCTTCTTACTGATTTTGGAGTATTTCATACATCAGACCAGAAATAACTTACCAGTATGAAAGCCACCAATCTTGAAGCACATAGGCAACCTAGGAGGGGAGAAACAACAAAGACAAAAATCAAACTTGGGCATGACTTACCAACTCAAAACTCTCAATCGCTAACATGGACAACCGAAAGAAAGCCCTCAAAGCCGGGCGTGGTGGCTCATGCTTGTAAACCCCAGCACTTTGGGAGGCTGAGGCAGGCGGATCAACTTAAGGCCAGGAGTTCGAGACCAGCCTGGCCAACATAGTGAAACCCTATCTCTACTAAAAATACAAAAATTAGCCTAGCTGGGCATGGTGGCACATGTGCCTGTAGTCCCAGCTACTCCGGAGGCTGAGACAGGAGAATTGCTTAAACCCCAGAGGCAGAGGTTGAAGTGAGCCAAGATCGCGCCACTGCACTCCAACCTGGGCAACAGAGCAAAACTCCATCTCAAAAAAAAAAAAAAAAAGAAAGAAAGAAAGAAAGAAAGAATAAAAGGCTCAGAGAACTCGCATAGTTCTTCCAGCTCAGGTCTGTGCCAAGCCCAAACTCCCAGATATCAAGGGTTCAAGAAAATGCATATTCCATTTTAAAATCATTGAAAGATACCCTTTTTTCGCAGGTCTTTGTAACGGACATGGAACACCAGTAGGCAGCCCTCACTTTGTTCCCCAAAGACAGCACATTTCAATTCAGACCCCAAGTGAACTGCAAGATGCAGTCATAATAGCATAAACATAGGTACTGTAAATATCATTTTGAGGGCGCAAAACAAATGTCATTATTTACCTGAGCTGCAGTGTTTAGGAGAATAAGGAAAATGAAGACAATCCAGTGAGCACCAGCTCTGAAGTAATTCTTATAGGCCTGAAAACCAACTTTTCCTTCAGAACGGTTCTCCTCTGATAGTGTAACTGGGACATTCTCTGTCTGCAGAGGAAAAAAGGTGGTAAGAGACAAAACAGTATACAAAACTGTTCCCAAAGATGACAATGCACTCTGTTGACAAAGCTGTGGGGAAACAGGCAGAAGTCCAAAATGATCCATCTCCTGTGGAGAAGGGTGTGGAAATAGCTAGCCAAACTATACATCCACTTATTTTTTATTTATTTAATTTTTTTTTGACTCAGAATTTTGCTCATGTTTCCCAGGCTGGAGTGTAGTGGCGCGATCTTGGCTCACTGCAACCTCTGCCTCCTAGGTTCAAGCAATTATCCTGCCTCAGCCTCCTGAGTAGCAGGGATTACAGATGCCTGCTACCACGCCTGGCTAATTTTTTGTATTTTTTAGTGAAGACAGGTTTTCACCATGTTGGCCAGGCTGATCTGGAACTCCTGACCTCAGGTGATCCTCTCACCTCGGACTTCCAAAGCGCTGGGATTGCAGGCATGAGCCACCACACCCAGCTATATGCACTAATCCTTGGACCCAGCCATCCCACTTTCAAGGTTCTACTAGAGATAAGGAAATATCATTTGGACATTGTGGCGTGGCTTGCTGGAAGGATGCCATCAGGATGTTCAGCACTTACCTAGCACACCCAAATTCAAGTGTCAATACAGAAACTTGTTCCAAAATCATATACAAAAAGATATGGAACTCTCAACTGCATCACTCAAGATGGAAACATAAAAGAGCAGGGGGTCAAAACATGAGCTCAACACAGTAACTGGGGTCAAGCAGTGAGTCTCAGTAACCAGAGTTTGGAAAGGAAGGGATAGCATATGATCCTAATCTATTTGGTTCCTGAGTTTCAGAAATTGACTCCTGATAATTTGGCATGTGAGGGCCTAATCTGAATATCTGCAAGAATCCTTCAGTCTCCTGGATTTGGATAGTCAGGGTTTGTGTGGCAAGGAATATCTATGCTTTTAAGTGAGCTCTGGTACATTTCTGCCCGGAGGACTTAGAAGGCATGAGATTCACATACTCTGAAGATGTATTGAGCAGCTCTATGCTGGCCACTGGGAACACCAAGGTGAGTAAGATGCAGCTCCTATTCTTGAAAGGTAAAGAAGGAAGTTGGGCTGCTGTGTGTCAGGAACTGTTGGGTCTTTGCACATGCTACTTCTGGCCTAACTAACATAAACCATCTGACAACAGGGCAAAATACCTCCATCAGCCACCTGCAGCATCAGAACATTCCAACATACAGGAAAAGTGGCTAATTTCATGTGGCCCACAGCAGGACTTTCTCTAAGGGGGTCTTCAAATTATGCCTCCAGATGCAAAGAGAAGTCGGGGGCCACCAGACTAAGTAGGATTTCACTACAGTAAATTCAAGAATTGTAGTATTAGTGTGAGTCACACACAGCTTAGGACTTGCACCAGCATACACACCCGCTACTCACCTCCTTGACATTCCCCAGCCTACATACAAAGGATAACTCCAACCAGGGTGGTTTGCCTTGGTTCCGTTTTAATCTACCAATATCATGGAATAGAGCCCTGAAACCACAGAATCCACTTTGGGACAAAAGATGAAGCTTTGAACAGAGTAGACCAAAGATCCATAAGGCCATTAACAGTGAACAAAACCAGGCCATGTTGTAACAGGAGGTGAACTCACATCTTGGCTCTCCAGAGCACCATCTTTCAAGGAGGGTCTAGAAGATTGTTGAGACCAAACCGAAGACTCTGAGAAGGTACGATTCCTTAGTGTGGGAGTTCCTGGAACTGGAGGTTGTTCACTTTCCTCATTATCCTTCTTTAAAAGGGAGCCAAAATCTATACCAGATTTTAGGAACTCAGTGTAAGTCCCCTTCTGCACCATTTTACCCTAAAATAAAAATAAAGAATTTCAGAGAGATACATGTGCAGGTGATAATGTTAACCTAATCTAATTCTAATCCAGAAAAAGTAACTGATCTTAAGTTATGATTATACTTAGGTCCGGAATCCTAGTTGACAAATCTAATACAATTCAACTTGATACACAACTGAGTGTTCTGTTCTCAGCCAGACTCTGTGTTAGGTCCTGAAGAATATTTTTAAAATGGTAATAGTGTGTTACAAATGGCGATTATTATCACACAGATGTTGGTGACCGTATTGGTAGTCTTATTACAGAACATGAAAACTGTGATAAACCTTATGCAATAAGAATTGAAGGAATGAGTAAATTGAGGAGGATATTCCAGGAAAGAAACCTAACACTGATAGGGAGGTAGGAACAGGCATATCTGCACAGGTAGGAAGCACTCCACAAGCCTCCACTGGCCATGGGCCCTGCTGGAAAAAGGCGTGTGGGAACCAGACTTGGACATAGACCCCATGAACTGCACCTTCACGGTCTTTACTCTAAAATTGCCCCACAGGCCAGGTGCAGTGGCTCACACCTGAAATCCCAGCACTTTGGAAGACCAAGGCAGGTGGATCACCTGAGGTCAGGAGTTCGAGACTAGCCTGGCCAACATGATGAAACCCCACCTCTACTAAAAATACAAAAAAATTAGCCGGGCATCTGTAATCCTAGCTACTCGGGAGGCTGAGGCAGGAGAATCACTTGAACCCAGAAGGCGGAGGTTGCAGTGAGCAGAGATCAAGCCACTGCACTCCAGCCTGGATGACAAGAGCGAAACTCCATCTCATAAATAAATAAATAAATAAATAAATAAATAAATAAATAAATAATTGCCCCAAAGACTCAGGGAGTTCCTAACTGAAAATTCGACATTCCATGGGACACAACCTTGCACAGTTTTCTCTCCTTACAAAGTCATAGAAAATAATGTACAAATATCTTTACTATTTGTGTACCCCATGAAATGAGACCCAACTGATTTCCTCAAACAGCAGCAAACAAAATATTAGGCAAACTCCCAGAATACAAAACAAATCAAAGGAGAGCAGCTCCTGGCTAAGGCAAGTCAGGTGGGGGAAGGTGGCCAGGACCCTCCCTGCTACCCCAATCCTCCCCACCCCCAAAAGGTGGGTCCACTGAGGAAAATCCAACGACACCTTGGGCCCTTTGGACCAGTTTGATAACTGGAGAATTCAAAAATGCTTCATGATACATTGTGTCTTCTTCCACACAGGAGGTAAAAGTGACACACCTAGTTTGATAAAATGACCACTTTTCACATAGTATCTGTAAGACACACAAGGAAACTCCTACTGGTACTGAGATGGCAATTTTCCTCAGAAGCCGAGTACTGAGGAGCAATGCAGAGTGGGTTCCGAGGGGGAACCGTGCTCTGTCTGCTGTTAGGGAAGGGGCTGGGTCGACAGCAAGAAGCAAGAATGGACACACATTCATCCTGGGTGCCCACCAGTGGAAAAATGGTTTGTGTGTGTGTGGTAGGGTCTCAGTCTGTTGCCCAGGCTGGAGTGCAATGGCGCGATCTCGGCTCACTGCAACCTTCGCCTCCCAGGTTCAAGTGATTCTCCTGCCTCAGGCTCCTGAGTAGCTGGGATCACAGGCAGCGCCACCAGGCCCAGCCAATTTTTTTGTATTTTCGGTAGAGATGGGTTTTCACCATGTTGGCCAGGTTGGTCTCAAACTCCTGACCTCAAGTGATTCCCCCCGACACCCTGACCTCCCAAATTGCTGGGATTACAGGCATGAGCCACCGCGCCTCGCCAAATGGTTGTTTTGGAGAAAGATTATTCTACCACCCACAGACTTTACTCTAATGTACCAGCATTCAGGTTTTGCCACACTAGTCTCAGCCCTCTGCATAAGAAATTACTTGTTTTCAAGTTTGAGGAACCCAGGCTCCCTATTCCTGGGGGAGTGGGGAAGAGCCAGCACACGGAACCACTTCTGAAGAGGCAGCAGTTCTGCCTTCGATAATCCTCTTAAGGGTGAGAATTCACTTGCCGGGACTTCAGTGGACAGATTCCTCACTGTTCTTTAGGCAGCAAGGAGGGGCTTACACACAAGACTTGCAAGAGCTTTGCTATCATTATATACCCCGTTTGTTGCAATAATGTGAAATTTATCTCCCTTGGAGAACGGTGCACACAGATCTTATAAAATATAATTAACACTCGTTTTTGTTATTTCCATCGTTTTATTAAGAAATTGCAGGAGGAGAAACATTAAAACATTTGAAGACACTAAGCGGGTTTCAGACCCACAATCAGGAATTTGACCAGGGCCTGGAACAGAGAAGGGTTAAGGACCAGGGTACTGAGGCAAGAGGCAACAAGCCAAGGAGTGCTGCATGAAACCACCGCTGGGCTGAGAAGTTCTCACTAACCTCCATGTCCCCGGCCACGCTAGCTCTTATAGGTTGAATGGTGACCATGACCCCCTAAAAAGATATGTTCGAGTCCTAAATCCTGTTACCTGTGAATGTGGCCTTTTTTTTCAAAACTGGATTTTTGCAGATACAATCAAGACAAGATGAGGTCATACTGGAGTAGGGTGGGCCCTAGGTCCAGTGACTGATGTCCTTATAGGAAGAAAGCCAGAGAGACACAGCGACAATGCCATGTGACAACAGAGGCAGAGACTGAAGGGCTGCACTGCCAGCCAAGGATCAACAGTGAGTGCCAGCAAAACCCCAGAAAGTGGGAGAGGCGAGGAAGGATTCTCCCCTGAAGCCTTCAGAGAGCGCGGCCCTGCGGACACCTTGATTTTGGACTTGCAGCCTCAGAACAGTGAGACAATACATTTCTGTTGTTGTAAGCTGCCTAATGTGTGGCACTTTGTTCTGGCAGCCCTAGGAAACTGACACACTAGACCAACCCCTTATTTCTGTCTTGTGAACCACTAAGACTTCAAATTACTTCTGCTGTAGCTCCTCCAGCCAACAACAAAGAGGATCTCTTAAAATCACAGATCAAACCATGTCACTCCACTGCTCTGGACTGTCCAGTAGCCTCTGTCCTAGTTCCAGGGCCTCTGACAACTGCTCTGAGCCCACCTTTCTCCAGGCTCTCCCTGGCTTGCTCTGCTCCTCCCTGATGTTCCTGTAAATGCACCAGGTAACTTCCAGCTTTAGGACCCCACTGCCAGTCCCCTGCCTCAGATGCCCTCCCCAGGTGACCGCATGGTCAGCACCTTCACGTCACTGTACCTCAAGTCCCAGCGAGGCAACCCCACCCCTCCATTTCCTTCCTTGCATCTATCTCCAGGAAGAATGTCAGCCCGACGATGGCAAGGACTTTGTCTTACTTATAGCTATACCAGCTCTCACACATATCAGGCACTCAAAAATTCCTGTGCAGTGACACTAACTGCTGGCTATTCCAGGAAAGTGGGTGCTGTGACTAGGGGTTGCTCAGTTATCCAACTGTGTTGCTGCTATTATTATTATTTTTTAATTTTTATTTTTTTGAGACAGAGTCTCACTCTGTAGCCCAGGCTGGAGTGCAACGGCATGATCTCGGCTCACTACAACCTCCGCCTCCCGGGTTCAAGTGATTCCCCTGCCTCAGCCTCCTGAGTAGCTGGGACTACAAGTGTGCACCATCATGCTGGGCTAATTTTTTGTATTTTTAGTAGAGACGGGGTTTCACCGTGTTAGACAGGCTGGTCTTGAACTCCTGACGTCAGGTGATCTGCCTGCCTCGGCCTCCCAAAGTGCTGGGATTACAGGCCTGAGTCACTGTGCCCAGCCATTTCTGCTATTAATAGAAGAGGATCTTTAGCCAAACTATGCATGACAATTAAAGGGATACAAACAGGTCTTAGAGTCTGTAATTTCCAAATAATACAATTTGAATTAAGTCATGGAAGAGGTAAACAAAAAGTTCTAAATTAAAACAGCATCATTTTCTTTAACAATGTAGTAACCTTGAGGTAGCAATTTTACATACTTTACGGTAATATGGTTTAGCATGTAATAATGACATTTCTACAAGTCTTTTGAGTTAATACTTAAAAACATGAATCCCAGCTCTGAGAAGAAAGGAACATGAAATGGAGGAAGAAGAAGGGGATTCAACACACCCAAGTACTTGCAAGTTCGGGAGACCTCTAGAAACTACTTACATCTTTCAATATCAGAATCTGACTTGCAGCTTTGAGGTACTGCAACTGATGAGTCACTAAAATTGTGATCTTCTCATGCAAAATTTGACAAATACACCTATAAATGTAAAAGGCACAGGGTGAAAAAATGCATGAATGGGGTGCTCCACATTGAAAAACATACATTTTGAAACCGTAGTCAAAGACAACACAGTAGTCAAAGATCTAGAGGTTAAATACAAACTAAATACAAATATAAGCCAATAAAGCCGGCTAGGTCCTCAAAACCACTAGCAGCAAATACGAGCCTTGCTGTGGTGAAATCCTCAAAAGTTTTCTGGGAAGGAGGCAATAAGTGTAATTTTTTTTCCTAAAACTTAGTTTAACATAGACATTCAAAAATTTGACTTAACTAAAACACTAATTATTTTATTGCCGTGTAGGATTGCAGGGGAGAAAGAAAGATCGAGGTCACGTAACGACGCGGCATTTTTCTTGGACGGTTTCTTAGATGATAATTTATAATGCACATATCAACGCCCCCCCTCCACCCCCCGCAAAAAGGCTTAGATTCTTGGTAACCTTTGCCAGAGTGCATTTTCCAGACTCTTCTTCAAAAATAATACTAGATACGAAAACAAATGCTAGTGACATGTGACTCTCCACAGTATTCTTGGTCTCATCCAGGAAGCAAAACTTCTCTCATTAGTCCTAAACAGTCTGAATAAGAAAATGGAAAAACAGAATCCAAACAGTCCAAACCATATGGCTCAAAGATAAGACCCACCTCAGTATTCAACCATCAAGTTTTCTGACGTTTGTTTGTTTTCTACGGTACCCACTCAAAGTTCTCCTACATTGTAAACGTAGACTCCTGGGAGCTACAAAAAAAAAAAATTAGCCGGGTGTGGTGGCACACACCTGTAGTCCCAGCTAGAAGGGAGGCTAAGGTGGGAGAATCACTTGAGCCCAGGAGGTGAGGCTACAGTGAGCCGTCATCACACCACTGCACTCCAGCCTGGTTGACAGAGTAAGACCCTGTCTCAAAAAGAAAAAAAGGAGAAAAAAAAAAAAGAAAAAGAAAAGAAAAGCATTAATCTGTAACAAGGGCCAAGAACATAACTCATGCTCAATAAGTGTTAGCCCTGTCCTCCAGTCTTCCTCATATGCAGCCACTGCTTTTAGAAATTCAGGACTGAGAAGTCATAAGCAAGTATTTTAGAGACAGTGCCTGTGATCAGAACCACAACTCCAGACTGCAGATATGTAAACTATCACTTCATCCTTTACGTCCAAAAGGATTATTTTTTCCCCTTTCACATATCTTAGTTTGGCTTATTTCAAAACTAAGTTGTTCAATCTAGTATACCTCTTCAGGTTTAGTACTTATACCCCTCTTCAGGTTTAGTACTAAAGCTTTTAATGAAACTGTTTCCCTTTATATCAAGATTGGCTGCCATTAGTCCTTTTATATACATATCTAAAGGGAGATGTTAATGATCAAATCTGATGGGTGCTATGTCCAGTATCAGCCAACTCAAAGGTTTCAAAATGTTTTCTTCCTAACATCTTCCATTGTAGATGAGATAATAGAAATAATTACACTAACATTGTAATTGATGGCTTGAAATTTTTTCTAAATTATGCTTCTTAGGCAAATCTCAAAAAATACTTTCCAAATTATTAAGAGTAAAAATCTTCCAGTCATGCCATAAAACAAACAAATAATAAGTGATTGATGTAGCAATGAGCTATTTAACTCTAATCCTACATAAAGACTACATTAAGAGGCCAGCCACGGGGGCTCACGCCTATAATTCCAGCACTTTGGAAGGCTGAGGCAGACAGATCACTTGAGGTCGGGAGTTCAAGCAACACGGTGAAATCCCATCTCCACTAAAAATACAAAAATTAGCTGGATGTGGTCACCCATGCCTGTAATCCCAGCTACTCGGCTGGCTGAGGCACAAGAATTGCTGGAACCCAGGAGGCCTGCAGTGATCCAAGATCATGCCACTGCACTCCAGCCTGGGCAACAGAGCGAGACTCTGCCTCAAAAAGGAAAAAAAAAAAAAAAAGACAACATTAAGAGCTGACACATACAATGTTGGAGGTGACACAAGTGAGAAAGATATAGTCAGTTGGTGCAGTGGCTCACACCTATAATCCCAGCACTTTGGGAGGTTAAGGCAGGAGGATCTTTTGAACCCAGGAGTTAAAGGCCAGTCTGGGCAACATGGAGAGATCCCATCTCTACAAAAAAACACGAAACTTAGCCAGGAGTGGTGGTGTGCACTTGTAGTCCCAGCTACTCGGGAGGATCACTTGAGCCCAGGAGGTAGAAGTTGCAGTGGGCCGTGATCATGCCATTGCACTTCAGCCTGGGTGACAGGGCAAAACTCTGTCAAAAAAGGAAGGAAGGGATGGAGGGAGGGAGAGAGGGACAGATACAGTCACTACCTTCATTCATTCAGTTAAGATACATTTGCTGAGCACTGACGAAGTACCAGGGACTACTCTAAGTGATGAGGATACATCCACTGGTCAAGCAAACAGACAACACCCTGAGTCGTGTAGGGACACTCACTACACAAACACAGAAAACACACTATTGGATAGTAAAGTAAACCATGAAGAGACAGCCAGGCAAAGGTTGTACTTTAGAGGGAGTGGCCAGGAAAGTCCTCTCTGCAAGGAGGTGATGTATGAGCCATGAGACTATCTGGGGGAAGCATTCCTGGCAGATACAGCAGGTGCAATGGTCCCGGGGCACAAATGCGCTGTGCAAAGGCACCTTCATGCATTCGCAGTCTAGTGCGGGGGCTGGAGGGAAGAACACATAGGTGGATCAAGAGCAGCTCATTGAGGGCTGTGGGAAGACAGAGAAAGCGCCATGCCCTCCGAGGAGCAGAAGAGAAAGGCAGGAGGTAGGATCTGTGTCTTTCATTTTTCTCTTTTGCCCAGGCAAACTATCCCTGGTTGTCCAACGGCAGGAAAAATACCCTTACAGACAGGCAGACGTGAGAAATTCACACCTCCTTCCAGGCACCCCAAAGAAGTGTGCATGGCTGGAGGACTGGTCTTGCATGGCAAGGGTTGGAAAGGTGAATGGGGCAGACTGCAAAGGGCAATTTGCCATTCGAGGACTTAGAACTGTAGCTTAAAAGTAGGGGAGTCCTAGAGGACCTGAAAGAGGGAAGGTGAACTAGTGCTGTGCCTGAATGTTTGTGGCCCTCCCCAAATTCCTACTGAACCCTAATCACCAATGTAATGGTATTAGGAGGTGAGGCCTATTTCATGAGAATCTGCCAACACAAATGGTATTAGTAGAAGGGGCCAGCCCAGGGAAGCTGCCGTACCCCTTCCACAGTGACAAGACAGCTGTCTATGAACCAGAGCGTGAGCCCTCTCCAGGCACCAAAACTGCTGGCGCCTTGATCTTGAATCTTGTCCTCCAGAACTGTAGAAACAATTTTCTATTGTTTATATGGAGTACCTAGTTTATGCTATTTTGAATCAGCAGCCTGAATGGACTAAGACAAATAGGTAGGCAACAGTGTGGGAGATCTGATTAGGAGACTCAAAGAGGCAGGGGTCTGAGAATTTGAGGCTTTCTAGAACACAACCACATCTATAGCAGGCAACAAATTGGATTAGCATCCTTTAATCTAAGTGACCCTCACTTTTTGTATGTGATAAAATCCACTTAGTGTTTGCAACATATAGTTGTAAAACACAACTCTTAACAACTCTCGATATATATTCATGATTGAAGTAAAACTGTTAATGGCAAATAGAAGCGTAATTCATTCACTTTTAATACAAAACACTTCACATTTCTAAGCTTCAACACAACCGCCATCTTTCATAGCATATTGTTCAATCCAATTTTCTAACTCGTTGAGAACATTCTCCAGTTGCTGCTGAGTGATTTCCTAAATTGCATTCGTGCTCCCTGCCCTAAGTTTCCCCAAAGAATGTGATTCTGATTAGCAAACAACAATTTTAACAAGCTTGCTTCTAACAAGCATATATCCAAAGTCATTAATCCTTAAAGGTGCAAGAGGACTTTATAAATACCTCCTGTGTTCAAATGAAAATCTGAGGGAGCTTGTGCGATACGCACACTGATACTCAGCAATGAAAATACCTTCCTCCTTCCCCGCGGCGACTCTAAACAGCGTCCCACCGGGAATTGTTGTTTGAGTGATAAAGAACTGGTGGGGCCTCGCGCAAGACTCAAGCAAGCCACAGAGGCCCTTCTCGGCGAAATGGAAAATTCATCAAGGCACAATGAGGAGGGAGCAGGAAACGAGGCTCTGATCAGACTGCTGCGGCAATGCCAAGTGCCAGCTTATCCTGCACTCTGCATTCAGAAAGATTCAATGCTGCCATCCACGTTTTTTTTGGTTGTGGAAAAATAGACAAGACATAACATTTACCATTTACACCATTTTTAATTGTATAGCTTGGTCGCGCTAAGTACATACACACCATTGTGCAACCATCACCATCATACACATCCACTTCATCATCCCATACCAGGCACATTTTGCATACGCACTCTGGTGGGTAAACGTTCAGGAACCCACGTAGAGCCCCATGCTCAGTGGATGACTTCATGTCCAAACCCCTGGAATCCAGAGCCCAGAGATGAGTTACTCTCACACAGCCGACTCGCTATCCACTTTGCTATCCAGGACTTGTTATGGACTGAACCATGCTCCCCTCAAAGTTCCTATGTTCCAGCCCTCACCCTAGCACCTTAGAAATTGAACAGAGAACCTTTTTTAAAATTTTTTTTTTATTATTATTATTTTTGAGACAGAATCTCACTCGTCATCCAGGCTGGAGTGCAATGGCGCTATCTCGGCTCACTGCAACCTCCACCTCCTGGGTTCAAGCAATTCTCCTGCCTCAGCCTCCAGAGTAGCTGGGATTACAGGCACCCGCCACCATCCACCACTGATTTTTGTATTTTTAGTAGAGATGGGGTTTCACAACGTTGGCCAGGCTGGTCTCGAACTCCTCAGGTGATCTGCCTGCCTCGGCTTCCCAAAGTGCTGGGATTACAGGCATGGGCCACAGTGCCCGGCCAACACAGAACCTTTAGAGAAGTAATTACACTAAAATGAGGCCATGAGGGTGGGCCCTACTCTAATCTGACTGGTGTCTTTTCAGGAAGAGGAGATTTGGATACAGAGACACAAGGAGAAAAGGGTGAGAAGGCAGCCATCAGCAGGCCAAGAAAGCCCTCGGGAGGAGCTGCACCTGCAGATGCATTGATCTCACACATGCAGTCTCCAGAACTCTGCAGAAACAACCTGCCGCTGTGGAAGCCCCCCAGCCTGTGGCATTTTGTGAGGGCAGCCCTGGCTGGCCAACACAGGACTTCCAGAGCTTTCTCTCACGGTACCTTCTCTATCCCCCACCACAGGAACAGGTGCCTGCCTGCTGTCCTTCCCACAGGCCTCACTCCTTCCCGTCTGCACACCTCTGCTTCTACTATTTCTTTCAAAGGAATTGAATCCTACTCTCAGCCACCACAAACCCTTACCAGCCTGCAGGACCACAGGCTACTTCCAGCCAAGCCCGGCCCTCAGTGACCTTTCCAATCTCTGCTGCCCACTTCTTCCATTTAAAAAAAAAGATTGTCGTATGCCAGGTGTAGGGGCTCACACCTGTAATCTCAGCACTCCAGGAAGCCGAGGGCAGGGGGGGGGGGGGGGGGGGGGTGGATCCCTTGAGCCCAGGAGTTCGAGACCAGCCTGGGCAACATAGGGAGACCAGCCTAGACAACATGGCAAAGCCCCCTCTCTTCAAAAAAACACTGAATGAGCTGGGCATGGTGGTGCTAGCCTGTAGTCACAGCTACCCGGGAGGCTGAGGCAGGAGAATCTCTTGAACCCAGGAGGTCGAGGCTGCAGTGAGCTGAGAATGCACCACTGCACTCCAGCCTGGGCAACAGAGCGAGATCCTATCTAAAAAAAAAATAATAATAAAATAGATTGTCCTATATTGAAATCCCCTAAGCCTTGGGGTCTGTTGAACTTTTCCCATGCACTTAGTCTTGATCCATGCAGAGACAAATTCCTTATGGGCAAGAATGAAATCTGAACTTGTCTCTCTCTCACTCAGCCCAGCATGGGTGCTTATCTTCTCTGTGGCTGACTGCCCTCCTCTGCAAGCGAAGATGTTTCATGCAGTAGCATCTGCAGGAGCATCTACCTCAGTGTGCGCAGAAGGGTTACAATGAGTGGGAAAGGCTCACTGACTTTAACAAGGCGAAAAACAGGAAGCTGACTGTGGGGCAGATGTGAGTGCTGTTTTGGCAAAACCAGTTCACAATGCTTTCAAAAAGGCCAGTCTAGACTATGTAGGAAGTGTCAGTCGGCACACATGAGTTTATAGAATATACAGAAAAGATTCCAGAGTAGTTCTACCTCCATGGCTCAGTGTCTAAGCAAGAGCCAAAGAAAGAAAATCCCAGAAACACCACGTAAGAGTTGGGAGGGAAGCCAGATTCTAGACAACTAGTTTCAAAGGCAAGCCAGGCCTACATGCCTGTGGGTTTTAAGTGTTCACTCTGGTAAGAATCCATGAAGCAACATTAGATTCTTGAAACCACAGTCTACTATGGAGCAAATCATTCTTAAATTCTAGATTTTACTAGTAGGTTATCTCCAAACTGACAGATTAGTATGTAAAGAGCAACAAAGCCTTCCCAAGAAAGCCCTATGTTGGTCCCAAGGACGTCACTTCTAACCTGTCATAGAGAAATGATGGAGGAAAAGAGCTGAAAGACAAGGCTCAGGTTGCCAAGTGCCACCCTTCCATTGAAAAATGGAGTACCATCTTTCCTATCTCCGGGGCCTGGTCCATCAGCAGTTTCTTGGTTATCAACTGTAATTACTAGTAGGGGAAAACTTGCAAAATTTGCCATCTGTTTCTCAACTCCCTAAAACATGATACACTCCACTCACTGCAACACACTGAAATCACTTTGTGTATTTTCCTACCTTGACCTTGTATTTCTGCAAAATTTCTCTAAAATGGATCTTCAGGGAAGCAGGGGACAGTGTGGGGAGGGGAGCGGACACCAGAGTAGGATGAGCTGAAAGCCATAAAGGCTTTCCTGAGCCAACTCGAAATGGCTCTGGAAAAGCAGAAATGACTTAAGACACAAACACACTCACAGTTCGAACAAGTGTCTGCTAACTTCCGCATCTACTGCACTGAGAGGATCGTCCAGGAGATAGATGTCAGCATCTTGATACACTGCTCTAGAAAATACAAAGAGGTATCAGACTCTCACCCAGGAACATGACAACTTTCAACAACTGGGATGTTCATTCAAATGCCAACAGAATAACCCAAGAAGGTGCTTCACACAGGACGCAATACACAGTAAGCAGGTCCTATGTGCTCACCACCACTGGAAGGTATCAAAAGACACCGGCATAGTGGCTGCTGAAATGCAACTTACCTTGCAAGGTTTACCCGTGCTTTCTGCCCTCCACTCAGCGTGGTTCCCCGATCTCCTATCACAGTCAGATCACCATCCTCCAACAGCTGTAAATCCTGTATGGACAAAGGAAAGAAGGGGGGAAAAAGAGACTTAAAACATGTTCTTCCTCTGTTCTTTGTGTTCTTCCAAAGTTATCCTAAACTTTGCACATTAGTTCTTCAGAAATTTACATGTATTTGATCAACAGCAATGGAAATATTTCATAGTAACTAAATTGTAAGTTTGAACCTATCAAATACACAGTCAGGGCACGTTATCTATTTTAATGCTGTAGCTTTTCATAGCATTTATGCACTGAGCCATTTTAACAGAAATTTTTTGAGCAGCAACTCCTTGTGAATTCAGCAGCGAAAGAGTTTCCACAGTGAGTGACCTGACAATAAAAGATTGACACAAATGTAAGAGGTGATAAGTGCTAAGAAGGAGAAGGAAGCTGGCTTAGGGAGACAGAGTGACAGAGGGAAAGTCCACTTTATATAGGGAGGTCAACAAGGGCTCTGATCGAGGGGGTCTGAGCAGAGACCTGTCAGGGGATGGACTGGCTGGCACAGAGTGCAGGAAGAGTGCTCCATAGAGGAATGAGCAAGCACAAAACCCATGGGGTGATACGTGCCCAAGGTGTTCACAGAAGAGCAATATGGATGCACACGGAACTGCGAGCACAGGATGATGGCAGGGGAGGGCAGAGACAGAGGCAAGAGAAGCCAAGGGCTCACACCCAGGGAAATAGGAGGAAGGACATGATCTGATCAAGGCAATAATTGAGACAAGAAACAACAGTAGCCGGGACCGGAGTGGGGAACAAGGAAGTGAACATCAGTGGTCATGTGCTGAACAAATTTTAAAGGTAGCACCTATAGGATCTGCTGATGAGATGGGTTTGTGTTGTGATAGAAAAAGAGGAGGACTGCATTGGTTTTGGTGTAAGACAAGGGAAGAACAGGGTTACCATTTACTGAGCTGGGGGAAATGAGGGACGCAGATTCAAGAGATAAAATCAAAAGGTTGATTATGGCCAAACTGAAATGCTGACCGGCTATCCTGACTTGCGGCTGGATAAGTGAGTCTGGAGGTCTGTGCTGGAGACCCAACCGTGAGGGCTGTCAGCATAAAGCCACGGGACTTACTAAGGAACAACTGTGTCTTCACAAGCCATTTTGCGACTTTTGCCTCAGCTTTCCATTCTCAGAGAAGGGATAACACCCGCCCCATCTTCACAGTGATGCTTAAGGCATCACAATAGACTGACAGAAAAAAAACTGCAAAGAATAAGAGCAGAAAGAGCAGCCCAGTCAGGAAAAGCCAAAGGGAAAGGAGCAGAGTGCTCATGAGACACTGCACAGACTGGTTGCACTAAGTAGACTCTGGCTCCATGCAAGACCCCAAAAAACAAAAGCTAGGAAGGAAAACAAGTTTTTATTTGAGGATCCAACCAAAGTTATATTTAAAAATTATTTAAGAAATAAGTTGACAAAGCATAATACTTTTTTTAAAAAACATGACAAGAACATCCCTGAAAATAACAGGATAATGATCAGGTTTAAGTTACAGGACATTACATTAGAAATCTTTACTTGGATGGCCTATAATTATCACTAGACAGATCCTAGCATAGACAAAAGGTGTGGAGAACATCGCTGGGTATTGACTGAGCTGCATAAGCATCAACCTAGGACACTACAGAGATAGCCCTCTTACAGATCAAGGTGTCATTTCTTTGTCTCTACTCTGACAAAGCCGGGGAGACAAAGCAAATGGCACATTGAGATCTCCATGACAAGCAAATCCTCTGACCTCCCTAAGTTCTCATTTTATCTCTTTTACAAAATATCCTGGAGAAACAAGAATTAATAAACTCATAGAATGCCGGAACAATCTAAAGTAAGGGTATGAACTCTCTAAGTGAAAAAAGGATCTGAGTTCATTATCATTTGCTATTGATGACTATGACATATTTTCTGATCAAACCAACAGCAGGACCCCATTCATAGCATGAATCCCACTAAATAAAGTACATCACCAAATGGAAAAAAACAGTATTTCCATTGGAACCCACTCCCTGGCAGCCCACTAAGACACACAGGAGTCCCCTAATACTCCAATCTGAACCAGATGGCATCAAATGAAAGGTAGCAAGTGCCCCATTATGAAAATTCATTATTTCACGTTATCTCTTTGTTGAGCTCAGAAGTTACACTATCTCTTCCTTTCAGTTTTCATAAAAAGACAACGCGGCCAGGCACGGTGGCTCACGCCTGTAATCCCAGCAATTTGGGAGGCCGACACGGGTGGATCACCTGAGGTCAGGAGTTCAAGACCAGCCTGGCCAACATGGTGAAACTCCGTCTCTACTAAACATACAAAATTAGCCAGGCATGGGGGTGCATGCCTGTAATCCCAGCTACTTGAGAGGCTAAGGCAGGAGAATCGCTTGAACCTGGGAGGCAAAGGTTGCAGTGAGCGAGATCGCACCATTGCACTCCAGCCTGGGCAACAAGAGTGAAACTCCATCTCAAAAAAAAAAAGACAATGCACCAGTTAACACTATCTCTTCCTTTCAGTTTTCATAAAAAGACAATGCACCATTTTAAGACAGGGTCCCAGCCTTCCACACAAACACAAACACACATTGTTTACTTGGCCTCATTCCATTGCTGATGGTCTTTATATAATGTGTTAAGTTTCTGTGCCTTGATTTTACATTGTTTTGTTTTCATTCTCAAAATAGCATCAAGTTGTAGCAGAGCAATCTTAGCCATTTTCTAGAAAAGACACTAAAAATATCTGTCTCATTTCATGCAGACAGGGAATAGGGAAGGAGCTCTCTCCCCATGCCTGGTAGTAGCACTTTGAGTACTACAACGACCTTGAGTGTTGTTGACTTGGCAAACTATTTATGGACACGCCTCAGACAGGGAAAATATTTCAAAGGATCTGAAGTACAATCTGAGTCAGGCTAATTTCCTAGCCATGATTTTCTAGTTTGGCTAAAGGGAAACAGTTGAGCAGAAAGCAGAAGTGCTCCCAATGGGAGGAAGGTATCTCATGCACGTTAGGTACCACTCAGTAAAATTAACCAATTATTTAATCTACCACCACCTTTACTGAAATGCAGACACAGAAACTAGAGAAAAACCATGACGTGGCTATGTGGGTTTGACGCCATCTAACCAGAATCCTACCATGTGCACATCAACCATGGTGACACTAAAGGCAGAAAGACCACTGAGGACACTATGGGGATGGTCACAGGGGCCAGGCCTGAGGCCCCAGCACAAGAAGAGGCCCCAGAGTCAGAGAGCAGGGCTCTCCAGCTTTGGGCCACACCTTGCTTCCATTTGGAATGGCCCTTCCTGTCATAGCTTATCAACATCCTATTCTTCTTTCAGGGCCCAGCTCAAACTCTTCTATGAAACTAACCTGCAGTCCCCCAATCAGAAAACATCACTCTCTCTTCTAGGTTCCTAAGGCTTTGTTTATATTTCTTAGGAAGGACCTGCCATATTCTGCCTCTTAATGTTTATGTGTGTACTCAGCTTCTTGCTCCACAGGTCAGCTCCTGGATGTAAGAGCTATGCACCAACCACTGTTCCTGATGCCTGGTGTTATCTCTAACCTTCATGACAACCTGCCAAGTAAGTAGTGACCACACTTCACAGATGAGGAGACTGAGATGAAGTGAGAGCACGTAACTGGACTGAGGACTCTCAGTTAATAAAGGAAGGCTGGAGTCTGAACCAAGCTCATCTCAGTTCACAGCCTGTTGCCCTTTCATATCATGCTTCCCCAAGTGCTTGCTAGAAGTTACTTAAAGGCAATACTGAAACAACTCAGAACTCGAAGTCTCTCTATCCATATACAGCACTATCAGTTCATTTAGTCACCCTAGTTAGATTCACCTCATTGTATCCCTTTTGTACTCAGCTTTAAAAAAAAAGACAGGGTCTTGCTATGTTGCCTAGGCTGGTCTCATACTCCTGGCCTCAAGCAATCCTCCCACCTCAGCTACCCAAAGTACTGGGATTACAGGTTTGAGCCACCACGCCGGGCCCTCAGCATTTATTTCCTATTATGTCACTAAGGAGTGATATGGTTCTCCCAACTGAGAGATTAACAACAACAACAAAAAGGCATAACAACAGTTATTTTATGATTGTCAAGGCAATCTAAAAAGAAAATGTCCAAGTTGGCAGGAATGTGGCAAATATGAGAAGAAATTATAAGATAGTGGGTACACCAAAGGGGTTTGTAGAGTCAAGTGAGCTATATAGAAAAACATTAAACTCCAATTTATCAATTCCATGCCTTTTTGGATACACACTGCTTAAAAGTGCTCAAGGATTAAAAGAAACTATGCAAAGGGTGACATAATATTAATACATTGCATCTATTAGGGTAACAATATTTTTATTATTCTCTTATTTACTGTACTATGTATAGAAACCCTATATAAATATCAATTCAAATAATGGAAGTTATATACTCAGATACATTCTTTCAAGCATGTCACATTTCATGTGATTTTACCCAAAATTGGTGGCTCTTATAATTAAGAAGGCCTGTTATGTGCCTAGTAATCAGATGCTTTAAGTTCATGATCAAATCTTATCCTCACAATAGCCTATGAGGTGAATAGTTTATTATCTCTATTTTACAGATGACAAAACTGAGGCTTTCTAAGGTTCAGACGATTAGCTAAAATCACACACCTACTGAAGAGGAACTGAGACTCAATCCCAGAGCTGTCTGACCCCAAGGCCTCGGATTTTAACTACTACCCACTAAAGTATCTAACATTAGTATGTTGTTTCCTGAGGTATGTCCTGTCATTTGCTACGATATCTCTTTGAATAAATAATTAGCCTAAAGCAATACTGCTAAATGTGAATTACTACTTCCTATCTTATTATTTTATCTCAAATATATTTTTAGCTCGATGAACTTATAAATTTACTTCAACTGTATCTAGTACAATATATCTAGTTGCTATCAACATATCTGAGAAATCTTGTTAGTTCCTATTTTTTCCTCTAGGACTTTTTTTTTTTTTTTTGCGGGGGAGGGTGGCCAGGAGGGGAATGAGGAACTATATAAGGCAAAATCTTTTATTTATCTTATTAACTGATTTAGAGAAAAGGGCAACAGCTACTATTTACCAAAAACCTGGCATGTTTGCATTTTACAGACATTGCCTGCAGTCTTTATAATCCTGCTGTATCTCCCCCATTTAATAAGAAATGAAACAGAGGCCAAACACCCAGAGACGCTCAGGACCATTTCTGTCCAGCAGGTTTTGATTACACATGCAATCTCTGTACCTACAAGCCAGAATAATTCCAGTATTGCTATTCTCTATGGCCATCTAACACCCACCATTGACACGTGGATTTGAAAAGGAGTCGGCAAATGATCTCATAACTCATTAAGAGGATCCCTGGTTTCTTCCAGTCCCCTGCTAAACAGTCATAAATGGCATTTGAGAATGGTAGCAAAATTTCTTGGAAACCATCTCATCCCATGTCCTTATTTCTCAGCAGAGACATCAAAAGCCCAAGGCAAGTAATGTGACAAGTCCAAAGTGGACACCGAGCTGGTCGTGCGCAGTGGCTCATGCAAATAATCCCAGCATTTTGGGAAGCAAAAGCAGGTGGATCACTTGAGGTCAAGAGTTCAAGACCAGCTGGTCAACACAGCAAAACCCCATCTCTACTAAAAGTACAAAAAAATTAGCCAGGCATGGTGGCGCACACCTGTGACCCCAGTTACTCAGGAGGCTGAGGCAGGAGAATCACTGGAGCCTGGGAGGCGGAGGTTGCAATGAGGCGAGATTACACCATTAGACTCCAGCCTGGGTGACAGAGCGAGACTCCATCTCAAAAAAAACCCAAAGTGACAGCGAGCAAATGACAAAGCTGGGCCAGACTCCTGCTCTGTTCGACTTCTCCACCACCGGAGGCCCACCGTCCTACCGAGGATGGAACCATGCACAGGGGGCCAGCAGTCCATGCTTACACACATCCAGGAAGGAACCAAGAAGTCGCCATGCAGCCCAGCCCTGAGGGGACCCCATTGCCACTGGAGTCTGCCTGCCACGCAGAAGCCCGCAGGTGCCTGGGACACTATCCGAGTTACTGGGCCAGTCCTCAAAGGTGGCTACGGAAGAGGCTGAATGGCAGCCACTGTCCTAACCCCCACTTTCCCCCAGAGACTTTCTGATGTGGGAAGGAGCAAGGCAGAGCTGGGTGACCTGGGACCTGGAGTCTCATGTGGGTATCAGAAGCTGAACAGGTAAAAAGGGAAGGCTTGAAAAACATTTTGTCCCACATTCTACCTTTTTATCAATCACCTAATTGTTAAAATAGTTTTCTACCTTATAAACACCCCCAACTGAGAGGTGCCTGGCAGAGGGGAAAATGGAATCTGGAGCTAGGCAGGTATGGCTTTGAACTTGAACTGCAAATGTTCAAGTGAGTCATTTTATCTCTCCAACCCTCCACTTTACCAGCCAGAAGCAACATTCAACTCTTGAAACCACAGTCTTGAACAAATCATTCTTAAATTCTAGAGTTTACTAGTAGGTTATCTCCAAACTGACAGATTAGTAGGTAAAGAGCAACAAAGCCTTCCCAAGAAAGCCCTGTGTTGGTCCCAAGGACCTCACTTCTAACCTGTCATAGAGAAATGATGGAAGAAAAGAGCTGAAAGACAAGGCCCAGGTTGCCAAGTGCCACCCTTCCATTGAAAAATGGCGTACCATCTTTCCTATCTCCGGGGCCTGGTCCATCAGCAGTTTCTTGGTTATCAACTGTAACTACCAGTGGGGGAAAACTAGCAAAATTTGCCATCTGTTTCTCAACTCCCTAAAACATGATACACTCCACTCACTGCAACACACTGAAATCACCTTGTATATTCTCCTACTTTGACCCTATATTTCTGCAAAATTTCTCTAAAATGGATCTTCAGGGAAGCAGGGGACAGTGGGGGGACACCAGAGCAGGACAAGCTGAAGTATAGTAATTATTTTAGGGAAATGTTAGCAATTCTGTACAAACTTTGAATAAAATGAAAATTTTACTTTAAAAAAGCGAGGCTAGCAATATCAGAAAAATAAACAAAATGAGGATAGCAATAGCAAAGGCACTGGGAAATCATGGCAAAAGATTAAAACTTTACACAGCTTTGTGTGTGCATATGTGTGAGCGTGTGAGACAGAGAAAAAAAAATAAGACCTGGTAGGATCTGAATAACTAGGAGCTTGCCTTAGCGCATCTTTTCCTATATAGTGTATACTATTCAATAAAAATCTAGCTCATTACTGCTAACTTAATGTCATTTCCGAAAATGCATCATCTCTCATTAACAATAGTCCAGGATGAAGAAACAGCCCATTAAACAAGCAATGATTTCTCTATCCAAATCGCCAGCAAATACTACTCACCTGATTGACAGACTCTGATATTCCAGCCATTGTTCAAGCAAAATTACTCATTCCTCACAAACCTGGCTGGAAGCCTTCTGCATCACACCTGTGACAGTCTGTGGCGGCCTTTTCCAGACAGCATAAAAGAACAGTAGGATGTCCAGGCCACACTGCACAGGGCCTGGGGAGAGCCCTTTAATGCCATTATTCACTGATTTTTATGGCCCAAAGAAGGTAACATAGTATTTATCAGTATTTACCATTTTTTCTATCTTCTAGAACTTATAGCCCTCTATTAAGTATGCTCAGTTTTCATCAACTATCCACCAGGTTTATGAAAACCTCAGTGTACAATCAAACACTTCATCTTTTCTGAAAACAATCACTCTCTTGGTGAAATGATACACAATGAAAAATAAATTTTAAAACAGTTTCCTTTAAATAATAAATTGCACTGTAAATTTATCCATGTAACCAAAAACCACCCGTACCCCAAAATCTACTGAAACAAATTTTCTTTTTTAAAGGGAGTGGAGAAGGAAACCTGTGGTTTGAGAGGGACCCAAGCAGGAAACATCAGCCAAGTGCACGGTGCAGACATCTTCCGGAGTCTGACGCAAACCAATGGGTAATGAGATACTAAAGCACTGTAATCTCTGCCTAGCCGGTTGATGATAGCAAGAAATTCTGGTGATTTTTTTTCTTGAGTGAGATGTAATTTTTTTTCAAAAGTGTTCTTATCTTCTAGAGATAAGTAATAAGGTATTACAGATAAAATACAATTACAGATAAAATACAATTGAGGCCAAGGGTATGCATCAGAAGAATCTGGGTTGGGGGTGGAGCTAGCAGAGGGCCAGGGGAGAGACGGAGTTGAATTGGCTACAAGTTGATCGCACTTGAACTTGAGCAATGGGTACAGGCAGGTTCAAGACACCCTTCTCTCCACTTTTGCAAATTTTTATAATTGTCCATTTTGAAAAAAAGAAAAGTTAAAAGTAAATAAAACTTCACAAAACCAACCAAACCCCCGAAATTCACCCTGTAAACATCATTTTCGCATCAGACGTAAAAGGACAGAGCGTGTGTGTGTTTATTTACTGGGAGGACCGCCTTAAAGTATTAAATAACATTCAAAGGTCTTTAAAAATTAAAAAAAAGTTAATAAACCTTGTTGTTCAAGTGAACACTAGTATTACTGGACATTCGAGTACATGAAATCCAAAAGTCATCACTCACCTTTTTCAGAGCACAAGCCTTTATGACTTTTTCATATCGTTCCTTTTCGTATTTCTTCCCAAATAAAATATTACTCCTCAGAGTTCCCGAGAACACCCAGGGCTGCTGAGACACATAGGCAATTCTTCCATGCACGCTGACCAGCCCGTGACTTGGGGCCAATTCCCCGAGCACGGCACTTAACAGTGATGACTGAAACAGATTGTAAAAAAGCACATGTTCAGTCAACACTCGAGACAAGAATAAGCCACTGCAATGCAGCCTTGCCCAGCCCTGGGAGCTTGAAAAACACCATTCATTCATTTAAAAGAGCACAGGAAGTTGTGATTAAAAATTGGAAATAACATAATGGTCCACATAAACTAGTAGTTTATAAGGAATATTAACAAAATAGAGTGTAACAATCTACTCTGCCCTAATGAGTTTCCCTAAATGAGTTTCATGCCCCTAAATGAAATGGTACACGGAACAAAGATCAACTAAGAATGTTTACAGCAACAGAGTAGCCAAGCATGACATATATAGTTCATATATCCAATACTGAATGCATTGTTCCTGCATGCGGGTATCTTTTTTGACAAAGAACTAATCCTAGAAATGCTGTATGTAAATAACATATCCTGGCCAGGTGCAGTGGCTCACGCCTGTAATCCCAGCACTTTGGGAGGCCGAGGCGGGTGGATGACTTGAGGCCAGGAGTTCGAGACCAGCCTGGCCAACATGGTGAAACCCCATCTCTACTAAAACTACAAACATTAGCCGGGCATGGTGGCACGCCTGTAATCCCAGCTACTTGGGAGGCTGAGGCATGAGAATCACTTGAACCTAGGGAAATGGAGGTTGCAGTGACTCTAGATCACGCCACTGCACTCCAGCCTGGGTGACAGAGCGAGACCATGTCTCAAAAACTAAATATACATACATACGTGAATAAATGAATGAATAAATAAAAATAAATAATAAATCCTGTGCACTAGGAAGGACTTTTATTTTTAAATACCCAAGAATCGTGTCTCTGAAGAGCAAACTTCAATTGTTAAACCACCCTATTTGTTATACACCTACAACTAGATTTATTGCGTTGCTTTAGAATATATGAGACTAAGTCTGTACGCACGTTTCCTTCACATCTTCTACAATGCACAGACATGACGTGTCTGTGCCCCCCACTATCAGAGCACTTACGACACTGAACTGAAATCACCTGTTTGTATATCTGTCTCACCCCAGATACCAGAAACTTCTGGAGGGCAGTGGCGTCTGGGTCTTGATTACAGGTGTATCTTTTACTCCTAACACAGGACTATACACCTGGCTACAGGTTTATTAAATGTGTGTTCATGTGACTTGGAGAAGTCATATCAAAACATGTTTAAAGCTTTTCAGACAAGCCTTCATAACCTCCAGATGTCTTGTAGCATCTAGGGTCCCCTCTGACAAAAAGAAGTTCCCACTTTCTTAGTCAATCCATCCTGCATAGTGGTCACATAAATAATTTCTTTCATGGAGATGTCCAACTTCTAGGAGTTCCCAATTGCTCAACTTGAAGAACCAAGGGAAACATGATATGCATTGTCCACATTTATTTGGTCATGTGACCCTTCTTGCAAAACGAATGTTCCATGCACTGAGAAATGCCGTGCCAAGTGTACCCAGTTCAAAATTGTGTTACACGTAGCCTTGGGCTCAAACCCACGAAGTTAATATGATAAGTGGGGTTGCAACAAGCTGCCAAAAGCCATTCTAACTCACCTTCCCTGCTCCCACGGGGCCGACCACAGCTAACAATTCGCCAGGTCTGACAGTAAAGGAAAGGCCTTGTAGAGTTGGGGTCTCTGATGCCTACAAATTAAAGTTTATAAAATGTGCCCATTTCAATAAAGTCACACAAATCACTTCAAAAAGAGAAGAAAACAATACAACAGTCATTGATACATGAACATAACCCAAATCTTTCTCCTTCCTATTTTAAGATATTGTATCCTAGAGTCCTTTTCATACAATCATATTTTTTTGGTGGGGTTTTACACAGTTTGGAGTCTTCAGTACTTAAGGAAGGCCCATTCCCTTTTACCAGATTTTCATGTGAACACAGCTCCAGACTTCCACAAAATTTAGATAGTAAAAATGACAAGACAAGCTTCTTGAAATGAAAACTCATGCTAACTTACTAAAACAATATATATATATTTTTTACTTTAAGTTCTAGGATACATGCGCAGAACGTGCAGGTTTGTTACATAGGTATACATGTGCCATGGTGGTTTGCTGCACCTGTCAACCTGTCATCTAGGTTTTAAGCCCTGCATGCATTATGTATTTGTCCTAATGCTCTCCCTCCCCTTGCCCCCCACCCACCGACAAGCCCCGTATGTGTAATGTTCCCCTCCCTGTGTCCATGTGTTCTCATTTAAAACAATATTCTTTTTTTTTTTTTTTTTTTTTTTTTTTGAGACGGAGTCTCGTTCTGTCGCCCAGGCGGGAGTGCTGTGGCGCGATCTCCGCTCACTGCAAGCTCCGCCTTCCGGGTTCACGCCATTCTCCTGCCTCAGCCTCCCGAGTAGCTGGGACTACAGGCGCCTGCCACTGCGCCCAGCTAATTTTTTGTATTTTTAGTAGAGACGGGGTTTCACCGTGGTCTCGATCTCCTGACCTCGTGATCCGCCCGCCTCGGCCTCCCAAAGTGCTGGGATTACAGGCGTGAGCCACCGCGCCCGGCAATATTCTTAATATAATATTCAGTATGGGAGCTTTTCAACCATTTGTAAATTTTCATTCTGTCCCTTGGTTTTAATATTCTATTTCATTAACCTCCACAAGGTGGCAGCATGAGTACATGGCATGCCCAGTCCTTGGCTAATGGATGACTTGAAATCTCCACTAATCTTTCCATTTTCACTTGATAAAGCATGAACCTCAGTTATGCCCAGCCAGCCAGAAGGCACTTTATACTATAAAGTCACTCTTGGCAAATGAACTTCTACAAATGGTGGTCAACCCTGTAACCAAGAGCTCTAATTTAACAATAACCAAAAACTGAAGAATAATGAAATTAAGTGTATGTTCATAGGTCAAAGTGAAAGTCTCAGTGTTACACCTGCAGCTTGTGTTACCCATCCTGGGAAAATAGGGACAGCATAGTAGTTCTACTATAAACACTGAGGTACCCACCACAGCATTCAATCCAGCACAAAGGGAGGAAGGGATGAAGTACTCATTAGGGTATCAGAAATAATGTTCCTAAACAATCTATAAATTCTATGATAAAAAGATTCAGGAGTATATGCATGTTTTTACATATACTAAATGTTAACAAAATTATCAATCACTGCTAATGTTAAAAAAAAAAAAGTTGTTTTAGGCAGGGTACGGACTGGTTCATGCCTGTAATCCCAACATTTTGGGAGATGGAGGTGGGAGGATCACTTGAGCCTAGGAGTTCAAGACAAGCTGGGGCAACATAGTGAGAAACCATCTCTTAAAGAAAAAAAAATCAGCCAGGCATGGTGTGTGCCATAGTCCCAGCTACTCAGGAGGATGAGGCAGGAGGATCCCTTGAGCACCGGAGGCTGAGGTTGCAGTGAGCCAAGATTGCACCACTGCACTCTAACCCGGGTGACACAGTAAGACCTTGTCTCAAAAAAATGTTATTTTGCAGTTTATTATTTAGGAGACCAAATCAAATTCATTACTTTTACAAAGAGCTTCTAAATATTTTCAATTGAGAGGATTAAGTGTGTATCAGGGAGAAGGGATAGTTTACCAGAGCATGATAGGGATAGTTTACCAGAGCATGATAAACCAAAATGAGGAGGTTTCCTCTTCTCATACAAGGACAATCAGTACTTTGAATTATCTATCTTTTAAAAAAGCAAAAGTCAGTTGGTACAAATAAAGAGAGGAATGGTTTTAAATTCAGAGTATAGAACCTCAACCGTAAAAACTGCCAACTCTAAGAACTTTTGTCCAAACCCAGACATCAACACTAGTAGACAAAAATTGATACTGTTAAGTAAAGTAAAAACAGCTACAATTTGGGAGGAATCCTAAAGGGGTTTAAGCAGCACATTTATAATCTTCGTCTGAATTTCTCGTGGATAGATTGGAGAGACTTGACCATGCATGTCTGGTGGGTAGGCATTTAGCAAATTTATTCAAGTCCCAAATCCTTTCGGAAGTGGCTATTCTTCTGCACGACACACTTTGGTAAATGCTCATCCATATCATAGAAAAATGATCAAGAATGAATCAAAGGCAATGCAGCCTCCTCAACTCTAGAAAAGGATTCTTCAAAATGAATCTGGCGTCCCTGAAGGGTGGAACACCCCTGGGATGATGGAAGAGGGAAGCACGCATGGAGTCAACCAACCCAAAACCTAAAGACACTGAGCTGGCGCAGCCCACAGTTACTCATCAACCCCTCTCCACATCTCAAGCGGGCATGTGCAATTAGTAAAATGCCCAAAAGACAGAAAGCACGGTGGGGGAATAAGAGATCAAGATAACCTTCAAAATGAAAAATTTACCTGGAAACGACTTAATGGTCACATATCCGAATAATCACAAATATTTCTATAAATGGTCAAATGCTAAAATATGTGTGTATGAAAACTGACCCCTTATGTGTCCCATACCACATCATAGGATGGCCGCAGACCAAAACGATCATGATCCCTTTTAAGCACAAAGAAATTAGCCCCAGATTTCATAGGAATTATATAACAACCACCCAGAATAGGTTTCTTTACTCCTTCATACATGCCTAACAACTATTTCTTTTTTAAAAAAGTAATACATTACCTAAACACTTGGAAAAATAACGTTAAACAAAATGTGACATATTTACACGATTTTAAGTGCAAACTTGTCACAAATTCACAAAGTCTTGCTTGACTTCGCCTTACTATATAAGGTGTTCCTCCTCTAAAATGTAACGGGTCTACTCTGTATTCCTGATTAAGTAACATCTGTCTCTTAAGACAACTGAAACCTACTTATTTCTGTGATTACAAAAGGATGAAAAAACACAACCGGTCAACCTGTCCCTTTCCCCTCCTTTGCAGTGTGTCTCTTTCCTAACAACTACTTCTGATTTTACTTCTTTTTATTCAGTTTTGGCTGCAAAAGAGTGAGCCACATGCAAAACCCAGCTTCCCATCAAGGCCCTGGTTCTTAGAGCAGGTTTCTGCCCCGCCGGGAGGCCTGGGACCCAGCACTGGTGGGCTGCAGCCAGAAGGGGGCAGCACTCGACAGCTCAGAAGGCTAGGCCCATTCCCTCTGGGACCTCCCCAGGCTCCAAGACACACTAAGGCAGGCAGACTGAGCCCCCACTCTGTGGGCCCTGGGGCCAGAGCAGTGAAGAAAGCAGAAGCAAATCCCTTCCCCATGGAGAGTCACAGGCTCTCACGGGGCCACAGACTTTACAGCTTCAGCCCAAGCCCCTGTTTTATAAATGAGACCTAGGCTGGTGAGAAGACCTTCCCTCCAATACCTGCTGGTCTATCCAGCAGGACTGCTGCTGGGGTCTCTGTCTTTCTCCGAAATCCCAGCCCAGCACACCCTTCTTTCCTCTGCAGCTTCTCTCCAGAAGCCCGTGTCTGTGCCCCTCCTCCCACCCCAGCACCCTCTCAGCCGCAGGACCTCCCTAATAATCCCTGCCAGTGTGAGGCAAAATCACCCCAAGACAAGGCCAGAAAACAGGATGGAGTGTTCTGTTTACAATGCAGCTGTCAATGTTATCTAGGAACCGAAAAACAACAAAACAGACCATTTTACAATATCGCAGGGTTTGGTACAAAAGAAATTTGCAAATGGGACCTACACAGTGTGTGGTAGCTACCTCAGTGCCTTCCTCTAGCTCAACAGCATTCACCTAGAGTGCTTTTTTCTAGTGGGATGTTCACAGAGCTGTCTGTCAATGCTTGAAGTGTATTAGAGCTGGGCACGGTGGCTCATGCCTGCAATCCCAGCACTTTGGGAGGCCAAGGCGGGCAGATCACTTGAGGCCAGAAATTCAAGACCAGCCTGGCCAACATGGGAGAAACCCTGTCTCTACTAAAAATACAAAAATTAGCCAGGCATGGTGGGGCGTGCCTGTAATCCTAGCTACTCACGAGGTTGAGGCAGGAGAATCACTTGACCCTGGGAGACAGAGGTTACAGTGAGCCGAAATCACAGCACTGCACTCCAGCCTAGGCAAAAGAGCAAGACTCTGTCTCCAAAACAAATAAATAAATAAATAAAGTGTATGAGGGTGGGAATGCCAGCAGATAAAGAGAAACTGTCACCTTGTGTGAGTTTCCATGTGCACAAGATGCGATGATGTTCTAAATATCTGGGAACACATTATTGTTTTGTTGGTAGAGATGGCAGAAATTACATCAGAATTAGGCAAACATGAAACAGGGAGTGCAATACTTAGAGCCAAGGGCATGTAGAGAAAGGAAGAGTCTGGAGTCTAGAGAGTTTTGACATTTGTCCCACAGGGGAGGACGGAGGCAGTGGGGCTGGGCAGGAGTGCTGCTCAACCGCCTATTGGCTCTTGGCTCCAGCAAACTACGCTACAACGCAAGGTCAGCCACAAAGAGCACCCGGAGAGGGGAGGAGCTGGTCACCACCAGCACTGCCCACCTGTTTTAAGCAGCCTGAGCTGTTCCAGTACCCTCAGAAGAGACCCTCGCCCTCTGCTCCCAAATCTTGCTGGCAGCTGGGCCACTGGGCTCTGCTCCTGGCAGACATCATCTCCAGCCCCGGGGTGCAGCTTCCTGCCGTGGCTGATCTCGGGGTGGCCTCCTCCACCCCTGCTTTCCCTTTGTGCTCTTTCTTTCATCACCTATGAAACGAATTCCCTGCACAAAATTCCCTCTCCCATGCTGTGTGTTCTGTTTTCCAGACTAACACAGACTGAGACAAGTGCATTTGCAGAGGACCCCGGACTCAGGTGAGCGTAACCGCAGAACCAGCCCAATCTGGTTCAACTTTGTGTAATAACATAGTAAACAGTTTTTCAGTCACCATGGATCCCAGGTTGCAAGTTACGTAATCTGAGCATTCCCAGATGAACCAAGCAGGCAACCATGGGCAGAACCCAAGTGCTAGGACCAAGGAAGGAGGAACGAGTTCAGAGGCGAACGCCTCATGGCATGATCCAGGATCCGATCAGGTCCAGCTCTGGCATCATGCAAGACCCAATCGGACCATGCCTCATTACCCTCTGCCTATAAAACCTGCCCCATCCCCCAGCTAGGGAAGACAAATTTGAGCGTTGCCTCCTGTCTCCTTGCCATTCCACTCACAATACAGCCTTTCTCTTCATGAAAAGCTGGTGCCATAGTAGTGGCGTCTATGAGCACTGGGCAGGGAGCCCACTGCTTCCTTGGAAGCATGAGGAGGGCACTGGAGTTGTGGATAACAGGAGATGCACCGAGCCTCAGTACTTCTTGTGGGTGGCCCCTGCTGTTGGTCCCATTTGCCTAAATGTTATGAGTAAACCAAGTGTTGAAAAATCCTTGTGGCCTTGCCAGAACTACCTGTCCACTTACCACACGGTGAAACCCTTCAGTCAGGAATCCATGGAGCTTGCTACGCCGGCCTGCAGCCTCCCCTCGGCCTTGGGCTGCCACCAAAGCAGCTGGCAACATCCAGATGCTTGGAATAGGGGAGCCCCACCCCAACCCCGTGGCAAAAATCCAAGTCATGGGCTTTCTCAATATGTAATAAGATGACCTGAAAACGCTAAGCTGAAAATGTGCACTGATACCCCAAAGTCTCCGTAATAATCTACAATGTACTCAGCAGTTAACCCATTCCATGCTGCACCCCTAGTCTGTCCAATCCTATAAAATCCAGCGTTGCCAATGTCCAAACTTAGTGACATTTAGTTTAGAACGAGGTAACACTTTCCTTGGTTTTTTGAAAATGAGATAAAATACAACTTGTCAAATACCTAAGTCTGATTTCATACCTACTTTCTATTAATTGCAAAACTTACTCCTAATTTTGAGAATCTTTGTAACATAGTTTCAGTAAATAAGCAAGCCATATTTTATACCATGTGTAACACCTCAAAATTCTCTATTAAATCAATGTCACTCATTATCTTCAGCAGTCATGATCTTGCATTAAGGATATGTTACCTTATCCCAAAAAGCAGTAAAATCCTGCACATGCACCATCTTTTTACCATCTGACGGCAGCTGACGGTTGCGCTGTGATATCTCATCAAGTAGCAAAAAGGTCTAAAGAAAATGGGAAAAACACAGATTGTTTAAATTACAGAAACAAAAGCACAAACAAAAGTCACTGCTTCCATGGAATTTGTAACATAAAACTTTATACAGCCTACAGATCATTTTACCAACCCTATTTAAAGTATCGGTTCACATCAGCATATGATATTTATTTAATAAATAAACATGTAAAGAGTTCATGGCCATGAACTATCTTTGTAATTTTAGGAACTATCTGTGTAATTTTTTTCAACAAGTATACTTGTTCCTAAATAAACCGAAAATACTGCTCTGAGACTGAGTGCATTGACAGCCTGCATAGTTCTACTGTTGTACTTTTGTGTTACTAATGGTGAACACGGGAGTTGGTTGGAAATGATCTGATGAATATTTCATGAATCCTCATCATGTGCCAAGCCCCGCGCTAGATGCTGGCAACATGAAAGTCAAGGCCATTCCCAGCCTTCAGGAAGCAAGTGAGCCCAGAAGGGTAGGCAGGAAACACAGGGCAGAGCCTCTGAAGGCAGCCCTGGCTCTGGCCAGTCACTTAGATTCAACTGGCCTTCTCCTCCCTCGTGCACGTCAAATTGACATACAACTTAATTCACTATCACTTAAGTCAGTGTTCTTTACCAAAATAAGAAAAAAGGTTTCTATCTCTTAAAACATATTTTATAAGCTTCTTTTCACAATCACCTATTATTATTGTTATTATTATTATTTTGAGACAGAGTCTCACTCTGTCACCCAGGCTGGAAAGCATGGCACGATCTCGGTTCGCTGCAGCCTCCGCCTCTCCGGTTCAAGTGATTCTCCAGCCTCAGCCTCCCAAGTAGCTGGGATTACAGGTGTCTGCCACCATGCCTGGCTAATTTTTGTATTTACACTGGAGACAGGGTTTCACCATGTTAGCCAGGCTGGTCTCGAACTGCTGGCCTCAAGCAATCTACCCACCTCGGCCTCCCAAAATGCTGGGTTTACAGGCATAAGCCACCATGCTACACCTACACTTATCTTTTTTCCTTAGTCAATGTCCCCTCCTAGACAGCAGAACGGACCAATCTCTCGCTTATTGCTATTTTCCACACTAGTTAGCAACTACACAATGCAATTTAACTGAATAAAACAAAGTCCTGTTAACCATAACAAACCTAACATAATGATATATGGGAAAACTCCCTTTTGCTCCTCAAATGGTAGGCATAATTCAGTGAGAGAAGCTACAGTGGCTTAGAAACAGAATAAACAACCTAGATCACCCCCACCCCATCCAAAATTTTGTAGATGTGGCAAAAACTGTCAGCTCTCCTCAAAACCTGCTCTAATTTTCTGTGCATTTTTAGCCAACGCACAGCAGCCTTGAACAAGGACCACTCTCTCCAGCCCCCAACACAGTTAGATGTAGCCACATGACTTTAAGTTCAGCCCAACAGAAAGTGACAACGTCCAGGAAACTTCCTATACAGTCTCCAGGCCTTGGAAGCTGCCTGGACAACTTCCCCTCCAAAATCCAGGTGGTGAAACTTAATGGCCAATGTGATGGTATTGAGAGGTATTTAGGCCATGAGGGCTCCTCCCTCATTGCACTCCAGCCTGGGCAATAGTGCAAGACCCTGTCAAAAAAAATAAAAGGAAAGGAGGAAAGGAGGAAAGGAGGAAGGAAGGAAGGAAGGAAGGAAGGAAGGAAGGAAGGAAGGAAGGAAGGAAGGAAGGAAGGAAGGAAGGAAGGAAGGAAGGAAGGAAGGAAGGAAGGAAGGAAGGAAGGAAGGAAGGAAGGAAGGAAGGAAGGAAGGAAGGAAGGAAGAAGGGAGGGAGGGAAGGAAGGAAAGAAAGAAAAAAGACCAGACCCAATTTCACAAGTTTACTGACCGGCAATCATTTGTGATACTGATACAATGTTTTCACTGGTCCCTTCTCCAGCATCCCCCATCACAACCAAACCGTTCCCAAACACCACTCCCTAAGGATCTTCTGAAAACACCTCTGATAATAACCACCATGCTTCAAACTCTTCCATGACCCAGCAGCACTGACAGTCACACTCCCAAAGTAGCCTTTGCCTTGATTCCCTGAGTATTAATCCCACCCTGTCTTTGAGGGCCCACCTCAAAGACTAATCCTGCTGGGAACCAGCTCAGGGTGGCTGCAGCTGGGACCGAAACTGAGTTATGTACAGGGCAGAGATGTGTCCCCCATCCTGCACTTACAAACACACTCACCTGCATGAACACTGCACTGCACACGGGGTCAGCTCTTCACAGATACATGCTACAGTCATAAACAGACTGTATGATCGGCTTAAATTATTCAAACAATCAGCTATGTCAGTTAGCACAGCAACAAGCAAAAGGTTATATATACATCTTCTTAACCTTGTCTAGACAGAATAAAATTCTGATTTTAGCTGAAGTGTACGACCAAGACATCAAATTCAGTATTCTGTATGTGCAGGTCAGAACAGAAGTTCCCCACCTTCAAAATAAAAAACTATGCACACAGTAAACCTATTGAGCACTGGTCAATAAACAACAGATCTGAGTGGAGACAGACATGATAATAGTTTAGTGGTTAAATGAGACTCCACTCAACACATGAACGGCTTGTAAAGATGCTGGAGGGGCTAGCTGGACTTTCTCTAGTCACTCAGGAGGGTGAAAAAGCTGAAATGACATTGCCAATACAGCAATGAGGTGCATCCCCAGAAAGTTCACTTGGGGAAGTATCAGACGGCAGAACTGAAGTCAAAGAGATTGACTTCAGAGTGGACGGTTGGCAAAAACTGAAGCAGCTTTGTGAACAATAAAACCTCAGAGACACATTTTACTGGATGTGGAAGTCATTGAAGACTTTCAGTGCTTTGCTGTTAAGATAAGATCTCTTAAAATCCTATTGGACTTGCTTAATGCCAAGACCATCAATCCTTTCCTTAATAAAAGAAAAACAGACGGAACTTCTTAGACCTAAAAACTTCGCAATAAAACCTTCATTTTCTGTACATGGAAAAAAGGAAATTGAAAAGTATGAGTAAGAAAGACAATAGATTAAAGACTTAAATATAAAACCTCAAACCATAAAAACCCTAGAAGAAAGCCTAGGTAATACCATTCAGGACATAGGCATGGCAAAGACTTCACGACTAAAACACCAAAAACAATGGCAACAAAAGCCAAAATTGACAAATGGGATCTAATTAAACTAAAGAGCTTCTCCACAGCAAAAGAAACTCTCATCAGAGTGAACAGGCAACCTACAGAATGGAAGAAAATTTTTGCAATCTATCCATGTGACAGAGGGCTAACATCCAGAATCTACAAGGAACTTAAACAAATTTACAAGAAAAAAAACAACCCCATCAAAAAGTGAGCGAAGGATATGAACAGACACTTCTCAAAAGAAGACATGTATGCAGCCAACAAACATATGAAAAAAAGCTCATTATCACTGGTCATTAAAGAAATGCAAATCAAAACCACAATGAGATACCATCTCACACCAGTTAGAATGGTGATCATTAAAAAGTCAGGAAACAACAGATGCTGGAGAGGATGTGGAGAAATAGGAACACTTTTACATTGTTGGTGGGAGTGTAAATTAGTTCAACCACTGTGAAAGACAACGTGGCAATTCCTCAAGGAACTAGAACCAGAAATACCATTGGACCCAGCAATCCCATTACTGGGTATATACCCAAAGGATTATAAATCATTCGACTATAAAGACACATGCACACGTATGTTTACTGCAGCACTATTTACAACAGCAAAGACTTGGAACCAACCCAAATGCCCATCAATGACAGACTGGATAAAGAAAATGTGTCATATATACACTGTGGAATACTATGCAGCCATAAAAAAGGATGAGTTCATGTCCTTTACAGGGACATGGATGAAGCTGGAAACCATCATTCTCAGCAAACTAACACAGGAACAGAAAACCAAACCCTGCATGTTCTCACTCATAAGTGAGAGTTGAACAATGAGAACACATGGACACAGGAAGGGGAACATCACACACCAGGGCCTGTCAGAGGGTGAGGGGCAAGGGGAAGGAGAGCATTAGGACAAATACTGAATGCATGTGGGGCTTAAAACCTAGATGATGGGTTGATGGGTGCAGCAAACCACCATGGCACATGTATACCTATGTAACAAACCTTCATGTTCTGCACATGTGTCCCAGAAAAAGTATAATAAAAAAATTAAAATAGAAATATAAAAATATTTTTTAAAAATTTAACAACACAATGTTTTCTAAACTCTATGTGTCTGCCAAGCTCTGGTCTATCTATGGTCAAGACTCACTTAGTTCCGATCAGTATATTGGGCAGAACTATTCCTCCTCTCCTGATGCCATTTTTCACCTTCTCATTGTTCATTAACACATCCACGAGAGGCAAGGAAGAAAGTGAACATTGGATCAATTCATTACACTCATCATTTACAACCTCCATTTTTAGAGAAATAGGAAAGGAGGCGGAACCAGGCAGACCCCATCAGTGGGTCTTGTAGCAAACATCTGCACAGTTCTAAAGCATCCCAGTCTTCAAAGCCAAATTCATCCCCAAATCTGGTCTTCTAGTATTCCATATTTCAGTGAACCCAGGTGATTTTGCAGCCATAAGGACGAAAGTAGCCCTGATCCCTCCTTCTGACTAATCCCTCCTCTTGCCCCACACCCAAATCAGGACATGCTCTCAATGGCTTTCAAATCTATCCAAGGCTGTCTACTTGGTCTGAGTCCAAATCCCATCATCATCTTCCGGGACTGCTTGCTGCATCAGCCTCCTGACGTATCTCCCTGCCTCTACTCTGGGCCCCCAATGCATTCCCCAGGCTGCAGCCAGGGTGAATTGAAAATATGTGGATTTTCTTGAACATTAAGAGCTTTCTCACATAATTACCCCCAGGGAAATGCAGGGCATCAGCCTCCTGGCTGCCCCAAGCCACCTCCCTTCCCAAACCCTTCCCCATCTCTCTCCACTACCACGCACACAATGCTGCAGGCTATTTCTTGAGCCTTCGCAGGAAGCACTACACCTCCACAATGGCATGGGCATCTCTACCAAAGCACCTCATGGCATCTCAGATATTGCCTTCCAAAGACAATGACACATGAGCACTGATTTTAATTACGTGGTTATTTATTAACCCCCACTTGATGATTCCCAGGAGGAAGTTCCCAGCAGGAAGGACTTCTGTGCATTGGCTTACCATTGTATCTAAGCATTTATCACAGTGCCAGCTTAAGCTAGGTGCTCAATTACATTGTAGAGTCAATGACTAAGTGAATGAATAAATTCCAAACTTAACCCCCAAAAGCCTAGCATAGACCAAAACAGGTGTCTGCGTGCTTCCTCTCAAATGATTTTAGTCTTAAGTTATCCTGACGTCGTTTCTATTTGCTACACATATTTTGACCTCATGCGTTTTTTTATCACACAACTAGGGCAAGGTTTCCCAAAGACAGCATATTTTCAGGGACACGAGGACACTTTCTAAAGATATTGATTGGGCTGAGCGCAATGGCTCACGCTGTAATCCCAACACTTTGGGAGGCCGACGCGGGTGGATCACGAGGTCAAGAGACTGAGACTATCCTGGCCAACGTGGTGAAACCCAGTCTCTACTAAAAATACAAAAGTTAGCCGGGTGTGGTGGTGCATGCCTGTAGTCCCAGCTACTCCAAAGGCTGAGGCAGGAGAATCACTTGAACCTGGGAGGCAGAGGTTGCAGTGAGCTGAGATCACGCCACTGCACTCCAGCTTGGTGACAGAGCGAGACGCCGTCTCAAAACAAAACAAAACAAAACAAAAGATATTGGGACCCAGCCAATGCCTGATGAAGCAGAATCTCCAAGGTGTAATAATTTAGTTTTAATCAGTGCATCAGGTAATTCTGATGAACTTGGGGACAAAATTTTAAATGGGTTACAGGAACCATCCAGGTTGAAAAAACACAAAGTTCTAAAGGAAGAAAAAACAAACAAATAAACAAAACAAAACAAAACCTCCAACAATGACTTCAACACCACCATGAAGGAGTTTACCATACGAGCGCCAACGCTTTCTTACCAGTCATGCCTGGCCATTTGTTTCTCCTTTACTGAAAATCACTACTGCTGAACTCTAGGCCCACCCTCCCACCAGAAACTATGTACATGAGGGGAAATTAAGGTTTCCTGCCCAAGTCAAAGATGCATCCTTTATCTGGACACAGAGCACCTTGCCAAAGTTAGCCACTGGAAAATGTAAAATTCCCAGCCGGTCATTTTATTTTACTACATGCATACATCTATCTACAGGAACAGGAATTTCAAGCCTTAGACACAGGTGAGTTGCATTTTGGTGGGAAAAAAATAAAAAATCCTAAGGATTTCTTCCCTAGCTGCATATTGGACCACAATTCCCTGAAAATCGTCTGCAGGATCCCTTTCATGCCACACTCTCTGATGTGTGACATAATTCAGCAGAGAACGACAGTCATCACTTCCCACTAAAATAATGCTCAGTTGTTAGGCATTTTCCAAATCTCATAGATGTAATGAAGCTGGAGGTTGACTTCACTTACACATCTTCTGAGCACCTGCAATCTATACGTAATATAAAGATGAATGAGGCACTGTGTCTGCCTTTTGTAAGTTTAGAGTTTAGGAAGGGAAAGAAATCTATAAACAAATGGCTTCAATAATAAGGGGAAAATGAGGACAAAGTCACGTATGGAGAGCCCAAAAGAAGAGATGAGGATTAAAGAGTGTGTGATGGGCCGGGTGCGGTGGCTTATACCTGTAATCCCAGCACTTTGGGATGCCAAGGCGGGTGGATCACTTGAGGTCAGGAATTCGAGACCTGCCTGGCCAACGTGGTGAAACCTTGCCTCTACTAAAAATACAAAAATTAGCTGGACATGGTGGCTCACGCCTGTAATCCCAACTACTCAGGAGGCTGAGGCAGGAGAATTGCTTGAACCCGGGAAGTAGAGGTTGCAGTGAGCTGAGATCGTGCCACTGCACTCCAGCCTAGCCGACAGAGTGAGACTCATCTCAAAAGAAAAAAAAGACTGTGATGGTGAATTTTATGTGTCAGCTTGGCTAGGCCACAGTCCCCAGATATGTGGTCAAACATGTCTGGGTATCAATGGGAAAGTGTTTTTCAGTTGAGATTAGCATTTAAATCTGTAGACTTTAAAATCCTACATAATGTCAGCGGGGCTCATCCAATCAGTTGAAGGCATTTAAGAGAAAAAAGACCTACAAAGAAAAGGGAATTCTGCCTCAAGACTGTCCTCCTCAGACTCAAGCTGCATCATCAGCTCTTCCCAGGGTCTCTGGCCTGCCAGCTGCCCTGCAGATTGCAGACTTACGTCACCTCCAAGTTGCGTGAGACAATTTTATCAATCAATCTACCAATCTCTCTCTGCATGTACATACACGTGGGCCCTATCAGTTCTGCTTCTCTGGAGAACTCTGACTAATACAGACGGTTTTCTAAATAAGTGAGACAAAATAGGAAATGACCTCCAGACACTAAGTCCAATCCCCTTATTTAAAGACAATAAAACCAAGGCCCAGAGAGTTGGTGAGAACCCAAGGTCTGCGTCCCACCCCGCCATACCACCTGTTGGGGCTGCTCTTTGCCCAATTATTTTTTATGGCTGCCGCATGGAAGTGAGATCTGCATTCAGGTTATGCTGTGCATGTGGGGATAAGAATGTGCACTTTTTTTTTTTTTTTTTTTTTTTGAGATGGAGTCTCCTCTGTCACCCAGGCTGGAGTGCAGTGGTGCAATCTCAGCTCACTGCAACCTCCACCTCCCGGGTTCAAGCAATTCTCGTGCCTTGGCCTCCAGAGTAGCTGGGATTACAGGTGCGTGCCACCATGCCCAGCTGATTTTGTTGTTGTTGTTTTATTTTTTGCAGAGGCGGGGTTTCACCATGCTGGCCAGGCTGGTCTAGAACTCCTGACCTCAAGTGATCCGTCCACCTAGGCCTCCAAAAGTGCTGGGATTACAGACGTGAGCCATCGCGCCTGGCCGCACTTCTGAGACAGATTGACGGCCTGGGCTAAAGCCCCGGATCAGCCTTTTATTAACTGTTAAAACGTGGAGGTGCTATTCACCCTCCTCAGGCTTCAGTTTCTTTATCTGTAATGTGGGAATGATAGGGGAGTTACACAAGTAAAAGGAGTGAGTATTCATAAGGCACTTGGGCCCCTCCTTGTTACCTAGTGGGTACTCACCAGCTATTACCTGTTCATATAAAGCCCCATGGTCTTGATCTTAATCTTCATTTATCTCATAATGGCCAGGAAGACAGACTAATTTTATTAACCAAGTAAGACTGTTTCTATTTCTCCACATGGCCCAAGGAAAGTCCATTTGTTTCACAGCCTGGAAGCCAGTCAGGAGGCTCTTTTTTTTTTTTTTTTTGGAGACAGAGCCTCACTCTGTCACCCAGACTACAGTGCAGTGGCGTAATCTCGGCTCACTGCAACCTCCACTTTTTGGGTTCAAGCAAGCCTGAGCCTCCTGAGGAGCTGGGATTACAGGCGTGTAGCTCAGGAGCTGGGATTACAGGCATGTACCACCATGCCTGACTAATTTTTATATTTTTAGTAGAGACGGGATTTCACCATGTTGGCCAAGCTGGTCTCTAACTCCTGACCTCAAGTGATCCGCTCACCTCGGCCTCCCAAAGTGCTGCGATTATAGCTGTAAGCCACCGCGCCTGGCCAGGAGGGTCTATATTTAATGTCAGACATGGCCCCTCTCTTACAAGAGCAGGTCCACCAAGTCCAAGAGGGTTTGAGATGCACAGAGGGACACACATAACGAGGCAGAGACTCCGATCCAGTCCACTCTGAAAAAAATCCAGCTCCCCAGAGTTAAGGACCCTCACACCCCCCTTGAACAAGGCCTGGTGTTCTGGGAATATTCAACTCGAGTCTGCTTCCTCGCTCGGCCTTCCTCTAGCTTCTAGTGCAGGCTGGGCCACCTTGGGTCTGTATTGGGCCCCAGACTTTTGCTAAGGTTGCTGCTTCTGTCCATCCAGCATTTGGTGCCCATTATGTGTCCATCAATGCTGAGCTGCACCGTACTGGCCTTGCTCGGCAGGAACAAAAGTACCACCAGGCTCCTGAGACCTGGCCGGAGGGCTTAGTAGCATTTGCTTAAATCAAGGACAGAAGGGAGGACACCCCAGCCACACAGAGCAAAAGACCCCAAAGTGGGAACAGAGACGAGTCATGTGCTGGGAAACACACACAGGTAAGCCCTACACCTAGGGTTCAAAAATAGGACTCCACAAGAAACAGAGAACCTTTCAAGGTTTTTGGAATACAACTAGATGAGTAAAAGAATACTGAAGGAAATATCCCACACCAGAGGATACTAAGGCAGCAACATAGGTGATACAGTTTGGCTCTGTGTCCCCACCCGAATCTCAGCTTGAACTGTAATCGCCATAATCCTCACGTGTCAAGGGTGGGACCAGGTGGAGGTAATCGGATCATGGGGGCAGTTTCCCCTGTGCTGTTCTAGTGATAGTGAGTTCTCATGAGATCTGATGGTTTTATACGCGTCTGGCATTTTCCCTGCTTGCACTTCTCCTTCCTGCCACCCTGTGAAGAAAGTGCCTGCTTCCCCTTCCGCCATGACTGTGAGTTTCCTGAGGTCTCCCCAACTATGCTGAACTGTGAGTCAATTAAACCTCTTTCCAATATAAATTGCCCAGTCTCAGGAAGTTCTTTATAGCAATATAAAAACAGATTAATACAACAGGCAACATACCATGGTTAAGAAATCATGGTTCTGAACAGATTCCTAGTTCTAAGATAGGCAAACTCCTTAACCTATTACAGGAGCCAGTTTCATTCTCTGTAAAGTGGGGACACTAATGCTTATCTCCTTCAATTGTGAGGATAACATGAAATAACATGTACAGGCTTCCAAGAGCCCTGGTCCACGGTACACACACCAACACCTGCAATCACGGTGAGGGGCAGCAACAGCAGTCAGAGAATTACAGCAGCACAATACACATGTGGCCCTTCCGTCTGAAAAAGGTGTCCTGCACACTCAGAAAGATACTCTGGTCAAAGTATACTCCTAAGTTCTTTCTTTCAAGATGCAAAAGCTACATGAAAAAAGTGTTACTGACCTGCATGGACCATCCCTTCACAGTGTTACCTGAAGCTGTTGTCAGAAAGAATGGGGATAAGAAATGACCCTGTATGGTCTGTTTTATAGGTAATATTTTTTATGAAATACAAACTTGCTAATCAGTAGTGGGAGTCTGCCTATGAATAGCCACTATGCTCCAGCCTGGGTAACACAGCAAGATCTCATCTTTAAAAAACAAACTTCATCATAAAAAAGAATCTTAGCTTTTATGACAACACCCACCCCATTCTCTCCCCTACCAAAAAAATAAAAATAAAAAAATAATCACAGCCAGTGTCAGCTAAGTTCACTCGAGTCTGTCCTTGGGCATCCATCTCTATTAAGAACCAGGAATAAAACAAAGCAGATTTTTGAAAAGCTTAGACAGTCAAGTTCTTGCCAAGCCCTCTCACAAAGCCAATTTATTTTAATTTTCAACTTATTCATAAACACACAAATACTTGAGCATACATTATGTGCCAGGACCTTACCTTGGTGATATAAATTATTTGCCCCTGGCAATTGAGTGACAGCGACTTAGGAAAAGGTGATGGTGTGTAAAGTGGATGCTATGGTTTGAATGGGCATGCCTGTTCTAAATTCACAGGTTGGAAGTTCACCCCAGCATCAGTGTTAAGAGGTGGGGCCTCTAAGAGGTGATCAGGTCGCTACGGCAGAGCCCTCCTGAAGGGGATTAGTGTCCTTACAGAAGGCTGGAGAGAACTAACCAGGCCCATTTTGTCCTTCTGTTTCCTCCACGATGGGAGGACACAGAGGTCCATCTGGGAAGCAGAGAGTGGTCCTTGTTACAGTCGTACAAATGGAGCAAGGCAGTAGAAATCAACCAATTGGAAATAAAGAAGTCTGGCAGAGATAGGTTCATCAACAGTAAGAAAAAAGTGAAAAGCGGACAGGAAAGAAATGGCAGAGGTCCTAAAGGCATGCACAGAAATTAACAAGGAAAACATCTACAGAGGAAAGAACTTATTTTCAAACAGGGATAGCTAAGTGAAGTTGAGGCCATTCTTCCTGACCAAGAAGCAGAGACCCCCAGCAAGCTCTTTCCTTCCAGCCCACAGAAGAATCATACTCAACTCATACTCACTACTTTCTCATTGGTGTTAACATAAGAGATGAAATCTATTTGCTTTTCCTGCTTTTAGACAGCTTAGACATTTTAATCACCCCTGCAGTTACCACCTGTACATCAAAAGCCCTGTGCCACTGCTGTTTATGTTGCTGCCAACAAATGAATCACAATGCTTGCATTGTCTTTACCGCGCTCTATCTAAGATAGGGAAGTACACACAACATTCTGGAATGGCGGCACGTTTTGGTTATGAGAGAGTTAAATGTCATTACACTGGAACATAGTGATGCTAAATAAAAGGAGACATCATTCTACTTCAAATGCACCTACAACTTTAAAATGGCATCTGACACCAACCTGGATTCTTCGGATGCTGACGATTGCCTCTGACACCCTCTCAATGGCTGAGGGGAAGAAGAGGGTAACCGTCAGCCGCACAGCCCCATACAGCGTCACTGCCACGAACACGCGGCTGGCTGTGATCACACTGCCGAGGAGCACGTAGGTGGTGAAGGTCACAAACACGATGATTTTGCTTGCACTGAAAAATGAAGCCAAATTCATCCCTCTGAGGCAGGAACTTCTCAGAATCTTGGAAATCTCCTTCCTGAAAGAGAGTACAGGTTTTTAAAAAAGCAGTGATGTCAACCAGATAAAGTGGCTCACGCCTGCAATCTCAGCACTTTGGGAGCTGAGGTGGATGAATTGTTTGAACCCAGGAGTTTGAGACCATCCTGGGCAACAACAACAAAAAAGTGCAAAGGTGAGAGGTGGCCAGGAACTACCCAAGAAATCATAAGAAGTATCATGTGCTGGAATGCAACAACTAATCAAATATTTAATCCAAAAGCCAAAAAAAAAATACATATTTTGTTTTTTGAGACAGAGTTTCACTCTTGTCGCCCAGGCAATGGTGCGATCTCAGCTCACTGCAACCTCCGCCTCCTGGTTCAAGCGATTCTCCTGCCTCAGCCTCTCAAGTAGCTAGGATTACAGGCATGTGCCACCACGCCCAGCAAATGTTTGTATTTTTAGTAGAGACAGGGTTTCACCATGTTGGCCAGGCTGGTCTCAAACTCCTGACCTCAGGTGATCCACCCGCCTCAGCCTCCCAAAGTTCTTGGATTACAGGCATGAGCCACTGCGCCCAGCCCCCTCCAAAATTTCTAATAAAACAAAGCACAACTAACAGTATTTCCATGCCTGTTTGGAATGAAAAATACTGATTCATATAGTTTGGTCCAATATAGATATGCCCAGTCTCTATAACTTGTCCATTTGGCTACATTAATATAAATTATAGTTTTATTTTAAACACCATTATTCTCAAATACTAACATCTTAGACTCATTGTTGGGATTTGGGATATTCAGAAACATTTGGAATTTCACTTTTGTATTAGTAAGAAGCATACATGCTTTCTGTTTAAGAACATGGTAAATGGAAGACCAAGTGAAAATAACGTTCTCTACCATTCTACTTAACCCAACTGCCAAGCGTGGGGACTGGGATGGATTGTACTGAACTTCCCATAATGTGAAAACATAGTAAAACTTCTAAAACCATCAACAAGAATAGCAAATAGAAAAATACAAAAATATGGTACAATGTATACAAAAACTTACTTTCTCAAATTGGTAATAAGATTTGAAAATGACTTTTCCCAGGCGTACATTTTTATTATCCTTATACCAGTTATAACTTCATTCATGGTCCTGATCCTGGCATCCGTGAAAGTTGCAGTTTTACTCCTAAGGGGAACCAGACACGGGAGATGAGCCTGAGCGATCACAGCCTGCCCTTATCAGCGGCAGGCACAGGCAGGGACCTGCATCACATGGTTCCCTACAGCGCTTTTGCTTCCGACAACACAGACAGGTCCTACTCAAAATACAAATAGAAAAAGACTTCGATTAGGAAGTCAACAATCTATACCAACTCAACAAGTATTTTGGAGAATTTGTAATATCTGCTGAGGAAGACATGAAAATGAGTCAGATGTCATCTGTCCCCTCGAGGAGCTCACAGGTGGGCAGGAAAGGCAGAAAGGCACCCGAGCCTGACGATAACACAGTGGTCAGAGAGTGCTAAAATGGGAATGAAGTGCTGGGGAGCAGAAAAGAAAGGGCTGTTTGTTAACTCCACCGGGAAAGAGGAGAGCAAAAAAAAAAAAAAAAGCTTCAGAGGACCAGGAGCATTTGAACGGGGCCTCAAAGGACAAGGACTATTTCTCCAGATGGCAAAGAGGGGAAGGTCCAAGTAGAAAATACACCATAAGCAAAAGCATAAAACAAAGAACTCAATGCACTTCCAACAGTGGCTCATCTCGATCCAGCTGACAACCTTGACAATGAACCATTTCCAATTCGTTGGAACCTGCTTCAAGTCTAATTTATTTTATCATCATTAATCTCTTGATCAAAAGCTGTATTTCTTTTTTTTTTTTTTTTTTTTTTTTTTTTTTGAGACAGAGTCTCACTCTGTCACCCAGGCTGGAGTGCAGTGGCATAATATCGGCTCACTGCAACCTCTGCCTCCTGGATTCAAGTGATTCTCGTGCCTGAGCCTCCCAAGTAGCTGGGATTACAGGCGTGTACCACCATGCCCAGCTAATTTTTTAAATTTAGTAGAGACGGAGTTTTGTCATGTTGGCCAGGCAGGTCTCAAACTCCTGGCCTCAAGTGATCCACCTGCCTTGGCCTCCCAAAGTGTTGGGATTACAGGCTTCAGCCACCACGACCAGCTAACAACCATATTCCTAACACATATGCTACTAGGACTGTGTGATTTTATAACTACATCATTAAAATTCACCTTGCCTTTGGGGAGCTTACAATTTAATGGAAATACTGAATTAAAAATAACACACATATATACACGTGAAAACAGCTCTAACACAAGCACGGTAAAGATGTATGCAGCTAGAATGGAGCCTATGAAACATTTCAATTTATCATTATTCATTATATGTTTAACTAACTTCTACATATGTGATTTCTGCTTAAGGACACTCTACTTATTGAGGCCACAGCGCCTGAAAAGCTGGCTGGGAGGAGCCAGTGAATGCCTTCACCTTTCTCCCTTGAAGATTTGCCTTCAGCATAAGGACAGAGGCCCCCTTGGCTGAGCCTGAAGAGCTGCAACATATGCAAGGAAGAGATAATAAAAGGCATTTAGTTTGTTTCTGAACAAAAGCATTGGGAAGACTGTGGATGTTACCAAATACATATGACATTTTTCACAGCAGTATTTCTCTTACCTCAGTGATGAGAACAACTTCCCAAAACAGCTTTGCAAGGGCAGGAGAATGATTAGAACTGCCATCCCAGCAAGGCACGATATTCCTATCTCCATCCAGAGTAGGGCAGTCACTGCAATCGCCTGCAGTGGTCCTGCCCACAGGAAGTGTAAGAACACTGTCACCTTTAAAGAAAAAGACAGAGCGTTCTTAGGACTCCAGAAAAGCAAAACCAGTAAGAACACAGTACAGAAACGATCCACTGGAAAAGAACAGGCAAGATCCTAAACAGAAATGGCCACAGTGGGTTTACACCTGCTAAAGCAGAAAGCCAAGCACCCACCACAGGTGAAGCCATTCTGGGGAAACAAAGAGTGGGTCTGGGAGACTCGCAAGAGAATCCGACCAGCGGCATTAGAAGAATGTCTTGATCGTGACTATCTTCACTGATGAGCTGAGCATTTTCCAGAACTCTCTGCCACAGAATTCAGCTCCCATATGCCCTGGGGCTCCCCAGTACCCCAAGAAAACCTGTACTACAGTGCCCACCACATACTCCAGTAATTTACTTGTGTGTTTGTCTCCCAGACAGGCAGTGAGCTTCTTCAGAACAGAAACCAAGTCTTATTCATTGTCCCTGACACTGAGCGGAGGCTTTAGTTCATTCTGATGAATGAATAATTGGAAAAAAGAAGTGGTCCTAGTGCAAAATGAATATGGCCAGCAGCTAGAATGCCCTGGAAAAATGATACCGCTACAAGGTAAGTATTAAACAATGGATACTGGGCGGGTATGGTGTTCACACCTGTAATCCCAGCACTTTGGGAGGCCAAGGTAGCGAGAATCGCTTGAGGCCAGAATCTTGAGACCAGCCTGCGCAACAAGGCGTGATCCCTTCTCTACAAATAATAAAAAAAGAAATTAGCCAGCAATCCTTTTGTAGTTCATGAGCATGATAATCGGGTGTTCACGCACTTGTGTGAGATGTGCCACCCTTGAATTTTGTTATGATGTTTCCACAATAGCCCATCTGACATGAAAATTCAAAAAAAAAGAAATTAGCTGTTCACGGTGATGCACACCTGTAGTCACAGCTAATCAGGAGGCTGAGACAGGAGGATCGCACATCACTTGAGCCCAGGAGTTCAAGCCTTCAGCGAGCTATGATCCTGCCACTGCAATCCAGTGTGAACAGAGTGAGCCCCTGCCTCCAGAAAGAATAAAAGGGGAAAGAGGGGTGTTTAATGCAATGAAAAAGGATCCCTGAGCTGCAGCTTACCTGATCAAACTTGTTCACATCATTGGACAGCAGATTGACTATCTGGCCTGTGGTTGTCTTCCCCATGGCCATGTTACTAAGACGAAGTGCCTGAAATAAAAGAGGTAAGTAGAGAATTGTATTCATGCAGTGATACTAAGTCAGGCTTAGGACACAGCAGACCTGAGGAAGTCTCGTGTGATGTCAAGACCAGATCTAAGCACAAGCATCCCCACCCCCCCACTGCCCCCTCTCTCTGCCCCACCAGCACCTTTAGTGGTGGCAGCTGTGTCAGGACAGCAAAGCGAGAGGTAGGAAGAAGAAAAATCTCCCACCTCATTTAATGAATTTGGACACGCCCCCAAGTACAAAAGGACATAAGTTTCTACTTAAGAGCCAACCAAAGTAATTTTGAGCCAAATTAGGGAAGAACAGAGAGGCTGTCAGAGGAACAAAATGAGAGGACGTGGACTATAAATCCGTACCAATCACTAATTCTCTGTGCAACATTATTAAACACATGGGGCCTTAGTCTCTTCACCCTGCCTGGATCACAGGGTTTCAATGTGTTCAATGGGAAATGACAAATATGGAGTATCAACTATCTGGAGGACACCAGGAGCCCCAGCAGATACAGTGACACAGTCATGTTTTCCTGCCTTGGGAGACAGGGCTAGGTATGTCCAGACACCTGTGATTCAACTGTGACCTGCACAGAGAACTGGGGACAGTTCGAACTGAGGGACACTGGGTGGGAGAGACCCTGGACGATGAAGGAGGGACTTTATGGAGGGAAGGGAAGGGCACTGCAGGGGAGGCCTAGCTAGGACAGAAGTACGGAGAAGGAGGATGTGGAGGCTGCTGAATAAAGAACACCCCAAACCTGGCTGAAGCAGGTGAAGCTCATGGAAGCGGGGCTGAAACAGGTGAAGCTTATGGAAATGGGGCTGAAGCAGGTGAAGCTCATGGAAGCAGGGCTGAAGCAGGTGAAGCTTATGGAAGGCAATATGGAACAGTACGTGTGGTTTTTCAAGTTAGAGGGAGAAACTCAACTTAAGGAAGGTTAAACAGTAGAAGCAATTGGCCAGGAGACTACTGGAAGGAGGAGAATGAGTTGCCGCTGGAATAACAGTCCAGGCAAAAGGCAACAAGACTGTCAACGAGGGCTATGTGAATGGGAAAAAAAGGGCCAGATAGAAGTGAAAACATTTTGAAAAGTTAAAAAATGGCCGGGCGCGGTGGCTCACACCTGTAATCCCAGCACTTAGTGGGGCTGAAGGCAGATCACTTGAGGTCAGGAGTTCGAGATCAGCCTGGCCAACATGGTGAAACCCTGTCTCTACTAAAAATACAAAAATTAGCTTGGTGTGGTGGTGTGCACCTGTAATCCCAGCTACTCGGGAGGCTGAGGCAGAAAATCACTTGAACCGGGAGGCAGGGGTTGCAATCAGCCAAGATTGCACCACTGTACTCCAGTCTGGGTGACAGAGTGAGACTGTCTCAAAAAAAAAAAAATTAAAAAATGCTATTATGCAAATATAAGTGAATCAATCGTAAAATACAAAGAAAGAAGAAAATGTAGGAGTGAGGGAGAAGAAAGGGAAGGAGAGAGACCAGCCCGCCCCTGTAGGAAAGAAACAGAACGTAATGTGCCTTATTGACTACAAACTATCTGTAAATATTTATAAAGCCAGTCTTACATACAAAATGTTAATCCCACATGCAGAAAATACCACATTTTTAAAGCATGTAAATTTGATACCTAATTTTAAAAAAATAAAAGCAAAATGTCAACACCAAACTCTAAGCCTAAGCTGACCCTTTTCAAGAAATCTGAAGTCAATTGTGCCCAACTTGAACTATCATCCACAGATTGTGTCTGAGGCCAACAATGAGGATTTAGGTAAGACAGCACAGATGCCAATTTGTGAAAAAGACAAAGTTCTTCTGGGTGCACCAGGAGGGCTACTTGTAAGTCGTGTATTACTGTGACCAGGTGTAGAGGTGGAATAAAAGGCTGGGCAGATACTCGGGTTGTAATAGAAGTTAACCCAAGTGAACGATAACTCTACAGTCAACACAGAAATTAAGGGCCTGCTGAAATTAAATCAGTCATACTCCAGATAGGATAAAAAAAATCATGAAGGGCCATGAATATTATTAATGAGGAAGACATGCCAGGTGCGGTGGCTCACACCTGTAATCCCAGCACTTTGGGAGGCTGAGGCAGGCAGATCACCTGAGGTCGGGAGTTCGAGACCAGCCTGGTCAACACGGTGAATCCCTGTCTCTACAAAAATACAAAAATTAGCCAGGCATGATGGCAGGTGCCTGTAATCCCAGCTACTCAGGAGGCTGAGGCAGGAGAATCACTTGAACCCAGGAGGCAGAGGCTGCAGTGAGCCAAGATCGTGCCATTACACTCCAGCTTCGGCGACTGAGCAAGATTCCATCTTAAAAAAAAAAAAAGAGGAAGACACAGCTGACAAGCAAACTACCAGGCTTCTGCTTCCAACCATGAGAGAGGACTTGCCCTCCCCTGGAAAACTGTAACGTTGGGCAAAACATATGACACAGCTGTTTTCAGGCACTGGACCACAGGTAACACAGGCTGTGAGCCTCAAGAGACGGGAAATGTAGGTGGTGGCCCGGGACTGACCTGGCTTTATGCCTGAGGACATTTTCTGCCCAAGCAAAACAGTTTCACTGAGCGGTGGAGGAAGAGATGGTTGTTCCAAGTTGTAGAAGCATCTGGAATTTGTGAGCCTGAGTAGCAGAGGGTTTGCCCCAGAAGTTTCAGTAGGGATTTACCCAGGGTACTTTGCCAACGGCTTCATAAGCAGGGCCAGACTCCATGAGGCCTAGGAAAGCAGCAGCTATGGGGCTGAGTGCTGACCGAAGATTCTGGAGGTCATGCAGTAGGAGATGCCGCCCGAGGAGAGGAAGGAAATCTCCACTGGGCCTCAGGCATTCACCTGAGACACCAGGAAGGCTATGTCTTAGTAATAAAGATCTCACCCTAGATTAACAGCTGTGCACTTGGAATAAGTTCAGAATGGAGCTACCTGCCCTATGATTAACTGATTGACAGACAGACAGAAGGATTCAATGCTAAAGGGGCCAATCTGCCAGGAATTTAACTACCTGCATGAACAAAACTCAATGCTCTTTAATCCAGACTCCCTATAGTATATCGATCATAATGTTCAACATAGTAAAACAATTACTAGATACACAAGGAAACAATAAAATGTGACCTGTAATCAAAGGAGGGAAATGGCAACAGAAATAGACCCTGAAATGATCCAGATTTTGGAATTAGTAAACAACAACTATGAAGCACCTATTATAATATGTCAAGGAGTTAAAGAAAAATATGGTTATAACAAGTAGATGTGAGTTTAGGAGCGAGATAGGTAATATCAAAAAGAACCAAATAGAACTTCTCAAACTGAAAAGGTAATACCTGAAATGAAAAATAAATTAGATATCATTAATAGCAGATACTTTCCATTGATTTATTCCCAGAGTCGCTAACCCTTCCTTCTATAGTTTACAACTGAAATCTGAAGAACAAACAGAAAAAAAGAGTTAAGAAAAAGAACAAAGACTGAATGAAGGTCCTTATGGAAGAATATTAAGCAATAAAATATTCATGTAATTGGAGTCCTAAAAGAAGAAGAAATAGGGGAAGAAAAAATATTTGAACAAATAATGACTGGAATTTTACCAAAGTTGGTAGCAAATATTAATTTACATAATGAAGAATCTTAGCAAGTTCAATGAAGGACAAAAACAAAGAGATCTATACCTAGACACACATTAAACACAGAGAAACAACAAAAACAAGCAGAAGCTGACACACCAGAAACAATGAAAACAAGAAGACAACAGAACAATATTTACAGTGCTGAAAGACAGACAAAAATAACTGGCCAGGTGCGGTGGCTCATGCCTGTATTCCCAGCACTTTGGGTGGTTGAGGCGGGCAGATCACTCGAGCCCAGGACTTCGAGACCAGCCTGGCCAACATGGTGAGACCCCGCCTCTACTAAAAATACAAAAATTAGCCGGGCACAGTGGTGGGCACCTGTAATTCCAGCCACTCCGGAGGCTCAGGCAGGAAAATCACTTGAACCTGGGAGGCAGAGGTTGCAGTGAGCCGAGATCGCGCCACTCCACTCCAGCCTGGGTGATAGGTGAGACTCCAATTCAAAAAAAAAAAAAAAAAAACACCTGTCAACTCTGAATTCTATCACCAACACAAAATGTCCTTTAAAATATGAGGGTGAAATTAGGACATTTTCAGAAAAAGGCTGAGAGACTTTATCAGCAATGAACCTGAACTGTAAAAAACAGCGTAAAGAATACTTTTCAAGCTATAAGGAGATGGTATCAAATGGAAACTCAGATCTACAGAAAGAATAAAGAGAAACCAAAATGACCAATGTGAGTAAATATAAGGACAGGCTGGGCATGATAGCTCATGCCTGTTATCCCAACATTTTGGGAGGCTGAGGCAGTCAAATTGCTTGAGCTCAGGAGTTCGCGACCAGCCTGGGCTCCACAAAAAATATAACAATTCTCCAGGCATGGTGCCACACACTTGTAGACCCAGCTACTCGGGGGCTGACGTGGGAGAATCGCTTGAACCCACGAGGCGGAGGTTGCAGTGAGCCAAGATCACACCACTCCACTCCAGCCGGGGTGACAAAGTGAGGCCTTGTCTAAAAAAAAATAAAAAATAAATAAAAAGAAGACAAATTACTTTGAAAAACAACTAGCTGCTTAGAGCAAAAATGGTAATGGTGCATTTTGGAGACAGAAGTAAAATATACGACAATAGCACACAAGATGGGGAAGGTAATAGAATTTTACTGTTGCATACTTCTAACTTTTAAGGTAAAATAGTCCTTATGTTGGGCCGTCAGTAAATTTCAATCAATATCTGAACATAAAAATGTTACACAGAATGTATTCTGGTGACAGCAGAATTAAATTACAGATCAACAATAAGACATCTCTAACAACTCAAAATATCTGAATATTAACAATATTTCTAAATAAGCATGTGTCAAAGATGACATCATAAGGGAAATCTGAAATATTTTAAAGTAAATGATAATAATTTGCGAGTTATAGCTAAAGCAAGTCTTAGAGTAAACTTTTGGCTTTAAGGACTTTGCATTTAAAAAGAAGGCATAAAATTGATAATCAAAGTTCTACCTAAAATCAACACCAAAGAAACAAACAAACAACAACAACAAAACACTGCTCACATCCTCAGAAGTACAATTAGTGTAATCATATATCTGTGTTACCCTCAGCAGCTACCAGAATATATAGACCAAGTCATATTCATTTATGTCATTATGATCATAAATCAAGCTACCATTTAGTAAGCACCTACTGTAAGCCAGACAACTGAACAAGAAAACAACTATGAAGTAAGAATTATTCCTATTTTGTAGATGAGAAGATAAAAATAAACTCAAACTACTTACATCTGACAGAGAACAAGCAATTATTTTTTCAATGAAGCAAAGTTACCAGTGTTTCTCATTAATGTAGAAAACTAAAGTTTGGTTCCAATAAAGTGTCCATGTTATAGTTTAAAAGAGTTCACATCCAATGTACAGAAAAAATCTGTAAATTAATGTATCATCGTTCTGCAAATATTTTGATTCTATGCTTCATTAACCTGACAGGTTATAAAAGGACACCATTAGATTAAATTTGTTTTCCCTGTGAAAACAAAATAGTTCTACCATGAGAACAAATAAAAGGCAACTAAAACAAACTGAAATCAAAACCTGTAGTACACATCCCAGACCCAAAATATCTTTAATAAATCAACGGCCCCTACATATCGATATGAATTATAAATGCCTACCAATTATTTTTTAAAAGGAGCAAAGAATGTGTGCAGGAAATTCACAAAAAAAAAAAAAAAAAAAAAAAACCAGCACAAATGGCCAAGGAAATGCAAATGCTGAAATCCACTATTACACAAAGCCATGTAAATTAAAACAACAATGCATTATTTTTCACCTATGAAAATTGGTGAGATTGACAGTGATTATTAAAATATAACATCAAATCTGGACTTGTAGGGAGCTCTCTCATTTCACCGGGGAAAATGTAAGTAATTAACAACTCTTGGGGAGGAAATCAATCTAGCATAGCAAAAGCCTTGAAATTTGTACGCCCTAGGAAATGAAGGATCTGTCCAAATGTTTAGCTTTAATCATGTCCATTAAAATGCTATTTGTAATATACAAAAACTAGAAGACATCTAACTATCTAATTACTAAAAACTGGAAAACATCTGAGTATCTAATTATTGGTTACTCTAGAATCCGCATGCCATTAAGAACAATACTGTGAATGGTGGAAGTAAACACCATCAGAGCAGGGCACCATTTGATAGCTGCTTACTACTGAAGGCAGGCAAGGAAATACATTTGAGATTACAAGAAAACTGTACTATCTAGAACAAAACATTAATTGTATTCAATTTCTTAAAAATAAATCATGTAATATCTAGCTTCATTTGAAAAATATAAACTGTTTCTTCTTTCTTGATTATTTTAATCAGTGTGGCCACATAAATATCACCATCAAAGGGAGGTGGAAGGAGAGAATGACCTTTTCATGGAACTGAGTTTTCCAGACTGGTGAGATGAATATCCCTTTTTGGATTAAATGCATTAATCCAATCTTCATTTTAACAGATGTCTTTCCCCCCTCTCTAATAGTCCTTTTAAAACAGAAGATGCGGCTGGGCACGGTGGCTCATGCCTGTAATCCTAGCACTTTGGGAGGCCAGGGAGGGCGGATCACCTTAGATCAGGAGTTCGAGACCAGCCTGGCCAACATGGTGAAACCCCGTCTCTACTAAAAATACAAAAATTAGCTGGGCATGGTGGCGCACACCCCTGCAATCCCAGCTACTGGGGAGGCTGAGGCAGGAGAATCGCTTGAACCCGAGAGGCAGGGGTTGCAGTGAGCCAAGATTGCGCCACTCCAGCCAGGGTGACAGTGAGACTCCTTCTCAAAAATTAAAAAAATAAATAAATAAAACAAAAGATGCAAACCGCAGTTCATCACCTTCACGATGCAAATTCCTCACAACAATATGGCTCTTACCCAGTGTCAATGACCCGGGGTGGACAGGGATGCTCCTCTCACAGAGTCCCCAAATGGCCACACTTTTCGGATTCGGGTACTTCCTGATCCATCTTGCCCCTGGCTGTCAGGCTATCAGGTATCTCTTTATTCTCATCAGAATGTCACACCATTACCTACTAGTGTTTTAGACTAGGATGTGGCTTTTGAGTGCTGTAAGTAAAGTCAGAGTAAAAACGTTCTGAATAAGCATATAAAGTAAGTATTATCTATCTTATTTATTTTATGTTTTGCTTACTTCCTGGTTCATGACCCTACCCCAGAGTTGAGTTTGTGAGGTAATGAAACTTCCAATTAAACTGGGTATTTCTGCAACAGGCAACTAGGATGAGTATGTTTAATCACTTGAAGCAGAAAATTGCCTGTATTTTTCCAATACTGTTGGCCAGAGTTGCTTAGTAACAACATATCTACTTTAATGACTGCACAATCTAAAACCAATAATCTCTGTTTCTGAGGGGATGATCCAAGGACTGGCTAATATCCTCCTTCCTCGTAAACATGATGGGTGACTACCAAAGTCACATTCCTTCTCTAATTCTGTAAAAGAAATGAAATTTAAGGAGATGAAAATGTCCATCCAAAATCAACAACCTGTATGTTCTTTATAATCTGACAGTTTCACTGCCTTCTGAGGCTTTTGTTTGTGTTTCACCTGATTTTTCATGGCTGGAATACAAGCCTGAAAACCTATACAGAAAGTTCTCCGTAGGCCAGGTAGGGTGGCTCATGCCTGTAATCCCAGCACTTTAGAAGACCAAGGCGGCAAGATCACATGAGCCCAGGAGTTCAAGACTAGACTGGGCAACGTAGTGAGATCCTGTCTACAAAAAAATTTAAAAATTAACCAGGCATGGTGGCACATGCCTGTAGTCCCAGCTACTCAGGAGGCTGAGGTGGAAAGATCGCTTGAGCCCAGGAGCTCAAGGCTGCAGTAAGCAGTAATCATCCCACTGGAATCCAGTCTGGGCAACAGAGCAAAACCAAGAAAGAAAAGAAAAAAAAAGAAAAGAAAAGAAAAGAGACAGACAGATGAGAGAGAGAGAAAGAGAGAGAGAGAGAAAGAAAGAGAAAGAAAGAAAGAAAGAAAGAAAGAAAGAAAGAAAGAAAGAAAGAAAGAAAGAAAGAGTGAGAAAGAAAGAAAGAGTGAGAAAGAAAGGAAGGAAGGAAAAGAAAAGAAAGGGAAAAAAAACCATTAGCGTTTCAATGAGTGGTGGGGCAGTCAATATACATTGAAGGAAATTAGTACAATCTAATTAGTCAATTCTACCAATACCCATGGAAAGAACATGTAACACAGTTTGAGAGTAATCTGTTCAAAGGGGGGCCACATCCCCCCACCATGGCTGAAAGACCCCTCAGCCCCAGACCCTGCTATCACCAGTTTCTTTGCCTGAAAAACAAGCCCCAACTGAACTGGTTTATCGACTGAGAGGGGAACAGAGATGAGCAAGACATACTGGCAGGGCAACAGGAAGAAAAAGGAAAATATGGAGAGGGTGACAAGCCAGGGAGTGGGTAAAGAAGGGACAGTGAGGACATACATGGGGACAAATACATGGTCTAGGGTTAGGTCAGAGAAGATCATCTTAAGGAGAATATAAATGCAGTATACCCCCATTGAAGAGGAAGAAAAAAACCAAACTTCTGTCATCTTTTTGTTGTGTGTGTGTGACAGGGTCTTGCTCTTTTTGCTGGAGTTAAGTGGCATGATCGCAGCTCACTGCAGCTTCCACCTCTGGGGTCCAAGCAATCCTCCTGTCTCAGCCTCCCAAGTAAGAGACTATAGGCATGTGCCACCACACTTGGCTTTTTTGGAGGGTAGAACAGGGAGGGCCGAGGCAGAGACAGAATCTCCCTATGTTGTCCAAGCTGGTCTTGAACTCCTAGGCTCAAGCAATGCTCCCGCCTTGGCTTCTCAAAGTTCTAGGATTAGAGGTGTGTTTGGCATCCATCATCATTTTTTAAAAATCTTTTTTATCATGTTTTTCTTCTTTCTGCTTTTTTTTTCCCCCCGAGACAGTTTCACTCTTGTTGCCCAGGCTGGAGTGCAATGGCATGATCTTGGCTCACTGCAACCTCCACCTCCCAGATTCAAGAGATTCACCTACCTTAGCCTCCCAAGTAGCTGGGATTACAGGCATGCGCCATCATGCCTGGCTAATTTTTTTTTTTTTTTTTAGTTTTAGTAGAGACGGGGTTTCACCATGTTGATCAGGCTGGTCTCGAAATCCTGACCTCAAGTGATCCACCTGCCTTGGCCTTGCAAAGTACTGGGATTATAGGTGTGAACCAACGTGCCCAGCCTGCTTTCTGCTTCTAAAAGAATATTATAAGAAACAAATAAGAAATGTGTTTATAATGTATCTTCTCAAATATGACATGTTTCATGTGCCGTCTTTAAGACTAAGAATACTTGGAGGAAGCAATCTTCACTCTACAGACTCACCAAAATTTTACTAAGAATCAGTCAAAATGAAAATATTTTACATACGTGATTTTCCTTTTTTCCTAATGTTGTGTATTTATCAAAGTATTGACCTTGAGTAGGCCAGATATTCAGTAATCCGAAAGTAACAGTACACAGTACTGTAATACTGCAAAATTCATTCCATCATTCATTCCCATTTCAAGATTATCTTTGAAGCTTTAAGAAAATGAAGAGATTTGTGCAGCAGGAAAAAAAATGACAGATGTCAGAAAATGTCTTACTAATGACTTATTCACTAACATACATTTTTACAACCAAACATACCAAATGCAGTAATGCCTTCATCTCTTTCACTGATGAGGATAAAGGAATTAGGAGAAAAATGCACAGAGAGAGGAGGGACAGACACTCTTTACCAAGGTACCTCCTTCCCACTTTCTCGACTCTATGATAAGCATATCAAATAACAGCCCTGTGCCCACAGCTATTACCCCCAGGAGAGATCCAAAAGAGAAAATGACCCTGTTCCTTCAGCTAATGGGTCCCAGAGGGAGTAGAAAGGAGAAGATGAGGACTTCAAAACACATCAGGACACAGGCAGTTGCTCAGAGCAAGAAGCCAGAAAAGGGTAGAATCTCAGAAATTCTTTCCTCTTCCACTACAGCTAAATAAAGGTTCAGCACCACAGTTGAGGATCAGGGTGAGGCAGAAGTTTTTCACTAAATGCTGAGAAAATGTATGACATAAACCCCAAAATTAAATTTACCTGAGGACATGATGCGAAGTGAGATAAGCCACTCACAAAAGGATAAATATGGTATGATCCCACTTGGATGAGGTCCCTTCAGTAATCAGATTATTACAGACAGAAAGTAAAATGGAGGACACCAGAGGATGACAGGCAAGAGCCACCATGCCTTGCAAAAATTACAAATTTTATGTGACAGATATTTTTTTGAGACAGGGTCTCACTCCAGTGCCCAGGATGGCGTACAGTGGCACAATCATGGCTCACTGAAGCCTCAACTTCCTGAGCTCAGGTAATCCTCCCACCTCAGCCTCCCAAGTAGCTGAGACTACTGGTACACACCATCATGCCTGGCTGATTTTTGTATTTTTTGTAGAAACAGGGTTTCACTATGTTGCCCAGGCTGGTCTTGAACTCCAAGGCTCAAGCGATCCAGCCATCTGAGCCTCCCAAAGTATTGGGATTACAGGTGTAAGCCACCATGCCTGACCGTTATGTATATTTTACCACAATTTTTTTTAATTTTTAGTAGAAAAAGATTAAAAACAAATCAATTATGTTTGAAGGCCTGACAGTAAATAAGCACAAAATACAAATTCTAAACCTAGAGAAATATGTTAAAAAAAAAAACGAGAAATAAAAACATTTTCAGGGCAGGGCAATGAAAAAATGTAAAAATTTGCTATAACAGGATGTCTTAGAAGATAGAAAAAAGGAAAAAACAGAAAAAAAACTAAAATTTAAAAACTGAATTAATATTTTTAAAAAATAAATAAATCATTGGCCATGATTTCAATATAAGTCCTGGGGAAAGGAATGCAGAGCCTCATGCGGCCCTTTCCCTTTCAAGGAAGCCACGTCCAGCCTCCCTCTCCACACCTGTTGTTCCCTTCGCCATCCTCTAGTACAGAAACTTCCCTGAGGCACAAATTAAATATACAGATTTCCAGGCCCTTTCTCTAGAAATTCTGAAACAGCAGGTCAGGTCTGAGATGGCCCCAGGATTGGGGTTTTTGTTAAGCACACAGGTGACATATGGCAGATGCTGGAGCCCCTCAGTCTTGCATATGCCCTCACCCTCCATCTATTCAGTAAGGAAGTTAAACAGGCATGTCCTACAGCTCACACAACCACACCCTATACTGTACACTTGGAGCTCCCAGCTCCACAGCTCATAAACATCTGGGCTATTCAACTAGCAGAGAGACTGGGCTCTGGCCACGGCTAAGTGGCTCATACCATAACGGCCCACTCCTCTGCCTCAGAACTGTACAACACTAGAAGGCAGATGTCTCCAGACACCAAGCATTGCCTTGGCTCTGAGCTAGGACACCACTTTCCGACTGTGGCAGTGAGCTGAAGTCCAAACACATCACAGCAGCCCTGCTGAGCAAAGGGGTGGAGGCCAGAGCTTGGGTTAGTTAAAGCCACTGGCATCTGCATGGCCCTGGACAGTAAGCAGGTATCAGAAGGGAAGGGCCCCAGAAGGCTGTGGGGTGGGGGTGCTACAAGTCCTTGGCTGATGCGCGGGCACAGGTCAAGGCCGCCCAAGCCTTAACAGAGAGCTGGTGCTGAGGAGGAGTGAGCTGAATAGAGATACTGAAGGTCAAGCTGAGGTGAGGTACTGAAATTCTCACCAGACCAGAGTGCGGAAACCTCATTCATATATCATTAACACACCTGGCATACGGTTGAAACACCAGAGAGATCATGTCTTAGAATTCAAGAGCACTATCCAGAGAAATAATTCTCAAACAGGGCAATTTTGCCTCCCAGGAGAGATGTGGCAACGACTGGAGGCACTACTGGTTGTTACAACTAGAGGGACGCTTTCGGTATCTAGTGGGCAGAGGCCACAGATGCTGTTCAACATCTTACAATGCACGGAGCAGCCTCTCCATCCCCAAAAAGAAATTATTTAGCCCTAAATGTCAAGTGCTACCCAGGTTGAGCACTAAAAAAGAGTTAACTCTAAACTTGCCCAAGAAAAAACAAGCACTACCTAACAGGGCCTGCAAATGACACATGTTTTGAATCTTGAGTCCCATCAAGTTAGAGAAGCTTGGAAAACACCTGAAAATTTCCAAAGTTCTGCCCTAACAAAGCATAAAAAACAGGCCTATGAGTTCAGCCAGTTAATATGGTATTGGAGTAAAATTCAATACTTTTTAGAATTATCAGAAGTCAGACATACAATGTATCATCCAAAATGTCCACAATAAAAAACCTTAGACATGCAAGAAAGAAAATTTAACTCAGGGCAATAAAGAAAGCAGTCTTCATAATAAAAACCAAACCCCTCAAATATATAAATAATAAAAGTAAATCCAAGTAGGCACACACATTGGATTTTAAGATTTACAGAAACAAGTATAAATGTACAATGGGTTAGTATGTTCAAAGAAACTGAGGAAAAATATGAGTAAAGAGATAGAGATTTTCAGCAAAAAAGTGTAAAGTTTTTTGTTTGTTTGTTTGTTTTTTGAGAAAGAGTCTCACTCTCACCCAGGCTGGAGTACAGTGGTGTGATCTCAGCTCACTGCAACCTCTGCCTCCCGGGTTCAAGCGATTCTCCTGCCTCAGCCTCCTGAGTAACTGGGATTACAGGCGTCCGCCACCACACCCAGCTAAATTTTGTATTTTTAGTAGAGATAGGGTTTCACCATGTTGGCCAGGCTAGTCTCAAACTCCTGACTTCATGTGATCTGCCCGCCTTGGCCTCCCAAAGTGTTGGGATTACATGCCACCGTGCCTGGCCAGTGTAAAGTATTTTTAAAAAGAGCCCAATAAACACTCTAGAGCTGCAATACTGAAATGAGAAATAAAGGAGAAAAGAAAAATCACTGGCTGGTCTTATCAGCAGTTTAAAAGCAACAGAGAAGATTGAATAAAAGTGAAAAAGACTGACTGTCCTATAAGACAATCTCAAATAGTTTAATATATATGTAATAGGAGTCCAAGAAAAACAAGAGTGTGAGAATAAGTCAAAAAAAACTTAAGATATAATGGTTAAATATTTCCTAAACTTTACAATAATAAAAAGAATCAAATCAAAGATCCAAGAAGCTCAGCAAACTCCGAGAAGTATAAATACCAAGTAAATTATACCTAGGATCATTATCAATCCTCTAAAAAATCAGTATCAAAGAGAAAAAAAAATCAACCCAAAAAAAAAAAAAGAGAAACATTACAAACAAGGTAATAAAGATACAAATGATGGCTAACAACTTATTAGAAAGAATGAAGGCCAGTTGACAATGGAACACCTTTGAAGGGAGAGGGGCAGACACCACCAGCTATCACCCAGAATTCAACATCCAGCAACCATGTGCTTCAAAAGAAAAAAAAAAATTTGTTCAGATTAAAGAACAAAATGAGAGAATTCATGGCCAGCAGACTTCTACTATAAGAAATGTTGGCCAGTCGTGGTGGCTCACGCCTGTAATCCCAGCACTTTGGGAGGCCAAGGCAGGCAGATCACTTGAGGTCAGGAGTTCAAGACCAGCCTGGGTAACATAGCAAAACCCCATCTCTACCAAAAATACAAAATTTAGCCAGGTGTGGTGTCACATGCCTATAATCCCAGCTACTCGGGAGGCTGAGACAGGAGAATCACTTGAACCCGGGAGGCGGAGGTTGCAGTGAGCCGAGATTGTGCCACTGCACTCCAGTCTGGGTGACAGAGTGAGACTCTGTCTCAAAAAAAAAAAGAAAATAAAGAAATGCTAATAGATGTTTTACATGCTGAAAAAAAATTATATCAAATGGAAACCTGGAGCTAAAGGGAAGGAATGAAGAGCACCAGAAATAGTAATTCAGTGGGTAATTTAAAAACTATTTTTTTCTTCTTTTAAATTGTGGAAAGACAACTGAATAATTAAAGCATAAATATTGTATGGCGGTGAAGATGAGGGGATATTAAATACAAATAAACCTTAAGCACAAATGAATCCAGTAAGAAACTTTAAATACAAGTGAATCCAGTAAGTCAGGATGCAAAAAGTTCATGATTAAGGAGAAAAAGAGACTAACTCTCATAACCGGAGATTTTAACTTCTCTCCCTTCTTCTCTCCCTCTCCCCCACTGTCTGTCTGTCTGTCTGTCTCTCTCTCTCTCACACACACACACACACACACACACACACACACACACACACACACACACAGAGTATATTTGTTTTTATCCAAAGGCATGATTATCTAAATAGCTATCCTAAGGAATCAGCCAAAAATTACTGCAACTTAACGCACTTTAGCAAGGTTTCAGGAAACAAAGCAAAAATACAAAAATCAATTGTATTTCTATATACTAACAACAAACGGTAAGTGAAAATTTAAAATACGATTTATGGCCGGGCACAGTGGCTCACTCCTGTAATCCCAGCACTTTGGGAGGCCAAGGTGGGTGGATCACCTGAGGTCAGGAGTTCGAGACCTGCCTGGCCAACATGGTAAAATCCCGTCTCTACTAAAAATACAAAAATTAGTCGGGTGCAGTGGCATGCATCTGTAATCCCAGCTACTCAGGAGGCTGAGGCAGGGTAATTGCTTGAGCCCAGGAGGCGGAGGTTGCAGTGAGCCAAGATCGTGCCACTGCACTCCAGCTTGGGCAACAGAGCGAGAGTCTGTCTCAAAAAATAAATAAAATAAATAAATAAAATACCATTTATAACAGCACAAATGCTACTTTGAATTATGGCATTCTTTTTTAAATGCTAACAAATATAAAAATATAAAAATATAAAATATAAAAATATAACAAATGATCTTTAAGACCTCTATCCTAATAATTACAAGGAGAGTTAAAGATCTAGGGCTTGGCGTGAGTGGCTCATGCCTGTAATCCCAACACTTTGGCAGGCTGAAACAGGAGAATCAATTGAGCTCAGGAAGATCATCCTGGGCAACATACTGAGACTCCATCTCCACTTAAAAAAAAAAAAAAAAGAAAAAGAAATGTATAAAGATGTAGATAACTGAGGAATAGGTAAATACACTATTTTCTTAGACTGGAAATCTAAATAATGTTAAGATGCCCACTCTTAACATTAATAGTCAGGTGGATAGAATTGCCCTGTTGGAGAATTACTTCTCCAACAGGGCAATTACTTCATCTGGAATTACTTCATCTGGAATTCTAAGACCATGTCTTAGAATTCAAGATGCATAACCCAACAGTTTCCTGTAAAACTTGAAAAGCTGATTCTAAAGTCAATATGAAAATGCAAGAGACTTAGAATAGTCAAAACAATCATAAAAGAAAAACAGGTTGGGTAACTTTCACTATTTGATTTATAAAGCTATAGTAATTAAGATAATTTGCTATGAAGAAAGAATAGATTCTATCCATCTGACTACTAAAGTAAAACAAAGAAAATATAGATCAACAAAACAGAATAGAGGATCCAGAAAAAGATTCACACATAAATGGCCATCTAATCTACATTTTCTCCAACTTAATTCAATGGGGAAAGAGTAGTCTTCAACAAGTTGTTATCAGGAAACTGGCCCTGGGAAGCGAATGTGCTTCTCTTAAGATTTTACAGCTTAGAAAATGACAGCACTGAGATGTGAACTCAGGTCTGACTGCTCTGAGTCCATGATTGCTCTCAGAGTCCACACTCAATCTCTACCCTTGCCAATCTGCCACTAGAGGACTTCATGGAGTCTTCTACAAAGTGCCTGGACACCTGACTCAACACCCGGGCTCTCCTGCATATGAGATTCCCAGACCAGATGGTAGGACACTCGGGCTGATGAACAGCTACCATGCTTGAGGTTTATACCTACAAGTCCGAAGGAGTTATTCACCAATGAGGGGGATTAAACCCGCAACCCATATGCTATCTCTGTGAACTGGAAGGTCTTAGTTATAAAGCATAAAATTAAGCTGAACACATATTTGAGGCCTATTAGTATCACATAGGAGCTTTTAAAATTTCCCTAAAGCAATTAAATCAGAATGTTTAGGGGAAGAGTCCAGACACCAGTGGTATTTTAAAGATTTCCCCTCATGAATACAACAGAGAGCAGTTTGAGGAACCACTGAGCTAAAGCATTTTCTTCCAGTTTGCACCCACACCCCAGTGAAGCAAATACAATTATCAGATGATGGGACGCATCTGACACTCCTAAATCTCCAGCAGCAGAAATTTCCTCTTGGAAAAATCCAAACAAAACAAGTCCTCCCTCCTTAACTTGCTTTCTTAGCTCAAACTCCAAGCTATGGAAAGTTAACTTGGCTCCTCTTAAGCTATTCCCTAGCAAACTAGAAGACTGACAAATTGTCCCTTGATGAGATTAATGTCTCACAAAATGCCCAGGTACAATTCAAGTTCACATCAGAAGTAAAACCAAAAACTGTGGGGGAGAAAAGTTTTTGAAACAAAAATTTTAACGTATTATGGACAATGTAAGAAGCACTACTGGGTCATTCTAATTTTGTCAGAAACTTAGAAAATAACATTAGAAGAGGAAGTCCAACCAAAGTATCACATGTGTCCAGGGAGATAACTTCCACACACACCACACAGTTTCACTTTGACAACACTGTCAAGAGGCTCTCTACGAATCTTCAGAAAGGAAACCGATCTACAGACTAATAGACAAAAGATTAGTTTGAGCCATATGAAATTGCTAGTTTTGTAAAAAGGCCCAAAGGAGTTGAATATATGTAATTTCTTTTTTTTAAAGAAGAGTCTTGTTCTGTCACCCACGCTGGAGTGCGGTGGCACGGATCTCAGCTCACTGCAACCTCCACCTCCTGGGTTCAAGCAATTCTTGTGCCTCAGCCTCCCAAGTAGATGGGATCACAGGCGTGCACCACCATGCCAGGCTAATTTTTGTATTTTTAGTAGAGATGGGGTTTCACCATGTTGGTCAGGCTGGTCTCGAACTCCTGGCCTCAAGTGATCCACCCACCTTGGCCTCCCATAGTGTTGGGATTACAGGTGTGAGCCACTGCACCCGGCCCTGAATATCTGTAATTTCATACTATTCAGTCTAAATATAAAGCAATATACAGTCTACAGTGAAATAAAAATAGCTTTAAATAAAAACAAAAGTTCTGTTTTAAAACTAAGACCACAACACTGTATGGCTCAGTTGCTGACAAAATTTGCTATCAATTGTCTGTCCACATCCACTGAGAAAACCCAGAGGGAGACGGGGTGGGAAGACTGGGATGCAGCCAGAGAGCTACAGGTGGCTGCAATCTTCTCACCATCAGCGCATGACGGTGCATTTATTTTTTTTACTTCAGGTTCTACTTATTGCATAGGGCGGCAGACATGACTTGGGAAGGGTGCACAAGCCCAGCCTCTCTGTGCATTATGGGAGGGCACCTTCCACTTCCTACTCAGTCTGTGGTAGAGGAGGCTGTCTGCTGCTCTGACCACTGACCTAAAAATATACCTGCCCTGCAGCAATGCCAAGAAAAGAGAAGGAAAAGATCAAGGCCAGGCGCAGTGGCTCACACCTGTAATCCCAGCACTTTGAGAGGTCAATGTAGGCGCATTACCTGAGGTTTGGAGTTCGCGACCAGCCTGGCCAACATGGTGAAATGCCGTCTCTACTAAAAATACAAAAATGCACCACCATGCCTGTAATCCCAGCTACTTGGGAAGCTGAGGCATGGGAATCACTTGAACCCGGGAGGCGGAGGTTGCAGTGAACTAAGATCATGCCACTGTGCTCTAGCCTGGGCGACAGAGCAAGACTCTGTCTTGAAAAAAAAAAAAAAGCCAGGAGTGGTGGCTCACACCTGTAATCCTGGTACTTTGGGAGGCCAAGGCAGGAGGATCCCTTGAGCCCAGGAGTTCGAGACCAGCCTGGGCAACATAGGGAGACCCTGTCTCTTTAAAGAAAAAAAAAGGAAATGGTCAAGAGGAGAGGGTTCTCAAATGAAAAGATTAAAAGAAACAGGAATTCTTCCCCCAGAAAGATGAAGAGTACCTGATAATATGAACTCTGGATGGAGCATCCAAGAGAATATATACATGTATTCCTGGAGTATCCATATTCCCTGCATACAGGGAATATGCATTTCCCCCCAAGTTACAGAATTCTAAAAAGAGAACCACACAGTATCACATAAATGGTTAAACAATACACTTAGGGTAACTACAAATATTTCTCAACACAGAAATCTATAGAGAGCACCCCTCTGAGATACACTACATACATATATTCCATATATTCTTCTAGGGCAGATCTGTAATAAATGATAAAGGAAAACTAGAAAGTCTGCAGGGACTCAACACACCTTAGAAGGTGGAAGATGAAGGACAGACAGATACTTTACCTCAAACTATCCTTCAGAGTAACTCTAAAGAAAGTGAAGACGAGCAGTTTTATCCAGAATAAAAAGTTTCCCCAAACTTTCTCAATTCTGCAAAAAAGTCTGCAAACAGCAGAGAGGAGCACCAGCAAGCAGGCTCAGGTACTGCTGTAGCTTTACCTGGCATTCAGGACAAGCCAACCCAACATCAAAATCCACAACTCAGAAGCCAACCCACTGCAGGAACCACCACGGTTCTTCAAATTAGATACAAAGTCAAGAAATCTTGAGCTAATTAGGCCACAGATCTTAAGGAAAAGTCTCTATGCCTAATGTATTTGATAATACAAAAGCTGGGATGACAAGCCCATCCTGATTAATGAAACTGTCCTCCATTCCATCGTAGGTCTAGCATTCAGATGTTTAGCATTCAGGCTCAGATCTATCCTGGCCCTAAGTCAAGGTAGGCAAGGGCAAATGGGAGATCCAGTCTCACTGGTGGCTGGGGCTGAAGATCTTCAGCTATCCTTAATCCAGGCTCAGTTTGACTAAAGGGACCCTCTTCCTCCAACATGGAGCCAACTCCCCAACTCATGTGCTCTAAGCTATAGAAGTAACCCCTTGAGACTTGAAGATGGACACATCCCCTGCTTCTGTGTCCCAGATAGCTAAAAAGTAAAAACAGGAGATAAGGCACTGTCCCCACTGCAGAGGTTATACGAACCCATGCTGGGAATATGACTTGTGACTGACGACATTCTAACATGAGCAAGTACAATGTTCAGCACACTATTGCCATGAGGAGCCCATATTCTTAATGCCAATCTGTTGACCTCACTTAAAATACAGCCTGTGCTGCACAGTCTTTTTATTTGGTAAAAGTTGTAAGAAATAACACAGAGTTCCGAGGAACCTGAACAAACCACCATGAACCATTTCAACAGACCACCCTTGGAGCCATCAATCCAAATTAAAGCTAGTCATGATTCATAAAAACATCTCATTTAGTTCTCAAGTTAAACAGACAAATTATTAAAGAATAAGTGGGAATGTAAAATGGTGTGGCCACTGTGAAAAACAGTATGATGGTTCCTCAAAAAATTAAACAGAATTACCACATAACCCAGCAACTCCATCTCTAAATAAATATATACTCAAAAGTATTAAAAGCAAGGACTCGGCCGGGTACAGTGGCTCACGCCTGTAATCCCAGCACTTTGGGAGGCCAAGGTGAGCAGATCGCGAGGTCAGTAGTTTGAGATCAGTCTGGCCAACATGGTGAAACCCTGTCTCTATTAAAAATACAAAAATTAGCCTGGCGTGGTGGCAGGTGCCTGTAGTCCCAGCTACTCAGGAGGCTGAGGCAGGAGAATCACTTGAACCCAGGAGGCAGAGGTTGTAGTGAGCTGAGATCATGCCACTGCACTCCTGACTGGGTGACAGAGCAAGACTCCATCTCAAAAATAAAAATAAATGAAAACTAAATGCAAGGACTCAAAGAGATAATTGTACATTCGTGTTCATAGCAGCATTGTTCACAATAGCTAAAAGGCAGAAATAACCCAAATGTCCGGTGGCAGATGAATGGATAAACAAAATGAGGCATATCCAAATAGTGGAATATTATTCACTCTTTCAAAGGAATTAAAATCTGGCATACAATACAACACAGATAATCCCTGAAGACCTTATGCTACATGAAGTGAGCCAGACAGAAAATAACAAATACTGTATGATTCTACTTCTATGAAATACCTAGAGTCATCAAATTCATAGAGCTGGAAAGCAGAAGGCTGACAACTGTGGAGAGGGGAGAGTGGACACCAGTGCCTAATGGGTACAGAGTTTCCACCTGGGAAGATGAACAAATTCTGTCGATGGATGGTGGGGTTGGGAGGCACAATGATGTGAATGTACTTAATGCAAACGAACTACTACTGTACACTTAAAAAGAGTTAAAATGGTAAATTTTATGTTATGCATATTTTATTACAATAAGAAGAAAAATTAATGATGAAAAGCCTAAAGTAATTTTACCAAAGCTGTGAAAAAGTAAATAAATGACGAGTCATTTTCAGACATCCTGCAAGATCATTCAATACCAAATGTCGACGACGGGCTCGGCAGTCATTCCATTTGCAACAGCCAACCTGATTTCTGCCAGACCGGGAATCAGGATATGGGGGCCTCAGTGGAAACTGCCAGTGTCGCAGAGGGACCTTTCAGAGTCCTGCTGCAGAGCCAGCCTCTGCCCCAAGGAAGCAGCCCACGTGTGAGGAGGAAGTGTCTTATTTCTTCACCTGGGCATGTTTCCACATACAAGGCAGGACATGAGGATATTCGTCTTTCCCACGTTTCTGGGATTTCAGGTTAAGTCTTATGGTTTAACCCAAGCAATTTTTGACTTCATAAAGAGACAATACTTCTAAGATAATCAAGCTGACAAATTAATACCTTTGGGAGATGTTTACATGCAGGCAAGCAAGTCTGCCGAGTTAGATCAGATTTCCCAAAGGCTATTTTCCAAAGCGTTAGTGGAAAAGAGGAAGAAAAACAGGTGAACAGTATCTCACTTGTACAAAGAGCTGTGTTTTACTGAACCACTACCTCAAACCGGACTTCATGTAGGGTGTTTTTAAAGTTTGCCAAGTGGAGTGTTAGTGAAAATTTTTATGAATTTATTAGAAGTATGATCTTGAAAGACAAAAATCTAGCTAGTTTATAGAAAAACCTGAGTATTCTTCTCCTAAATGGTAGAAGAGAGTACAGGAGAATAACACAGATGATGATGATGCTGCTGCTGCTGATGATGATGGTGGTGGTGGTGGTGGTGGTGGTGGTGATGATGATGAAGACCCCTTGACTAGTGTGTACAAGCCTTGTTATCATTTTCATGTCACACATGAGGAATCCGGGCATACCTGTTATACTGTACCATAGACACTAAGACACGAGGCCTCCAGGATTCACAGAATTATAAGATTGATTCCCCCATGTCAAAGGAAGACTTGGGGAGGACACCTTACGGACACTCTGGATAAGTGACAACGAGGTCAAAGAAGAATACTTTAAATTTAAATGGGCTGGGTGCGGTGGCTCCCACCTGTAATCCCAGCACTTTGGGAGGCCGAGACGGGCAGATCACAAGGTCAGGAGTTCAAGACCAGCCTGGCCAACATGGTGACACCACGTCTCTACTAAAAATACAAAAATTAGCTGGGTGTGGTGGCCCATGTCCATAATCCCAGCTACTCGGCAGGCTGAGGCAGAAGAATCGCTTGAACCCGGGAGGTGGAGGTTGCAGTGAGCAGAGGTTGCACCACTACACTCCAGCCTGGGCGACAGAGCAAGACTTCATCTCAAAAAAAAAAAAAAATTTAAATGGCTTAAAAAAACGGCCCAGGACAAAGAGATATCCAGGACTGATTTAATGACAAGTTCTTTAGCTCTTGACACTAGCATCTCTATGGCAACTTCTCAGCAAAGCAACCAGAAATCCCACTCCTTCTATAACAGTTAAGACCACAGCAAACTATGGTATTATTTATGGCATATCTCAATACAAAAGCACAAATAAAATAAGAAAATATCAAATCAGGTCTTATCATTATTACTGCCCTAATGGGAAAGAAAATACAGTCAGCCTTTCCTGTGCATGGGTTTGGCATCCCTGGACTCAACCAACCTGGGGTTGAAAATATTTGGGGGAAACAAAATAGGTGATTGTGTCTGTACTGAACACACACAGATTTTTTTCTTGTCACTATTCCCTAAACAGTTATTTGTTTATAGTACCTAATACAATGTATATTTACATTATACAATGTACAATTATATAATGTACAATTTACAATGTGCAATTAAATAATGTACACTTTACAATGTACATTATATAACTGTACACAATGTACATTGTATATTGTACATTATATAATGTATATTTACATTGTATTAGGTATTATAAGTAAACCAAGATGATTTAAAGTACATGGGAGTGCACCCATAAAAAAAAAAAAAATCATGTCCTTTGCAGCCACGTGGATGCAGCTGGAGACCATTATCCTAAGCGAATTAACGCAGGAACAGAAAACCAAATACCAGATGTTCTCACTTATAAGTGGGAGGTAATCATTGGGTACAGATGGACATAAAGATGAGAACAAAGACACTGAAGACTACTAGAGTTGGGAGAGAGGGAATGCGGCAAGGGCTGAAAAACTACCTATCAGGTACCACACTCATGGCCTGGGGGATGGGATCATCCATAACCCAAACCTCAGCATCACACAATACACCCATGGAAAAAACTTGCACCTCTACCCCTGAATCTAAAATAAAAGATGAAATTATTTAAAATAAATAAATAAATAAAATGCCATATATGGGAGGGTGTGAATAAGTTATATACAAATACTATGCCACTTTATATCAAGGACTTAAGCATCCTCCAATTTTTTTGTATCCTCAAGAGGTCCTGTAACCAATCCCCCACGAATACCAAGGGACAACTGTTTAATGTAAAAACTTACTTTGAATGAAAACCAACATAAAATAGAAACACTATAAGTTCTCTCCAAAATTGTGAAAAACAATCAACAATTCAAAGTGTTATCCCAAACATCCAACTATTTTCTTAAATACCATTAAAAACAACCACAACTAGATTTAGAATATAAAGAAAGCCTGTATCCGACGTGGATTCCATTTACATTTTTCTTCAGTTAAGAAAATTATATGGAATATGACTAAATGGTTCATTTAAAAAATATAAGAATTCCCTTTCTCAAATATATTCTTTTCTCCTAGATTTAATTTCATAGATCCAATTTCACTGAAGTTCACTTCTGAATACAACTGTGATGTAAGTGAAGGTTTTAATGAACAACAACAAAAATTTCCATAAATACAACTATGAGATTGAGGCAAAGAAACACTGAAAACCAATTTGATATTTTTAATTAGATTTCATTATAAATTTAGTATTCTGCAACAGCCTGTTATCAAAGGCAGCCATGCCCTGACAGCAGTAGAAAACTTTCATTATACACTGGAAAATTTTGCATAAAGAAAAAAAACATTGGCCTGATGCAAATAGCAAGCTTCTCTAGTAAGGTGTAAATGATTCTATTTACAGAAGTTTTCTTCGTTTTTCTTTTTTTAGAGACAGGGTCTTGCTCTGTCACCCAGGCTGGAGTGCAGTGGCTATTTATGCAGTATTTAATTTACATAAAACTTCCTCAGAATGCTTCTGATGCTTCAGGTGAGGTACATGTTTAATGCTGAATGTCACTTACCTTCCGATAAATCATATGGCACATGGCTACTCGTAACCTCATCCCAGCACACTGAACGTGATAAAAATATAAGTGATGCAGTATAGCCAAAATGAGCGTGCAAAAAGTCAGCACCGTGGCATAGGCGTACGCTGTGTTCAAAGCCACAGAATCCATGGGATCATAATTTTCAAAATAATTAATAATTTTTCCCAAAAATATGGGCTGGATTACTTTGGCACTTTCCTAAAAGAAGAAAAAGAAAAGCCTTTAATTAGACATACAGACCACACCATTTTTTCTTTTTACTTTCTCTTTTTTCAGATATTGCTTGCTCTGTCACCCATGCTGGAGTATAGTGGCACAATCCCAGCTCACAGCAGCCTCGAACTCCCTAACTCAAGCAATCCTCACACCTCAGCCTCCCAAGTAGCTGGGACTACAAGTGCACACCATCATGTAGAGCTAAATTTTTTTTTTTTGGTCAAGACAGGGTCTCACTATGTTGCCCAGGCTGGTCCCGAACTCCTAGCCTCAAGTGATCCTCCCACCTCAGCCTCCCAAAGTGCTAGGATTACAGATGTGAGCCACGGCACCTAGGCTCGTTTTTTCTTAACACAAGTTTTATATTTTCAAAGTGCAACATTCATCACTCATCTAAAAGAAAAGCAGAACTGTTTTCTTCTTTAAGACAAGCCGATAGGAGTTTTAACCTGAAATCAAAATTCTAATTTCAAAGTCAATAAAGTTTTAGTACATTGTGCTTGGTACACTGTGGGTGCTCTGTATTACAAACAGGGCTTTAAAGCACACTTGGCAAACTACCAAATTAAGTCTTGGCCTAAGGTGAATAAGGAAAAAAATGGCCCAAGAGGAGTAAGGAATTTGCTTACAAACAGACACCCCAGCTCTCACCCCACTTCCTCTGTACCCTTGACATCCCAGCCCACAGGCTCGTCTATGGGAGGCCAGCACTCTTGCCACCTTCTTCACAGTTAAGAGCCTTTGTGAATGGAGATATTGGCACAAACCCAGATCAGAAAATCAAACTCTCCAATTTTTCCCAATCCAAACTCCAAGAGTCGGTAGATCTAACACCACCAAGTCCAGCTTCAGTTGGAGTGGGGAAAAGAACCAGACTTGGGAGGATTCCAGGCTCTTGGACCCACAGGACATTGCTTCAGTATGTTTCTGCCCCCTACAAGCCCGGATGTGCCCAGAAGAACTGCCACTTTGGCTCAGGTAGTGTGGAGTCAAAAATTAAACACAGCAGAAATTGAGCTCAAAGGGAATGTCATCAGTGGCTCTCTTTATCAGCCATATTTTGAAGGTCCTGGTTTTGAAGCAATATTAATAATCATCTTTTCCCCAAGGCAAAATTAAAATCCCACACCAATGAGCTGGGAAGCATGCGGGCTTACCTTCTGAACAAGATGTAGGGAATGCAATTTTAACCTCCAAGACTAAAGGCAAAGAAACAGCAGAACGCAGCTTGAGCCACGGTTTGAGGTAAGCAAAGGAGCTTTCCTTTACCCTCCCTGCCAAATGAGCACTTCACCCGGCAACCTACTTCCTCCCTCTCGAACCCGTTGTAAGGGACCCTTTTCCCCCAACAAAGAAAACCAAACACTCATTGCAAATCCAGGTCACCAAAAGTAAACATGTAGGCCCTCGACATCATTTCCTCCTGACTTCTCAAAAGACAAAATGCAAAATGTTTGAAAATCTTTCAAGACCTTAACCTTGAAAAACAACTTTTCCTTTTAAGCAATCTCTCCTTCTTAACAAAGACATAATAAACACCTGACAGGTTTGCCATTGATAGCTGTTTTCTGTCCATCTGAAGTGAGAGAAGAACAATCAGTAAAAAACAAAAACAAAATTAACACACACTTTCATCCCAAACAACTAGCACGGGATCAGGATATTTACAGAAGACATTCCCATCCCTCAGATGGGTCATGATATTAAATCCCAACAAGCCTGTCTCGGCATGTGAACGCGCGCGTGCGCGCACACACACACACACACACTCTCTCTCACACACTTCACCAACTGCACTGCCTTCCATGAGGTCATGGAAGTTTTCCCCTATGATACAGAAATCAGAAAATACCATTTAGTTGAAGAATTATGAATAAGATGATCAGATATCAAGAATGCAGAGGCTCACCATTACATTTCCAGCATGGCCAATCATTCAAAAGGCACTAAGAGTTTATGGAAGAGCCCCCAGTACAATGGGTCATAACACGGACTGTTTAGAGTTTACTGAGATGAAAATCTGGACGTTTACATCAAGAAGCAAGACGGCCAAACTGTACACATGGGCAGCCCTGGCTCAGGAGTGCCAAGGGCAACCAGGGCCGCAGCAGACACACCTGGGCTATCAGCCAGACGCTCAGTGCTCTTTGCCTTTCTAAATGTTCCTGAAACTTCTCACAGTCCCTGGGAGTCACTGTTACCTGTTACACGCTTCTCCATTTCAGCCGTAGGTGAGTATGATTCAAACGGCAAGAGGGATGACCCCCAGAGGAAATAACAGATGCAATAAACCCAGCGAAAGAGAATGCAAAAGGCAGGTAGGTCACGACTACCTAATTGTCCAGATTTCCCTGCCGAGAGACAGCATTTAATAATCCAGTCAAGCAAATGGGCTCATTGGTGAGTAATGCTGGTTTTTGGTCCATGCTTTTCCACGGACCTCTCCATCTTAACCTTCAACTAATAAGAAACGAAACAACTGGGAAAATACTCATTATCAAAATTACAACTAACCAAATTTAAACTTTCTAAATATCAGTACCAAGGTCAAAAGTAACTCACATAAATTCTCCACCTTAGAGACCAACCAATCTATGACCTGGTGAAGAGTCTTTCCACAAACAAGCTAAGAATAGTCCTTACTCCTTCACAAGAATTCTCCTCGACTGTGAAACCATGGAGGTTTTTGAGAGTCCAGTAGGATACTTGAATGTTCCATACTTCAGGTTCTACTGGAGTCCCAGAGTACTTGAAGGCAGATACTTCTCAATGGAGTATTTGGTACTCAGCCTCCTGACATTCGAGCCCCATCCCTTGCTTTCTTGGAGTGACACATTACATGTCTAGGCCCAGCGGGCACGCGGCCTCCATGCTCCTGCTCCCCCACGCACTTCAGATATTCCTTGCCCAACTGCACCATACCAGATTGCATGGGAAGGAAAGAAAACACAGGAAATAGAAACAAGCTACCAAAGAAGATGTTTGAGTGAAAAATACAAGCAGAAAAGAGTGAGCTGTGGAAAAATGAGTAAGCAGTTTGTTTTAGAAATGGGGAAATACAGCCAGGCGCGGTGGCTCCCACCTGTAATCCCAGCACTTTGGGAGGCCGAGGTGGGCAGATCACTTGAGGTCAGGAGGTCAAGACCAGCCTGGCCAACATGGTGAAACCCCATCTCTACTAAAAACACAAAAATTAGCTGGGTATGGTGGCTCGCACCTGTAATCCCAGCTACTGGGGAGGCTGAGGCACAAGAATCACTTGAACCCAGGAGGTAAGGCTGCAGTGAGCCAAGATCGCGCCACTGCACTCCAGCCTGGAGAACAGCACAAGACTCCATCTCAGAAAAAAAAAAAAAAAAAAAAAGAAATGGGGGAACAGGGGACAAAACTAGGGTTGAGAAAGATCCAGAGATAAGGAAGAAAAAAGGTGAATCTGGGGAAATAATAACCATTAAGACTCCAGATATACCTGAAGTCCTCTCTGAATCAGTGCAGTCCTGACTGCATGTTAGAATCACCCAGGAGACTTACACGCTCACTGATGCTCAGGACCCATCCCCCACATTTAGGGCCAATTGATCAGGGTAGGGCCTGAGTTCCCCATCCCCGGAAGATTCTGGAGTGTAGAAACCAATGCCTGTACACATCACTATTCTCCTCTCCTGCACTCTCTGTGTCTGAGTCTGGAGGGGCTGGAGACCCGCTGTGAAGAGCTTTTTTGAGATGGAGTTTCACTCTTGTTGCGCAGGCTGGAGTGCAGTGGTGCAATCTCAGCTCACCGCAACCTCCACCTCCCAGATTCAAGCAATTCTCCTGCCTTGGCCTCCTGAGTAGCTGGGACTACAGGCACATGCCACCACGACCAACTAATTTTTGTATTTTTTTAGTAGAGACAGGATTTCACCATATTGTCCAGGCTGGTCTCGAACTCCTGACCTCGTGATCTGCCTGCCTTGGCCTCCCAAAGTGCTGGGATTACAGGCGTGAGCCACTGTGCCTGACCCTGAAGAACTTTTAAGACCACAAAGGGCTTTTAATCAGAACTGCTGCCAAATGTTAGGCTTCCAAGAAAATCCCTTAGGAAAAAAGGATGCTGAGATTTCAGTGATGAAACTAAGATCTTCCATTCTGCACAGCAGGGAAAATTAAATGTTCAGTAAAGACTGTACCTACCAAACAAAAGGATGAATCATAATTTGTTTTTTTAACTTTAAACAAAATAGTTTAACTAGTTTATTTGACTGTAAAAAAAAATAGTTTGAAAAGATAGTCCCTGCACATTATTATCTACCCTAAGGACAATGTAAACTGCAAAAAAAAAAAAAATTTAAATTATTTTTAGAAATCATATTATGGGTAATAGTGTTGATACTGTAAGATAAAATAAATGAATAAGTATGTTGATATCAAGAGCTGGGATTAGGCTAGGGAGAAAAAAGAACAGATGAAGGGAGAAAAGAGATACAGATGTAAGAGTAAAGAGATTAAGTCAAAACACTGGTGTCCTGAATCTGATTTGGAAATACCCACATAAATTCATGATATGTTTATCTTTAAATATAAACATAAAAGGAGTTAAAGCTGCTAGGAAAAATGGTTGATTCCACAGCTGGGGCAAAAACTGTTCAGGGAGCCTAAAACATCTGTCATACCAGAAAATGAGGAAGTTGCAAAGACTAATAGTATACATTCAAAAGACTCAGGGCCCAACTTCGATAGACTCCCACTAGCCAAAGACAGCCAAAGCGTGGCACAGGGATGATAACTGTAATGAACAGCACATCAGAACTGTTTAAATCCATGAGCTCACAATCATACTCATCAAAATATACAGAACAAGCAATAACAAAAAATCCATTAACTCCACAGGAAAATGCTGGAGAATCACTCATTATTTTGAAAATCGGTTTTAAAAAAAAATAACAAAATTAATCATTTCTCCTGCCTTTCCTATAGGTGTACTGTAACTCAGAGTATCAAAGAGTTGATAATGGCAAAGTTTCTCTTTATGCAAATATTTCAGCTAATAAATGAGGAACTGGAATATCACCACTTTGCAAACTCCTAACAAATTAATGCATCTTAAGCAATGATCATGAATGGCTCCAAATACCACACACACATAACCAGACCTAAGCGAGGTATCTCGAAGTGGCAGGTGGTACACACCCTCACCTACAAAGTACTCTTGCCAAAGGGAGGAGGGGGGAAAATAAAACCTGAATCACATCAAGCTTCTAGATCTAACTACTAACTTCTGGTACCAGATGGACATGTTAAATGATACAGCATGCAAGGATGTAGAGGGTCACAAGAGGGGAGGAGGGATATGCAATGAGCCCAATCTAGACCCTGGGAATCCGTGCAGGGCAAACAACACGGTTTCTTCAATTAGAAAGTACACACGCGGCTGGGCGCGATGTAATCTCAGCACTTTGAGAGGCTGAGGCAGGTGGACCACTTGAGGTCAGGAGTTCGAGACCAGCCTGGCCAACATGGTGAAACCCCATCTCTACTAAAAATACAAAATTACCCGGGCATGGTGGCAGATGCCTATAATCCCAGCTACTCAGGAGGCTGAGGCAGGAGAATCACTTGAACCCAGGAGGCAGAGGTTGCAGTGAACCAAGATCATGCCACTGCACTCCAGCCTGGGCAAGAGCAAAACTCCATCTCAAAACACACACACACACACACACACACACACACACACACATCTTCAGAGGGGGCAGTGAGCAGGGCTTCATAAAAATCAAGAGTGGTCATGAGTTGATAGTTACTGAAGCTGGCTTAGGGGTAGAGAGAGGCTTAGTATTCTATTATATTTTATATTTTTGAAATGATCTTTAAAAACCTAAGAAAGATCCCAGCATTTTGGGAGGCCGAGGCAGACGAATCACTTGAGGTCAGGAGTTCGAGACCAGGCTGGCCAACATGGTAAAACCCTGTCTCTACTAAAAATACAAAAATTAGCTACATGTGGTGGTATAAGCTTGCAATCCCAGCTATTCGGGAGGCTGAGGCAGAAGAATGGCTTGAACCAAGGAGACAGAGGTTGCAGTGAGCCAAGATCACACCACTGCACTCTAACCTGGGTGACAGAGTGAGACTCTGGCTCAAAAAACAAAACAACCAAAGAAAGAAAATACCACATGAGGCTTGGCCTTGGCCCTCATGTCAGGCAGCTGAACAAGAAATGTAGAATTGAAGTTATTAAAAACCACCTCATTGGCCAGGCACGATGGCTCATGCCTGTAATCCCAGCACTCTGGGAGGCCAAGGTGGGTGAATCACAAGGTCAAGAGATCGAGACCATCCTGGCCAACATGGTGAAACCCCATCTCTACTAAAAATACAAAAAAATTAGCTGGGTGTGGTGGCGCACACCTGTAGTCCCAGCTACTCAGGAGGCAGAGGCAGCAGAATCACTTGAACCTGGGAGGCAGAGGTTGCAGTGAGCCGAGATCGTGCCACTGCACTCCAGCCTGGTGACAGAATGAGACTCCATCTCAGGAAAAAAAAAAAAATACACATCTCATTTCTCAAAGAAACATTTAGATAATCTTCAACTATCTAAAATACAAAGACCAACAAGCAGCATAGATACAAATGGAGAAGCTGCCTGTGTCCTGGTTTGGCCCACACAGAGGATTCCCAAGCTCCTCCTTCCTCCTGCCCCCCCTGCAGGCTCTAAGTGGGTGGATACTTGCTCAGTCTCCAGTCCCCATCACAGTCTCCATGGAGGTGCACATAGGGGACAGATGTGCTGGAAATTTGCGGGCTGTTCTGTTCTAATTAGCATTTGCCTGGAAGAGCACCATGTTCACCATTAGACTAGTACTTGTTTCTCTGGGCATTATAATCATTCCTCAACTCTGACAATCGTTCCTAATCTCACTTGCATTACTTTGAAATTCCAACCTCAAAGACTCCCCGCAAACTGGTGTCACCATCTCTCTTCCTGCTGGTGCCATCATTAGTACCCAGGGAAGGCCCTGCTTGCCTTCAGCTTAGTTAAGAGTATATGGCTAGGGAGTTATGGATCCACTGCACAGTTGTTCTGTAACCAGAGGAATTAACCCATCTGTGCCTAGCATTCCATTATTGGAACACTAAGCTTGTGGGAGTTTATATTCTACTGTTCAACCTCATCGCCAAGGTCTGATCTTTCACACACAAAAAAAATTGGCAACCTCCGGCATAAGTGGGTTAAAAAAGGCCTGAAAGTCATCACAGAAGCTTTTTACTAAATGCTAGGTTAAGTTTAGAGCTTCCACTATCCAAAATACGAAGATCCACAAGCAGCACAGACACAAGACCAAAAAATGAAAAGCATCTTCATTAAATCAACTGTGAAACTAACATTTGTTCTAACTCCATAATTTTTTTTTTTGAGACAGAGTCTTGCTCTGTCACCCAGGCTGAAGTGCAGTGGCGTGATCTCAGCTCACTGCAACCTCCACCTCCCAGGTTCAAGCAATTCTCCTGCCTCAGCCTCCTGAGTAGCTGGGATTACAGGCGCCCACCACCATGCCCAGCTAATTTTTATATTTTTAATAGAGATGGGGTTTCACCAGGTTGGTCAGGCTGGTCTCGAACTCCTGACCTTGTGATCCGCCCGCCTTGGCCTCCCAAAGTGCTGGGATTACAGGCGTGAGCCACTGCGCCTGGCCTAATTTTCTTTTTTAGAGACAAGGTCTTGCTCTGTCACCCATGCTGGAGTGCAGTGGTGCAATCATAGCTCACTAAAGCTGGGAACTCCTGGGCTCAAATAATCATCCCTTGGCATCCCAAAATGCTGGGATTATAGGCATAAGCCACCATGCCTGGCCAATAAATAGCTTTAATGATTGAAAACCCAAAACAACACCTGAAATGCTTTTGAGATGTTACACTCACTACCTTCATCTTAAGAAATTATTTCTCTCCAACTTCTCCAAAACAGCCAAGTGTCAATAGGCAAGGCTGGGAAAACAATAGTATTTATACTAGAATTCAGGCTGTTTTCACTGCTAGAAGGAAAAGAAAAAAAAAAATCCAAGGATTACTTTGAGTTGAACTGGGAAGAGCTTTAGCTCCCTGAACTTCACTGCATCGGAACTAAAAGTTCTACCAGTTATTATGTTAAAGACACAAGGTTAAAATGAGCATCATCCACTAGTCACCATGATCCTCTAAAGAATAACTGACTACTGTCTAATTTTATACCATAAACCACCAAGATATTGGTGTAAACACAGGACCAACAAGTGCTCTCTTGTGAAAAGCCCAGGCTCCACTTTATATGAGAGGTGCCTGCCGCCAGCACTGTGTGGGTCCATCTTAACACCTTAGCCTGCCGCCCTAATACCTGGGGCCCACCTTGCTAGTGGGAGGGTTCAGATACCAGGACAGAAGAGCTGTCCCCATACTAGTGACTCATCTGGGGTCTTCATCCTTGCCAAGCAAACTGCACACCCACTTCACGATTCAGGCCAAAGGCTTCTGAAACTGCAGAGATATCATTGCTATGCAAGAAACCCAGAGCCTTTGATAAGTAAAAACAGGGAACTTGACATCCGCCCAGACCATCAGTCAATGTCGTGACCATGCAAGACCACAAGCTTCCCCCTCGTCCATCCGAGGAGGAGACAACTGGGAATGGTGTCTTAACAGCGTGGATGTTGATGAACTTGGGTCAGCAGGGCTGCACGCCTCACACATGTGGAGGATGGTACTCAGTGGGAGACAGGTTTCTAAAGGGTTCTTGGTCAGCCAGGCACAGTGGCTCACACCTGTAATCCCATTAATTTGGGAGGGCGAGGTGGGCCGATGGCTTGAGCTCAGGAGTTCTAGACCGGCCCGGACAACATGGTAAAACCTCATCTCTACTAAAAATACAAAAAATAAGCCAGGCATGGTGCATGCCTATAGTCACAGCTACTCAGGAGGCTGAGGTGGGAGGATTGCTTGAGCCCAGGGAGATGGAGGTTGCAGTGAGCTGAGATCACACCACTGCACTCCAGCCTGAGTGACAGAGTGAGACCCCACCTCAGACGAAAACATAAAAAAAAAAAAAGAGTTCGTGGTCAACCTGAATGTACCTTGGTGCTCTGACCTGCCCAGCACCCCAGCCACTCTCTAGCATGTCACCTGACTTTCCGGCACCAGGACACCTAGGAACCTAGGGTAATTTATAATCCCCAATCTGATTTCCCACAGCCATGCCCCACTGTTCCAGGGAGCTCTTAGCATCTGACTTATCCCTAGGCCAAGTTCAAGAAGCATGTGCTGGATACTCTGAAGACAGAGTTCTCAAGACACCTTTACGACAGTCTGGAGATGGTTAGGTCCCTAAGTCAGCGCTCCTGAGACTGAATCTGGGCTCTGTCATTTACACTTTGTGTGGCCCTAGGCACATTATATAACTACATGGCACCCAGTGTCCTCTTCCCAAAAGTAGGGTTAAAAGAATGCCTTCTGACTGAGCATGGTGATTCCTGCCTATAATCCCAGCACTTTGAGAGGCCAAGGTGGGAGGATCATTTGAGCCCAGGAGTTCAAGACCAACCTGGGCAACATAGTGAAACAAAAATACAAAAATTAACCAGGCATGGTGGCGTGCACCTGTGGTCCTAGCTACTTGGGAGGACTGCTTGAGCCCAGTAGGCCAAAGCTGCAGTGAGCCAAGATAGCACCACTGCACTCCAGCCTGGCAACAGAGTGAGACCCTATCTCAAAAAACAAAATAAAATAAAATAACATGAAAGAAAGAAAGAAAGAAAGAAAGAAAGAAAGAAAGAAAGAAAGAAAGAAAGAAAGAAAGAAAGAAAGAAAGAAATCATAGCAGTTCCTGGTACATAGTATTTTTCAAGTACTCACTGTCAGTATTATTACAACTATTGCTACTATCACTGCTGCTGCTACTACTACTACTGAGTACCAACCACTACTAATCCTGCTGCTGCTTCTACTAGCACTGCTGCTGCTAAGCAGTACTGAGCATGAGCCCCCATATTTGCCAGGTCCTCCACTCCCTACTTTTCTGCCATGACTGCCCAATAACCACCCCGCTAAAAGACCAGCTCTCCACCAACTGTACCCATATTAAAGCTCCCCTCGATCCGGGCCCCTTCCCACATGCCCACCAGCAGTAAAGATTACCATGCTCCTTGCACCAGAGTGGGGCCTGTCCTCAAGTCTCAGGAGAAATTCACGCTTCTACAGCCTCTACTTCTGTGCCTGCTTCTCCCAAAAGCTTACCCAAATCTCACTGTAGTCCAGTCACCATCTGTGGGTTAGAGACCCCACCCCAAGTGGCTGGCAGCCCATGACAGCATGGACAGCCCTGAGCATGACAAGCTCAGTTCCTTCTAAATCATCCTGTTTTCAATTTCATAAGCAGCTGGTGACAAAGGGAAACTAGAGAAATGGAAGTAGCTGAGGGAGGCATGCCTCGAAACCTATGTGAGGCCATTGATTCCCACTACACCTAACCAGACACCTGGCATGAGCCTTAGACACTTACAGAGGCTCCATGGCTACCAGACAACTTCTCTGAGGTTGCACAGCCAAACTGGGCCAGGAAATCCTGCACACACTGGCCACATTGACACCGACTTGTCATTCTATTTCTTTCCAACTGAAACTGATCGGGGCCATGTGGAAACACTATCGCTGGGACACCCCAGCACAGGTTGAAGAGGGGCTGGGAGAACCTGAGGGGCTCCTAGCCCTCTTCCACCCTCAAGTCAGTTCCACCGGTTATTCTGCATGTCCACCCCATCTGCCACAAAGCCACAGTAGCATGCAGGCAGGGCGGGTACCCTCTCAAAGGTGGCATTCACCATCTGGCACCCTGGCCAAAACACCTTTGTCACCAATGAGACCATTCATCTCCCAGGACCGTCCAGTCCCCTGTTGTCTGACAGATTCCTCTGGTGTAGGGCAGAGCTCACCTACCTGCCTCCCACTGCCCACCGTGCCCTCCACAACAAAAAGCATGTTCAACAGGAGCAAACCCCCCCACATACAAACCAACCCCCTCCCCCCACCCACCTCATTCCCAACAAAATGCACCGTGACAACTCCCCATCCTGCATTTAAAGCCACCCTTTTGTAACAACAGCAACATCCACCCCTCTAACTTTAATGGACCACTGACATCCCTAAGGTAGCACAGAGGACACAAGTCACCCAGCAGGACCCTCTGCATCTCCTCTAGCAGGCCAAAGACCAGAACGGACAAGCTACCTGGCAGTGTGCCTAGGCAGAACACTGTCTTTCTGCAGATCTCAAGAGAGGCCCTTCGGGGTAACAGAGGTTATTGCCCTTCTGGCTGTCTTTGATTTTTCATGGAATGTCCATTTATACATTCTCTGCAGGGCCAGGCACCAAGACTCTACCTTCCAACCAGCAATCCACTCCGACAACAAGGAAGACACACCGGATGGGTGTGATGAATCCCCTTGGGTGCACAGTCCTCGGACCTTCTTCCCAGAGGGGATTTTGGCTCCCAGCACCTGGGCCCACTGGGAGGGGGTAGCTCTTGGGTGCTTCAGCCAGCTCCAGCCTCTGGGGCACCACCGCCAGCCCAGGTGCAAGGCCCTCAGCTCTGTTTCCCCGAGAGGGGAGAGGTGACAATACCTCTCCAGAAGAGCAATTATCAGATTTGGCTTGGTGAACAATTATTTGTTGAGCACCTGTAAAATGTCTTACATTATTCTGGGCTCCGATCCAAAATCACTTCCTCTAAACCACAGGGCACGCACTCCTCAAGGCTGTAGGATCCTCTTTTGACCAGGAGTGACTCTTAGCATTTAAAACATTTACCGAGCACCAACATTGTCCTACCATAGAATAAAATACTCTTCTTCCATGACACTGCATTTTAATTGGTTACAAGAAAAACAATAATGACCTTGAACTTCAGTCACTTAAGTATTCACCTGGATAAATACGCTCACTGAACTAACTACCTAATACTTCCTAGACATGTTTAATCCTTAGACCTTAAAATACCTTCAAACCCCATCTGGCCACTTCTCCCTTCTGTTCCCCCATCCATTACAGCACCAGTCAATGGCGAGCACATTTACTCTATGTGTCCTGAAAAACAATTCATGGTATGTAAAAGCTTTTACCTCAATTAACGTAAAAATTCCCAAAACTAAATAAGATTTCCAGTAACACTTTATGATTGCTCTTGTTAAAGAAGGCTTCTGTGCGTCATTCTCAGCTCTTAAAACTTCTTTATCCCAGAACCTACAATGAGGAAAAAGCTTCGTAAATAAGAGTGAACCCTGCCACAATATAAAACAGGGGAGATGGCAGAGTGACAGGTATGCATTTAAGACAGGGCATTTTGTGACGATTTCATAAATGCTACTAATTGCTCCCAGGGCTCCTGAAGGTTATGTGTGGTACAGAATCTGGAGCATCAGAAAAACAGGCCTTGAGGGGAAGTCTGGGGAAACAAGTTACTGCCAAGCTTTACTGGATTGAAGCCCCATCAGTAGCACAGATAAGCCAGACAACCTCCTCCAACCACAACACTTCCACCTAGAGGGACAGACCTCAGGCATCTCGGGCCTTTGGTGCTGGCTCCCCTGACCTCTACGGAGGCACAGGCAACAGGAGTTTCCCCCAGGCCACCATGGTAGGCTGAGCCTAGGGGCAGCCTGAGGAAGGTGACACATATTCACCTTAAGGGTAAACGGAGGCTCCAGACAGGACCCAGGAAGGCAAAACCCACTCCCCACACACAGACACCCACGCTTCCTTAATGCCCACTTTACTGCCTCCGACTTACCCTTGCAACTCCTCTCCAAGGTGCTGTGAGCGGTCTTCTGGCAGCACTGAATACATATCATCTTCCTCTAATCTCCGTTTATGGCCAATTTTAAACAAGGGATTGAGCCACCTGTTAACAAGAGAAAAGAGACATATATCCAGAATTACACATCCGTGTTTAAGTAGACTCCTACCTCCATGGGTTTTGCTTAAACTTACCTTTAAAATACATACAGCTATATATAGACAGACAGATATGAATATATAGAGCTAGAGAGAGAAAAGTTAACATGTGCACACACACACACACACACACAGTCCCTAGCTCTATCCACAGACAGGCCCCAGAAGCAATGACACACCAGTAGCTGAGAGCATGCTGGTGCCCAGATCTTGGTTTCCAAAACCATTATTATCTAAAAGGAACCAGAGCTTCCTGAAGAAATAGCTGATTCAAAGGCTGGGGCAGAAAAAGATGGCCCATGAGATACCATACGATAAGGAAACATTCAAGGAATCAAGAGGATGGGCCCAAAGAACAGAGGACCCAGCTTGACGGGGTCCCACTAGACAAGTCTGTGATAATGGAAGCATCCAAATAAATCATGACAGCAATGAATTCTAACCCACTGAATAACAAAAGAATCCACGAATCCTTACTGAGACATAAATGGGGTAAGAAGGAAAAACTCTCAGATAAAGAATGATGAGGTTAGAAAACATTTTCAATGGGAGCTAAAACCAGTCAGTGAAGGTTTGATGGGACATTTACATAATCCAAAATTATCTAGGTACAAATTATTTATTAGTTACGAAAGGACAAAATAGTAATCTTGCAGAGGACAGAAAGAACTTATTCAAATATTTTGAGATTCTTTTTACTAAAAAAAAAGAAAAATCAAAATGGTCATCCATTAGGAATCACTTAAATGATATTAACATTATTAATCATTAAATGATAATAATTAACATCATTAATCATTAAATGATAATAATTAACATGCACCAGGCATAGTGGCTCACACCTGTAACTCCAGAGCTTTGGGAGGCTGAGGAGGGAGAATGGCTTGAGCCCAGGAGTTTGAGACCAGCCTACACAACATAGTGAGATGCCCACTTCTACTAAAAACTTATAAAGAAAAAGGCTGGGCAGTGGCTCATGCCTGTAACCCCAGCACTTTAGGTGGCTGAGGTAGGCGGATCACTTGAGGCCAGAAGCTCGAGACCAGCCCGGCAAAACCCCATCTCTAGTAAGAAAATATAAAAATTAGCGAGGTGTGATGACACATGCCTGTAATCCCAGCTACTCGGGAAGCTGCGGCACAAGAATCACTTGAGCCTGGGAGGCAGAGGTTGCAGTGAGCTGAGATCGATGCCACTGCACTCCAGTCTGGGCAACAGAGTGAGACTATCTCAAAACAATAAAAAATATAAATAATAATTAAAATTTAGCCAGATGTACTGGTGTAAGCCTGTGATCCCAGCTATTCCAGAGGCTGAGGTGGGAGGATGGACTGAGCTCAGGAGGTCAAGGCTGCAGTGAGCTGTGATCGCCACTGCACACCAGCCTGAGCAGAACAGCAAGGCTTTGTCTAAAAAAAAAAAAAAGAAGAAGAAACATATTTGTGCCCTATAAGGAAACCTCTAATAACTTTGATAGATGCAATTACTCAATTACACAAACTTCTTTCATCTTGGCTGTCTTATCTGGCCATGTGTCACCTTTAATAGGCATGTTTTATTTTAACATGGGGATTGTCTAATCTAGGAAGCCCTTCCCATGGGGAACCCACTGCCTGGTGGCTTCTGCCTGCAGTGAAATGGTGGGCTTTCAATGCCCCGTAAGATTGGAGCACACACTGCAGGGGTATCCAAGTTATGTTCAGGATTCCGGAAACCTCCTGCTGATCCAAACTAGCAATTCTAATTAACCCAATGGCAAGAAGAACTCATCAACTCACCTCTTTCTCCTCACCTCCTCCAAAATGTGTCCAGAAGACTGTAACCTAACCAGTCCAGCTTCAACTTAGGTGGGTTTCCCAGACATGCCTGAGATGACCTCTGCATGCCCGAGACCTCCCTTCCAGCAGAACCTCATACAGTATATTTCAGCAAGGACTTCTAAGTAAAATTCACTGGTGTCTTTTTGGACTAAAGAGGTTTTTTTAATCAGGGAATAAAACTGGCTCCAGGAAGTTAAAAAATTAAGGAAAGTGAGAATGGTAACTCTGTTCCACAGGCTGAACAGTTAACTGCATAACATTTAGAAATATTAACAAGGAGGGATGCCACTGTTGAGTTAAAGTATCTGCAATCAGAAGAGACCCAAAGCTTCTATTAGAGGATGACACAAATCAGTAAGGACTTAACAAGGACCCTCCTACTCTCTCTCATTGCCCAGATCTCAAAAAGCTGGGCTGAAAAGATGTGGGTACCAGCAAGAGCTAAAGGCTTTTGCCTGATGACAAAAGTCAACTTTGACAAGAGACTAAATTATCTTTGACCATCTATGTAAGGACTTTATACATGGAAATCTAAGTCAGTTGGCTCCTTAATACCAATGTGTCCCTGAGGGGGTCTAGTCAACAATTCCAGACCACTGCCAAATGAGCCATTCCTCCACCCAGTTCTGCCCCAGTAGCCCTTCTCTCCTCAGACTTAGTCTCTTCTCCCCCTTATCTCCCACAATACTTAGTACAGCAGCATCGCTTCCCTCCTAACTGTCCTACTAGGAGTACAATGCTTTCAGGGCAATGACTACTGCCATATTATTTGGAATCCCCATTATGCCTGGTATGTGATAGATACTCAATAAACAGTTATGGAAAGAATGAATGATTGTATTATTGAATAAGACAGATGGGTAGAGTACCTTGAGCAATGATCTAGGGTAAAATTCAATACAAACTCAATATAGCATAGTCGTGCTCAATGCCCAACACAGGAAGCCATCAGCTTCAGCAATACAGAGACATTCTCCACCCCAGGATCACAACCCCCAGCATCATTTCCAGCAAGCAGGAGTCTTAGACAAGGGTTAGTAGAGAGTTTTGTTATTTATTGTTGGTGGTGGTGGCATTTAGTTTTTGTTGTTTTTTCCCCCAAGGATTTGAGAAGTTCTGAATACTGGTTTCTTTTTTTTTTTTTTTTTTTTTTTTTGAGATGGAGTCTCACTCTGTTGCCCAGGCTGGATGGAGTACAGTGGAGCGATCAGAGCTCACTCAGATCCGATCAGAGCTCAGCAGTCTCAAACTTCTGAATTCAAGCAATCCTCCCACCTCTACCTCCCAAGTAGCTAGGAGTACAGGCACATGCCACTGTGCCTGGCTAATATTTTTATTTTTGATAGAGACCAGGTCTCTCTATGTTGCCCAGGCTGGTATCGAACTCCTGGGCTCAAGTGATCCTCCCACTTTGGCCTCCCAAAATTCTGGGATTACAGGCATGAGCCACCAAGCTTGGCCAATAGTGGTTTCTTAATGTGGTATAAGAGGGAAAACACAGGTCCCAGCTCCCTGTCTCTGTGACCCTGACCTGAGTCTTCAGTTTCTATGAGCTTCATGTTCCCCATAGCCACAAGTAAAGGAGGAAATAAAAGCTAACTTATCTTTGGTAAATCCCCTCACTTTCTCTTTCCCTCTCTCCTTTTGTCCCCTTTCAGCTCTCTTTTAGCCCTCTCTGCCTCCTTAAAGGCCCTTTCTATTTCTCTTCTCCTCCTCTTTCCTGACCTTTCTGTAACAACTGGCCATGATGGAACTAAAATAATTATTTCATTACTTGATACTCATTGAATCAAGATTGTTCTCTCTTTAATGGACAAGTTCAAAATTTTATATTCTTCAGAAGCCAAGCCTAATAAAACCTTTTTCAATGGATTATGCATTTGCATAACCCTAAAATTATAGTCTATCAAAGAAGAAAAGTTTCCCCCAACTTTATTAGAAATAAACAATACTAAAAGAAGAGACTAGGGAGGGAAGGTCCTCTCTGCTGTATACCTCCTGAACTTAGGCCTGGAATCACGGGATCCAGGAGGTAAGCGAGAAGGCAGGTTTGTGCTCAGACCTGCAGACAGCAAAGCTGTGAGCTAAGCTGAGAGTTTAGAGAACAAGGAAGGCTAAGGGCAGGTTGAATGAAATCCCCTGTGGCAGGCTACTGAAGGAGTTCACTTGTGTCTCTCGATGCTATACAGTCATCCCCCCATATCCACAGTTTCGCTTTCCACAGGTTGAGTTACCCACAGTTGACTGAAAAGATTAAATGGGAAATTCCAGAAATAATTCCTATGGCTTAAATTGCATACTATTCTGAGTAGCATGATGAAATCTCCCACAAACCCACCCAGGATGGGAATCCTCCCTCTGTCCAGCATTTCCATGCTACAGACGTCACCCACCTTTAGTCATTTAGTAGCCACCCTGGGCGCTCAGATCTATTGTCATGGCATCACAATACTGGTGTTCAAGTCACCCTTATTTTACTTAATAATGGCCCCCAAAGAGCAAGTACAAGGATGCTAGCCATTTGGATATGCCAAGGAGAAGCCACAAAGGCCTTCCTTTATGTGAAAAGGTTAAGGTTCTCAAGCCAATAAGAAAAGGAAAAAAAAATTGTATGCTGAGGTTGCTGAGATCTGGTTTAAGAGTGAACCTTCTATCAACGAAATGGTGAAGAGTATATTGTTGTAATTATTCTATTTTATTATCATTGTTAATCTCTTACTGTGCTCAATTTATAATATTAAACTTTACCATAGATATGTGTAAGTAGGGCCAGGTGTGGTGGCTCACACCTGTAATCCTAGCACTTTGGGAGGCCGAGGCAGGTGGATTGCCTGAGGTCAGCAGTTCAAAACCAGACTGGCCAGCATGGTGAAAACCCATCTCTACTAAAATACAAAAATTACCCAGGCGTGGTGGCAGGCACCTGTGATCCCAGCTATTTGGGAGGCTGAGGCAGGAGAATTGCTTGAAACTGGGAGGCAGAAGTTGCAGTGAGCTGAGATCGCACCTTTGCACTCCAGCCTAGGTGACAGAGCGAGACTGTCTCAAAAACAAAACAAACAAACCAACAAAGATATGTGTAAGTAGGAAAAAAAATCAGTAGGGTTCAGCACTATCCACGGCTTTAGGCAGCCACTGAGGTGAGGGTCTTCAATGAGGGTAGTTCCCCTGCCTCCTCGGACTGGGGGGACTACTGTACATCTATAAAGAGAGTGAAATAGATACACAGGACTTTAACTAGATGACCTTTATGTTTCCTTCCATGAACTTTCTCTATTTGGAAGCCACAAAATAGTAAAGGACTAGAATTCTGGTGCCAGGAATTCAACACTTATTTTAAACAGTATCTGCTGTCTGGTGACCACCCTAGACTCTGAACTTCTAATCTTGGTATCTTTAAATCTGAATGCCTTTTATTCCTCATTCAGTTTCCACTGTTCTTCCTCACCTTCCTGTGTTTCTAAGGAAAACACCTGAGAATGCCTCTCCCCTCCCCACGCCTCCACGATAGAAAGGTTAGTGCACGGCCAACCATGACTGCCCCGGGCTTTCTCCAAAACAGCTCCATTGAAGAAATGATGCTGAGTTTCCATTTTGCACACTGACCCTCCCATGGGGCTCACCCTCTGCCTTTACCTACGCTTAAATTTTCTCTGTAGCATCTGTCGCCATTTGAAAGGCTATTGCATTTCACTTTTTTTAAAAATCATGTTTTCCCCCCAGAGCATCTGGGTTTTTCTGTGTTGTTTGCTGCTAAGCCAACAACATGCTGGGCACATAGAAGGCACCTAGATTTGTCACATGAATGAGCACATCCTCCAAAAATCCCCAAATTTGGCCTGGCATGATGGCTCATGCCTGTAATCCCAGCACTTTGGGAGGCCGAGACAGGTGGATTACTTGAGGTCAGGAGTTCGAGACCAGCCTGGCCAGCATGATGAAACCCCGCCTCTACTAAAAATACAAAAATTAGCCGGGCGTGGTGGAGGACACCCGTAATCCCAGCTACTCGGGAGGCTGAGGTAGGAGAATCGCTTAAACCCAGGAGGCAGAGGTTGCAGTGAGCCGAGACTGCACACTGCACTCCAGCCTGGGCGACAGAGCGAGACCCCATCAAAAAAAAAACAACACAGAAACAAAAACAAATTTAATATAAACTCCAAAATCCATCTTCAGAGACAAGTCTCCATATAAACATAATACATGGAAGGTTAAGTGTTCCTTCAAATGTGGGCAATACTCTCATGCAAATTTTTGTATAAAGTGGATTTTTCTCTTTTTTTTGAGACAGGGTCTCACTCTCTTACCCAGGCTGGAGTGCAGTGGCGCAATCATACCTCACTACAGCCTCAACCTCCCAGGCCCAAGCGGTCCTCTCACCTCAACCTCCCAAGTAGCTGGGATAACAAGGCACGTGCTACCATGCCCGGCTATTTTTTTAAGTATATTTTTGTAAAGATAGAGTCTCATTATATTGCCCAGGCTGGTCTCAAACTCCTGGCCTCAAGTAATCCCCCCACCTTGGCCTCCCAAAGTGTTGGGATTATAGGCATGAGCCACTGCGCCTGGCCTAAAGGGGGTTTTATAAACAGAACTGGTAACACTTTACTTTCTACCTGACACTACACACAGAATTTCTCAGAGTATTATATGTTTTTTCTAAATCTAGTCTTAATAAGCTTTCAACCTCTTTATATATATAAAATAGTTTTCTGAAATGATGGTCATAATTTTGCTTAAAAAAAAACACAAAAAACATTGCTAGTGCCTAAGGGCACATACAATACCCCTGACTCATAACCAACTGCTGATTCAACACCTCCTCCTCTTGGGTGTCTGATAAGCATATCAAACTAAATAATGTCCAAACAGAACACCTTTTCATCCCACAAAAAAATCCTGCTCCTCCCAGGCTTCTCCCTCTCAGTTATCAGCCGTCACATCTTTCCCCTTGCCCAGATTTTCCAAAGAAAAGAAAACCTTCAGGTGACTCTGCAGCCCATCCCTTCTTTGTCACTCTTTGATAGGACACATCTAAGCCATCCAAGTCCTATTACTTCAACATGCAAAGTATATCCAGAAACAGTCACATTGACCCTATAAGGCTCACCCTCTGCCCCTGCCCAAGCTTAAATTTTCTACTCAGCACCTGTCAACATTAGAAGGGCTATTATATTTCACTTTTTTGAAATCATGTTTTCCCCTGGAGGCATCTAGGCTCCACAAGGATGGGGTTTTTCTGTGTTGTTTGCTGCTAAGCCACCCACACCTACAACATGCTGGGCACATAGAAGTCACCCAGATTTGTCACGTGAATGAACACATCCTGTAAAAATTACCTATTTTAACATATTTAAACTCCAAAATCCATTACGAGTCCATGATATCAACTTCTCAGTTACAAATATAAATATTAAATAATTTACAGATATAAGTAAGTCTGCAATAGCAAAAGTTTCCTAAAGGCCTGGATTCTGCAAATGGGTTTCAGAAAGAGGGTGCAAGGACACACACCAGTGCAAATGTGCATTTTCTCGTAGGTAAGTGACTGAGTGCTGGGGAGGAAGGAATGGTGTAGCCCACCGCCAGCACACTTCTCGTGTAACACTCCAGCAATTCTGCTCAGACCCCAAAACCTGAATGCCTAAAAGAAAACAAAATCCTTCCAAAGTTCACCAGGGCCTCTGTCCTTACAAAGTTTCCCATGGCCTGGCTCCAAGGGGAGCCCGACACACCTGATTTCTTCAATCTCCTCCCATTCTCTGTAGTCCAAAATAGCCATTCTCCATGCCCTAAAGTTCAACGATCACCAGACACTAAAGTTCAACGATCACCAGACACAGGCATCGCTGGAATGGATCTCGCGTGAGGGTAGAGCACCCACACCACAGGTGTTCTCAACATGGTCCCAACCCAGCTTATCTCGGCCCATGACCAAGTAAATTAAACTCAGGTGGCACCTGTAAAGCTGTGATCTTCTGTTATTTTTCCTCTAACGTTCCTCCCTTCCTAAAACACGCTCAAAGCCCATTTTCTCATCCCTTCCCGCTTCACTCTACTACCTGTTGTTTCTATGTCAACCTAAGCAACAGGCAATGTGGACCCTGTCCACCTCTCTTCCGGGTCCCCCAACCCCCCTCCACACCTGCACTCTGGGTTCAACATGGGTCCTTCCATGCCATAGGCACCTCAGAGATTTCCTACTACGGAGCTTCAAAGCCTTCTCTGGTTCATCCACAGCCTTCTTGTCTCCCTGTTCTCCCACCAGCTAATCCATGCCTTTCACTTCTTCACAGGGCCCTCACTTTATAATCCCATCTTCCCAGCACTTTCCCACACGACAACCAGTACCAAGCATCTACAGCCATTGTGCATGATTAGCCATCTTAGTCTTCTTCCTTAAAAAAAGATGCACTTGGCATATTTGTACACAATTTAGTAACAGAATAAAATGAAGAAATGTGAGTAAGATTTTTTTTTAAGAGACAGGTTCTCACTTTGTCACTCAGGCTGGGGTGCAGCGGCATAATCATAGCTCATTGAAACTCCTGGGCTCAAGCAACCCTCTCGCATAGCTGAGACTGGAGGTGCATGCCATCATGCCCGGCTAAGTGAGTAGGATATTAATTATTTCTGCAGCCCAAGTTATGCGGCTGACTCATAAGGAGATGAAAGCATTGTTCATTGCAACTAGCAAGTGAAGGATCTGACGACTAGCCAGAGATGCCATACTATATAGTCAGCAAGGCCCGTGTGGCCACCTGCTAGATGCAGGGCTCATTGTTGCCAAGATCCTTCTGAGCCCATCAGTGTATGATGTTGACTATCCTCTGAAAATCAGGCCATTGGCCGGGGACTGTGGCTCACGCCTGTAATCCCAACACCTTGGGAGTCTGAGGCAGGAAGATTGCTTGAGCCCAGTAGTTTGACACCAGCCTGGACAACATGGCAAAACCCTGTCTCGACAAAAACATACAAAAAACTGGCCAGGTGTGGTGGCAGGCACCTGTAGTCCCAGCTACTCAGGAGACTGAGGTGGGAGAATCACCTGAGCCTGGGAAGTCAAGGCTGCAGTGAGACGTGATCGTCTCATTGCCCTCCAGCCTGGGTGACAGAGTGAGACCCTGTCTCAAAAAAAAAGAAAAAAGAAAAATCAAAAAAAAAATCTGGACATTAATTAGTGCCTGTTCAAATCAAGCGCTTTCTTCCAAACGATTAAACTTCATCTCTCATAAGAGATGACATAGTTCTCTCTTGCTTCCAAGCTCAAATAAGCACTTGCCAGACTAAGGAATAAGACTCCTTAACAAAGCGAGCATCTGAAGCTACTCATTTAAGTTTGCGCACCAAGAAGCACAGAGAATAATATACAATTGATCCTTGAACAATGCAGGGATTGGGGTGCCAACCCCCTGTGCAACCAAAAAACCACATATTAATTTTTGACTCCCCAAAACCTTAACTAGTAATAGCCTACTGTTGGCTGGAAGCCTTACCAGTAACATAAAGTTGATGAACACATATTTTGTATGCTCTATGTATTATATACTACATTCTCACAATAAAGTAAGCTAGAGAAAGGAAACCGCCATTAAGACAATCATTGTGGAAAATCATTGAGGAGAAGATACACATGGAAGTGGATCATCAAAGGTTTTCATCCTCATCATCTTCACATTGAATAGGCTGAAGAGGAAGAGGAAGATGAGGGATTGGCCTTGCTGTCTCAGAGGTGGAAGAGGCTGAAGAAAATCTGCACGTAGGCCGGGCGCAGCACACGCCTGTAATCCCAGCACTTTGGGAGGCCGAGGCGGGTGGATCACTTGGGGTCAGGAGTTCAAGACCAGCCTGGCCAACAATGGTGAAACCCTGTCTCTATAAAAATACAGAAAAATTAGCCGGACATGGCGGTGCACATCCCAGCTACTCAGGAGGCTGAGACAGGACAATCGCTTGAACCCAGGAGGCAGAGGTTGCAGTGAGCCAAGATCATGCCATTGCACTCCTGCCTGGGCAACAGAGTGAGACTTCATCTCAAAAAAAAAAAGAAAGAAAAAGAAAAAAAAAGAAAATCTGCACATAAGTGGACTCTTGCAGTTCAAACCCTTGTTGTTCAAGGGTCAACTGTGCTTCACTGGGGTCAAAGAATTGCTCTGGAAGCTGAATTACATGCATGTGAACATGTAATTCACACTTCTCAAGGCTAAACAACTGATAGAATTTAGTCAGTTATCTTGATGCTTTCCCAGATTGCTCAAAGTTTATCTGTCCCTGGGAAATAAATATGAGTGTCTTTAATTTAAGACATGTGTCACGTAACTCAGCGCACAGCCATGCCCCACACATAAGCCTCACTTATGTGAGCCCACACATGCCTGCAGGAGCGCCAACATGCCTTTCCAGGTGCATTTGTCCCAACAAGAACCAGATCCCATTTGTCCCAACAAGAACCCTTTCTCTCTACACCTTTGCCTCCATCACTGTGGCCCAAGGCACCATGAATTTTCAGGACCCCAACAGCCTGCTAGCTGGCCTACCCACCTTCACCCTTGGTTTCCCTGTGATCTTTCAATAGAAAAGCCAGAGTGGATTCTTAAAAATATCATGCCATGCTGCTCTCCTGCAGTAGAAAAACAATGAAACTCATGGTGGGGTGCTGTGCTTGACTGGGTCCCCTTCGTTCAGTGTTCCAGCCACCCTGGCCTGATGTGTTTCTGACAGTCTCCCACATTCCCGTTTGTCCCCTTGCGTGCGAGCAAATGCTTTTCCCCATCTTCTCCCATGATTAGATCTTCTCTCCTGCAGGTCTCAATCCCCAGAAAGTCCTACCCTTGTGTACAAAAAACCAAACATACCCTCATTGTCGATCATTTATATCCTCATTCTCACTTTCTTTACCCATTTACTACAATCTATTTGTGTAGATACAAAAAAATGCACTTAATTACTTTGTCACTTTCCCCTCTAGAACAAAAGCTCTCTGAGGGCAGGATTTTTTTATGGTGTTCACTGGGCCAGGGACCAGGCGAGCCACTCAAAACTGCGGGGTGAACGAGTGAGTGACTCTCCACCCAGGCTGAAGAGCAGCAGCAGAGAACACCCACATCTGGGGCCCAGCAACCCTCTTTAAGCGCCTGCAGGAGAAGGGGAATGTGCAGGTCACTTGAGGTCAGTAAATGATTGAACAGATGCTCTAGCCTCACTCAATAAATCATTTATTATTGAAAGAATAGTGCATTGTAAAGTACTTTCAGGTGTGGCAAATTATTAATCATTGGTTAGTTTTCCTTGAAGAGTCTGCCAGCCCTGCCTGCGGGAGGCTGCTGGGCCCGGCCTGGGGGCTACATTGGGGCAGGGTGGAGAAGGAGGTAGGCTGCTCAGAGTCAGGGACTCTGGAGAGCAGGAGCTGGGTGCAGGGAGACACAATGACAGATCTCACAGGAAAACCCACTCTACCTCATTAGAAATGCCTTCCCCCGGCTGGGCATGGTGGCTCACGCCTGTAATCCCGGCACTTTAGGAGGCTGAGGCAGGTGGATCACCTGAGGTCAGGAGTTTGAGACCAGCCTGACGAACATGGAGAAATCCTATCTCTACTAAAAATTTAGCCAGGCGTGGTGGCACATGCCTGTAATCCCAGCTACTCAGGAGGCTGAAGCAGGAGAATCGCTTGAACCAGGGAAGTGGAGGTTGCGGTGAGCTGAGATCACGCCATTGTACTCCAGCCTGGGCAACAAGAGTGAAACTCCGTCTCAAAAAAAAAAAAAAGGAAGAAAAAAAGAAACGCCTTCCCCTAAGGCAAGGTTTCTCAGCCTCAGCACTACTGGCATTTGGAGCTGAAAAACTCTTTGTTGGGGGTGTCGTCCCGTGCACTGTAGGATGGTTAACAGCATCCCTGAACCCCACCCTCAAGAAGCCAACAGCATCCCCATCCCAAGTCCTGACAACTAAAATTATCTGAGGCATTGCCAGGGTGGCAAAATCACATGGATCAGAACCACCGCACTAAAGTTTTTTACAGCCTTTCTGGACAGGCTATAGAATCTTAAATCAAATGTTGACCTCAGACAGAAGTTGCAAGACAATGACAGCAGTCTTTTAGCCACGTTAGCAAATGATATAAACCCATTAGTAAATCCACCGGTTCAATTCCACTCCAAGAGTTCAAGGCATCTATGTTAACAAAGAATTACAGTAAGATGGGACATGTTACATCTGTGTAGTGTGGGGAAAAAAAAAAAAAAAAGATGGGACACATGTGGACACAGGCTATGCACAGACTCTACTTCTGGGCTTTCTAAGGGATCAACATCCCAGCTCACGAGACTCATCTTCTGTACAGCAGAGTTTCTCAAAGTGTGATCTCTGGACCAGCAGCACCAGAATCCCCTGAAGAGTTAGAAATGCAAATTCTCAGGACCCACTCCAGGTCTATGAATCAGGAACTCTGAGAGTGGGGCCCTGCAATCTGTATCTTCTGATGTTCTCCAGGTGATGCGGATGCAGGTTCAGGTTTGAGAACGTGCCATACAGCTTGCTTTGACACACCAAATGGGAAGCACTTGTCTGACATATACGCCAATACTCCCAACCCAACCCTGGCTCATTAGCAAAATCCCTACCTCAGCCTGGGGAGTTTTACTGGGGAGTTTCTTGTTTTGTTTTTCGGTAAACTTCAATATGTTACCCAATTATGCCTGGGGAATTTTAAAACAAAAACCCACAGACACCTAGAACCGCAACCTAAATGACTGAATCAGAACAAGCCAAGATGAAACCCAAGTGGCGGTCCTTAAAAAGCTCCCCTCACCCAGCACATCCTGGTTATCAGCCAGGTCTGGGAACCATCTGTACGGTAGAGAGAAGAAAGAGGGTATAGTCAGGTACCTGGGAAGTTGGAGAGGGTTTGGAGAAAGGGACACAGTTTGAGCAAACTTTAGGAAAAGAATTTGGAGTTTACCAAGAAGACAAAGGAGGAAGAAGGGACAAATTTTCCAGAAAAATGGAGCCACACAGCCAAGACTTATTGCTTGGAGACAGCAGAGAAAATGCTGCATGGGGTCTGGGGTGATAATGGGGTAATCAAAGGTCTTGTGTTCTAAACTCAGAAAGTTGGACTTTATCCTAAAGATAACAGGGAAATTGTGAATGTTTTTAAGCTACTTTGTATATGATGAACTGTGGAAGGCAAGGAAATCAGTCAGGAATTGGATTTGAAAGAAACTTCACCAATACAGTGACTTGCATCCTTTTATTCAAGCAAACTAGATCCCTTCACCCTCCCAATATCCCCAGTCTGCACAATTCTCACCTCCCCTGCTTGGTCGTAACTCTGTGACTCTACCACAAAAATAAGCAGATGCACAAGAAGTCAGTTTAAAATTCCACATCCTATTTCTCATTTACTCTAGGATCTCAAAACAAGAAAAACATCGCAACCCAAGTCATCTTTTCAAAAACAATTTTGTAAATGTCCTATTTCATAGAAAAGGAAGAAGCAACTCTAAATCAAATTTTTTACTCTGAAATTACCTAGAATTCCCAGGCCCAGTGGCTCACGCCTGTAATCCCAGCACTTTGGGAGGCCGAGGTGGGCAAATCACCTGAGGTCAAGAGTTCAAGACCAGCCTTGACCAAAATAGCGAAACCCCGTCTCTACTAAAAATACAAAAATTAGCTGGGCGTGGTGGTGCGTGCCTGTAATCCCAGCTACTCAGGAAGCTAAGGCGGAAGAATCACTTGAACCCAAGAGGCAGATGTTGCAGTGAGCCAAAATCACACCACTGCAACTCCACCCTGGGCGACAGAGCAAGACTCCCTATCAAAAAAAAGAAATTACCTAGAACTAGCATAGCAGTAACATAAAAAGCTGTATCTATGAGCAGCTCTTCTTATCCACAAAACATATCTTAAATTCATTGTCATTAAAACAAGATATTAGAAAGGAATGGCTTATCCATTTACTAGTATTAATGGTGACATGGCTATTGAAGAAGAAAAAAACACAAAAAAAAGTAATAAACCTTATATACAGAGTTTTACACAATTAGAACTCCAATCCTACATTGACTGAAGACAGTAAGCTAGCACATTAGAGGTGCAAGATGTACAATACCAATAAACAGTCAAAAATCTACTGCATTACTATATTCTAATGATACTGAAAACGTTAATAAGAAATTAACTTCAAGCCAGGCATGGTGGCTCATGCCTATAATACCAGCGCTTTGGGAGGCTGAGGCAGGGGGATCTCTTGAGCCCAAATGTTCGAGACCAGCCTGGGCAACATAGTGAGACCTTCTCTCCACACAAAAAAAAAAAAATTTAATTGGCTGGGCACAGTGGCACACACCTGTAGTCCTAGCCACTCTGGAGGCTGAGGTAGGAGGAATGCTTGAGCCCAGGGGCTTGAGGTTACAGTGAACAATGATCAAAAGTATCCACTAGGTTGGGAGGCCAGCCTAGGGCAACATGCCTGGGGGGCAGCTCTCAGCAAGTTCACAAGCAGCAGCCTGGGAGCACAGCCCTGGGGCCCCGCACACCAGGTCCCAGGAACACTCTCTGCAAGGAGATGGCCCACGTGGCTGGGGCCCTGGTGACAAACAAGAGGACTGAGCAAAGAAGTCAACGTGTTGAGGACAGCAGGAGTCAAGTTTCTCACTACTGAAGGATGAAGATACAAATATGGAAAGAGGGAGAACCAGAACAAAGCATGAGATTTTTGAACTGTGATTTGAAGCACTGGTGTGAAGTCTATCTAATTTGTTTCCTAATACAGATCTATATAAATAGATACCTAAATAAAGATAGAGAAATCAATATACACTGATCCTCTTTAGTGACAAATCCTGTATTTGTGAGTTTGCCTACTTGCTAAATTGTAACCCCAAAAATCAGTCCTCCAGGTGTCTTGCAGTCCTTCACGGACATGCACAGAGTAGCAAAATATTTGAGTCACCCAACATGCATGCTCCCAGCTGAAGTCAAACGAAATGACACTTAGACTTTTTTTTTTTTTTTTCCCAAGACGGAGTCTCACTCTGTTGCCCAGGCTGGAGTGCTGTGGTGCGATCTCGGCTCACCACAACCTCCGCTTCCTGGGTTCAAGCGATTCTCCTGCTTCAGCCTCCTGAGTAGCTGGGATTACAGGCACACGCCACCATGCCCGGCTAATTTTTTTGTATTTTTAGTAGAGACGAGGTTTCACCATGTTGGCCAGGCTGGTCTCGAACTGCTGACCTCAAGCAATCCAGCCACCTTGGCCTCCCAAAGTGCTGGATTTACAGGTGTGAGCTACCACGCCCAGCTGACACTCTGCCTTCTTATTCCCGCTCTTAGAGTAGAAACAACTGTCCTTCTTGTGGGCTGTTCAGTACCATGTTCTTCACATTTTGGGGACTTTTGTGGGTGACTTCGCTGTCTAAAGTGGCCCCAAGCATCATGCTCAAGTGCAGTCTAGTGCATCAAAGCGCAAGGCGGGTGTAATGTGCCCTACAGAAAAAAACGTGTGTTACAGAAGCTTCCTTCAGGCATGAACTATAGTGCTGCTGGCTGTTAATTCAAGGTTAATGATTAATTATATATTAAAAAAGGTGTCTCTAAGCAGACACATGCATAAAACAAGGTTATATATTAAATGGCTGACAAAAATGTGACCAAAGGCGCATAGGAACCTAACCCTGTATTTCGCCTGGAAGCAATGGTTCAGTATTCACTAGTCCTGTGTTTGTGGAGACTTTATAGAGCTCCACTAGTAACAAGAACCAACTGTATATGTATATGTGTGTGTATATATATACACATACACACAAATATATAAATAATATGTGTTGATCTGTGTATGCAAATACATTCTAGCTTTGTCCGCTTAGAGTTCCTAGAAGCAATGAGATCCCATAACAATAAATATGCCTAGGCCGGGCACAGTGGCTCACGCCTGTAATCCCAACACTTTGGGAGGCCAAGGTGGGTGAATCACCTGAGGTCAGGAGTTCAAGACCAGCCTGGCCAACATGGTGAAACCCCGTCTCTACTAAAAATACAAAAATTAGCCCAGCATGGTGGCATGCACCTGTAATCCTAGCTACTTGTGAGACTGAGGCAGGAGAATCACTTGAACCCAGGAAGCAGAGGTTACAGTGAGCCGAGATCGTGCCACTGTACTTCAGCCTGGGTAACAGAGACTCTGTCTCAAAAAAGAAAAAAAAAAAATGCATAGTACCCAGCACTCTTTCTAAATATAGTATCCACTTATGAAAAAGAATATGTAACTTTTCTTTTTAATGCAGAGGCTCTTTTGAGAAATGGCTGAATCCAAGATCGGGGCAGAAGAAGTACAAGACATGTCTGAACTATCTTTTTGTGCCACAAAAGTAATGAAATGTTCAAAGAATCCCGACAACATGTCCAAAGGACCCAGGAGCTCCCACTGGCCAAACCTGGGACAATCTGAGCACCAAAATAAATCATAAGTGTAATGGATTCAAATCTAATAAATAAAATTATTCATAAGTCCATAGTGCTATAAATAAATGAGTGAATAAATGGGGAAAACAGAATATTTCTTACTGTAGAATGCCAACCAATTAAGAACAGAATTAACAATAGAATCAGAAAAAAAAAAATCATCATTTGGCAACTTCCACAGTAATAAGTGATTCAGTTATTGAAAAGCCATCCACGGTTGCTAAAATCAGTGGGTAAAAGTTTCATGAGAAGCAAGATATTTTCATAGCCTCCAATTATCTCCCCATAAAACACTTACCTAAAAGCATAAAGTATTGCATAATCAACTTTAGAACAGGGAAACGTGGCAGACAAGACCTTAACAGAGTGATAACAGTTACCATCACCACTGTGTGCCTCCGGATACAATGCACTGAGGATACTGTATTTATTTTTATGGTATTTCTGCTATGAAGTCACATCACATTTTTTTGTGTCTTTGAAGAATATTCTAGAATGTGATGACCTGAATATTTTTCAAACTATCAAGGACATGAGAGACAATAAAAGACTGCAGAAGTGTTCGAGGCTGAAGGATACTAAAGAAATATGAGCGCTAAATACATTATAGGATCCTGGGCCCAAAAAATTAATATAGGGAAACTGGTTATGGAGTTTGAAGATAAATTTCTGAATTTTGTTGGGTGTTCTATAACTATGATGGAAAGTGCCTTTTTATTTAAGAAACATGCACTAAAATTTAGGTATAAGGGGCCTCAGATCTACAATCCACTTTTTTTTTTTTTTTTTTTTTTGAGACAGAGTTTTGCTCTTTCTCTCAAACTGGAGTGAAGTGGTGTGATCTCAGCTCACTGCAACTTCCGCTTCCTGGGTTCAAGCGATTCTCCTGCCTCAGCCTCCTGAGTAGCTGGGACTACAGGTGTGCACCACCACACCTGACTAATTTTTGTATTTTTAGCAGAGATGGGGTTTTGCCATGTTGGCCAGGCTGGTCTCGAACTCCTGACCTCAGGTGATCCACTCACCTCAGCCTCCCAAAGTGCTAAGATTACAGGTGGGAACAACCACATCCAGACTACAATCCACTTTCAAGTAGTTCAGATAACAAAGGAATAATATAAACAGAGAAAGAGACATTGACAACTATGGTAGAAGCTAACAGGAGGGAATCTGGATGAAGGATATACAGGAGTGGTATGTATGCACCACTCTTGCAACTTTTCTGTCAGGTTGAATTATTTCAAAATAAAAAGTTAAAAGACACTACCAGATGTTAAAGTATTTCAAAGACAATGATTAAAACTCTAGAGTACTGGTTTAAAAGCATGACACAATAAGAAAAAAAAAAAGATTAAAAGTATAAAAATAAAAGGTTAACAAGGTAAAACATGAAATTAGCCAGGTACAGTGGCTCATGCCTGTAATCCCAACACTTTGGGAGGCTGAGGCTCGAGGACTGCTTGAGTCCAGGAATTTGGGCAAGTAGGAAATTACTGAACAGCTGCTATCACAGACAAATGCCTAACATTGTGAAGTGCTACACAGGGGAAGGAGACCCACGCTAAGAGGAGAGCATGCACCCAGACACAGAACTCAGAGGACACAGTTCAAAACACACATACAAGAGGCTTAGGCACCTGTGGGCGTGTGTGTGCTCACAGCCAGCAAAATGAAAAAAAATCCCAGCTCTGAAGGAGAGGCAAGTGCATGGCTTCCGTACAGATTGAAAATATGTCTTAGCATGAAAATTAAATATGCTTACCCAAGGCAGACTTAGATAACTGTGAAGGGGGAAAGACTAAAATGGGGGGAAATAAGGGGCCAAGATTACACAAAAGGTCGGGCTGTATCTGTCCCCCCCAGTCGCCAGCACTAACAGCACTTAGTGTGTGCCAGGCACTGGTTCAAGCATTTTAACGCAATCCTCACAATCCTGTGAAGTAGGCTCCTGAAGGGGGTTTAATGGTGGCCCCAAAAAGATATGCCCAAGTCCTGACCCCCAGTACCTGTGAGTATTACCTTTCCTGGTAAAGAATTGAATGTTATTTGGGAAAAGGGTATTTGCACATGGAATTAAACTGAGGATGTTGGAGTGAAGACATCATCCTGGATTATCCAAGTGGGTCCTAAATCCAATGGCAAGTGTCCTTCCAAGAAAGAGGCGGGGGAGACCTGGGACAGACAGAAGAGAAGAGAAGGAGATGTAAACACAGGTAGAGACTCAAGTGATGCAGCCACAAGCCAAGGACACTAAGGACGGCCGGCAGCCACCAGAAGCTGGAAGAGGCAAGGAATATTGTCCCCACCATACCAAGGGAACACAGCCTGGATTTTTTACCTTCTGGCCTCCTGAACTTAAGAGAATAAATGTCTATTGTCTTAAACCACCAAGTATGTAGGAATTTGTTATGGCAGCCTCAGCAAACTCATACAGTGCTGTTATCACCATTCCCTAAGGATGGGAAAACTCAGGCATATGGCAGACATGTAGCTGTCCTGGGGCACGCAGTTTGCATGTGACAGGGCTGAGACTAGTCCAGACAGCAGAGTTCAGAGCCCTCGCACCAACAAGCGACAGGCTCTCGGGAGCCAGCCAGGCCATCTTCCCCCATTAGTAAATGGGGCATTATCCCTTTGGTGAGGTGCCTGGGTAGCATTGGCCCCTGGGCTCTCTCCTGTTTCTGTGCACTGCATTACCAGCTGATATGGTTTGGTTGTGTCCCTACTCAAATCTCTTTTTTTTTTTTTTGAGATGGAGTTTCGCTCTGTCTCCACTCAAATCTCATCTTTTTTTTTTTTTTTTGAGACGGAGTTTCGCCCAGGCTGGAATGCAATGGTGCCATCTCAGCTCACTGCAACCTCCACCTCCCAGGTTCAAGTGATTCTCCTGCCTCAGCCTCCCAAGTAGCTGGGATTACAGGCAGGTACCTGCCACCATGCCCAGCTAATTTGTTTTGTATTTTTAGTAGAGATGGGGTTTCACCATGTTATGTTGGAAAGGCTGGTCTCAAACTCCTGACCTCAAGTGATCCACCCACCTCGGCCTCCCAAAGTGCTGGGACTACAGGTGTGAGCCATTGCGCCTGGCCATCAAATCTCATCTTGAATTGTAGCTCCCACAGTTCCCCCGTGTTGTGAGAGGGCCTCGGTGGGAGGCAACTGAATCATGGAGGCAGTTCTTTCCCATGCTATTCCCATGATAGTGAATAGGTCTCACGAGATCTGCTGGTTTTATAAAGTGGAGTTTCCCTACACAAGTTCTCTTGTCTGCCACCATGTGAGATGTGTCTTTCCCTTCTGCCAGGATTGTGAGGCCTCCCCAGCCACATGGAACTGTCCATTAAACCTCTTTCTTTTGTACACTGCCCAGTCTCAGGTATGTCTTTATCAGCAGTGTGAAAATGGACTAATACACCAGCTCCCCTGACTTGTCTTCTGCAAAGCTCTACAGGCATGGTGACAAGGGGCTGGGTGGTCAAAGTAAACAGGGCCAGAGAAATGAAGAGTAAGGAGTGGAGGGGAAGGAAGTCATATAATAAAGAATTTGGCTGGGTTTTATCCCTGGTTCTTCTAAATCCTTGGAATGCTCCAAGTAATAGAAGTGTGGTCCCTGATGGTTTACACTAACATAAATTATCAGGGACATAATATAACATAGTGGGTCCCTAGCAGCTGATGCTAACAGATGACTCAGGATGGGGGCTGTGCATATCACAAAGACCAATCCTGTGATGAGAGGGCTGGGCTTGGAGCCAACTGCTATTGCCCAACCTCCAGGGCAGGGGGTACTGGAGACTGAGATCAATCCCACAGCCAATGAGCCCGTCAATCGTGCCGATGTAATGAAGCTCCAATAAAAACTCCAGACACCAAAACCTGGATGAGATTTCCTGGCTGGCAATACTCTGGGCATTGTCAGACACTACTATGTGGGGAGAAGAAAGAGAGATCAGACTGTTACTGTGTCTGTGTAGAAAGAAGAAGACCTAAGAGACTCCAATTTGTTCTGCACTAAGAAAAATTCTTCTGCCTTGAGATGCTGTTAATCTGTAACCCTACCCCCAACCCTGTGCTCGCAGAGACATGTGCTGTGTTGACTCATGATTTAATGAATTTAAGGCTATGCAGGATGTGCTTTGCTAAACAAATGCTTGAAGACAGCGTGCTTCTTAAAAGTCATCACCACTCCCTAATCTCAAGTACCCAGGGACACAAAACAGTGCGAAGGCTGCAGGGACCTCTGCCTAGGAAAGCCAGGTATTGTCCAAGGTTTCTCCCATGTGATAGTCTACAATATGGCCTCGTGGGAAGGGAAAGACCTGACCGTACCCCTGCCCAACACCCTAAAGGGTCTGTGCTGAGGAGGATTAGTAAAAGAGGAAGGCCTCTTTGCAGTTGAGATAAGAGGAAGGCATCTGTCTCCTGCTCGTCCCTTGGCCCTTGGCAATGGAACGTCTCAGTGTAAAACCCAATTGTATATTCCATCTACTGAGATAGGAGAAAACCACCTTAGGGCTAGAGGTGAGACATGCTGGCGGCAGTACTGCTGTTTAATGCATTGAGATGTTTATGTATGTGCACATCAAAGCACACAGCACCTTTTTCTTAACCTTGTTTATGACACAGAGACATTTGTTCACATGTTTTCCTGCTGACCCTCTCCCCACTATTACCCTATTGTCCTGCCACATCCCCCTCTCCGAGAAATAATGATCAATAAATACTGAGGGAACTCAGAGACCGGTGCCTGGGGCGCGGGTCCTGGCGCGGGTTCTCCGTATTCTGAGCGGCGGTCCCCTGGGCCCACTTTTCTTTCTCTATACTTTGTCTCTGTGTCTCTTTCTTTTCTCAGTCTCTCGTCCCACCCGATGAGAAACACCCACAGGTGTGGAGGGGAAGGCCACCCCTTCACTAATAGGCTAGGAAGTGACAGGTCTCAACTCCCTGGAGATGGGACAAGAAAGCTTTGTATTTGGGACTCTCCCTTTGGTTCCAATTGGCAGCCATTTGCTGTAGTAAAACTGTAATTGTAAGTGTAGCACTTTCCTGAGTTCTGTGAGTCATTCTAGCAGATTATTGAACCCAAGGGGGTCATGGGAAGCATAGAATTTGTAGCTGGTTGACTAGAAGTCAGGGTGGGCTGGGCCACCCTGATTTGCCATACCTAAATCTTCCAAATACAGAGCCTACAACCTGTCAGCAGCACAAGCAGCTCACCTGCTAGTCTGGTGGCTGAGGCAGGAGGACTGCTTGAACACAGGAGGTGGAGGCTGCAGTGAGCTGAGACTGCGCCACTGCACTCCAGCCTGGGTGACACAGCGAGACTCCATCTCAAAAAAAAAATATATATATATATATATATATATACACACAACATTGATCAAGATTTAAAAGTAATACAGACCACAAAGAGTTTGAAGTTGACTTTCAGTTCTTTCTGAGGGAAGGGAGGAGCCTGGAATTGAGACAGGACACAGAACAGGGACCAGCAAAATCTTATTTCTTGATCTGGTTGCTACTTACCAGGATGTTAACCTTATAATTTATTATCCACGTTACACATTTGTTTGTATAATATTCTGTATCTGCTTTATAACATAAAGGTTAAAAAATGTAGTGAGAAGGTACACAATGTGATTTCAATGGATAATTTAACAGTGTATATATAATCGTATACTGACCATTTCCTACAGATACATCTGAAAATTACATAACAAATGCATGGTGACAGTGTGGGGTTTTGCAAGAAAAGAAAAGAATAGAGAAAAGAAAAACAGAGCAATGAAATACCATTCTTCACTTCACTCATCAGATGTGCCAAAAAAAGTAACACTTCTAGGGCAGGAAATGAGTAGAAGGAGGGTTAAGATTGGCTGGGAATTGATCATTGTTGACAGACTGGTATTCAGGGGTTCATTACTGTTCCCTCTACTTTTGTACATGTTTGTAATTTTCTGTCATAAGAGAGGATAAAGGAAGGGAGGGAGGAAGACGACCAGAAAATCCACATTTGTATAGCTCTTCAACGTTGGGCATTTGATAGGCATTAGGTTTTCTCCATGAAAAGAGGGACAGTCACCCAACTATTAATATTGGTGTTATCTGTAGTTGGAAATTAAATTAATATATTTTGTTAGTATTTTCTCTAATCAACAATGACTGTGGGAAGGGGAAGAGAAAAAATGACTTTTTTCATCTTTTAATACAGTGATTTAAGAAAAGTAAATATTCCACATTACCAGGCTGTGAAAAAAAAAAAAAAAAAGAAAGAAAAGAAAAATAGGAAAGGAATAAGAAAAGGTGGGCGTAATAGTGACTGCTGAACTACAACCACAGCTTAGCTCACCTAATCCATTCCTTGGCCCATTTGTGGGTCTGACCCTTCCTTCTCCCATCATTCCTGGCACAGGGTTTGACTTTATTACCCACCTCCTTTGCAGTTTGGTGAGACCCTGTGGCACAGAAGAGAAAGGGAGGTCTACCAGCAGCAGCCCAGCGTCAACCAAGCACACAACAGGGGGCTGGCCAGGGCCCACGCATGAGATCTAGTAGAGATTCTGATACTAAGTCTGGGACAGAGCATGAGAACCTGTGTTTCTCCCCAGCCCCAGATGATGGCAATGCTACTGTCTGCAAACCACACTGAGTAGGGAAGCTACAGGCAGAGCCACCACGCATGAGTTTCTCTTCTTTCAGATGCCTCATAGATGGTGGCCAAATGGGCCGGGCACGGTGGCTCACGCCTGTAATCCCAGCACTTTGGGAGGCCGAGGCGAGACGATTATAAGGTCAGGAGATCGAGACTATCCTGGTTAACATGGTGAAACTCCATCTCTACTAAAAATACAAAAAATTAGCCTGGCATGGTGGCAGCCGCCTGTAGTCCCAGCTACTCGGGAGGCTGAGGCAGGAGAATGGCGTGAACCTGGGAGGCGGAGCTTGCAGTGAGCCGAGATCGCGCCACTGCACTCCAGCCTGGGGGACAGAGCCAGACTCCGTCTCAAAAAACAGATGGTGGTCAAATGATAAGCAGTGGAAAAATACACCCAAGACGACCCAAGAAATAGCCAGATGGCCTTTCTCTCTTGACCCATAACAAAGTTTAGCTCAGATCTATGATTAACTCCAGTTAGTGCAGCTAAATAATGAATACAGAGACAGCTGCCGACGGATTACATTAGTGTGCAATGTGATAGGGGCTGGCTGGGCTCTACCAAAAACATAATCTGCCACCCTGAGTCAGAGACAGGGCTGTAAACAATGAGATCTCCAAAGGCAGTCACTGCTGGCCTAGGAAGCAGAGGATAAGAAGGTCACACGCTGGCCTTTGGTTCGCAGAGGTCCCCGTCAGCTGTGCCATTCTTACAAAGAAGCCTACACAGAGGTTGTTTATTCTCTAAGGCCACAGCTATGATTAACAGATTATTACTCTATAAAACCACAGCAAGTATTTGCGTTACCTCAGCCCTCAATATCCTAGCAGTCCGGTATTTATGAATGTCACAATGTTTGTCCAAAAATTTCAGGAAGCGGAGAACTTGTACCAAACCTCAAGGATACGTTGAGACACTGATCTGTAATGGAACCTTCTTGGTTCCTTAGCTTTATGTTCCTTTTCTATTTATATAACAAACAGACATTGGTCCTAACAGAAACAGAGCACGCAGCGTGACATAGCTCTGCACGAAACTGGAAGGAGACAAGCAGGATTCCCTGGGCCTTTAATCACCATTAGCCAACAGCCTGGAAAACAGACGGGACTCAATCCAAAAAGCTCCTAACCACCCAAGAAGTCTGATCACATGCCTCTCCCCACCAACTTTAAGAAAAAGCCAGTTTGAACTCACAAAAAATCTAAATTATTGAATATACACAAAGAGGTGCAGGCTGATTAATCTCTAGTACCTGAGATAACTTCCTCAGAGGAAATGCTCCAGCATGTTCTTTAAGCACATATTTTTTTTTTTTTGAGACGAACTTTCGCTCTTGTTGCCCAGGCTGGGGTGCAATGGCACGATCTCGGCTCACTGCAACCTCCACCTCCTAGGTTCAAGTGATTCTCCTGCCTCAGCCTCCTGAGTAGCTGGGATTACAGGCACCCGCCAGCACACCCGGCTAATTTTTTGTATTTTTACTAGAGATAGCGTTTCACCACGTTGGCCAGGCTGGTCTCAAACTCCTGACCTCAGGTGATCCACTTGGCCTCCCAAAGTGTGGGATTACAGGTGTGAGCCAACACGCCAAGCCTCTTTGTGCACATAAAGTGTCTGTGGTAAAATGTGTTTACAACATTCTCTAAGCAATCTAATTTATACTGTTCATTTGCCCTAAAAAAACCTTTCACAGACAGAGAAAAAAGTACTTTCCAGCCCAGTTTCTGTTTAAATGACCACAAATTTCATATTCAAACATGAAATCTAAATTAATCCTGTGAATTAATCTAAATTAATTCAGTGGATTATAAACTCCACAAGGCCACAGATTGATTTTAGCATCTAGTACTAAACATGTGGGGCCGGGCACGGTGGCTCACGCCTGTAATCCCAGCACTTTGGGAGGCCAAGGCAGGTGGATCACCTGAGGTCAGGAGTTTGAGACCAGCCTGGCCAACATGGTGAAACCCTGTCTCTACTAAAAATCCAAAAATTAGCCAGGTGTGGTGGTGCATGCCTGTAATCCCCGCTACTCGAGAGGCTGAGACAGGGGAATCGCTTGAACCCGGGAGGCAGAGGTTGCAGTGAGCCAAGATGTCACCATTGCACTCCAGCCTGGGTGACAGAGCGAGACTCCGTCTCAAAAAATAAAAAAATAAAAAAATAAAATAAACATGTGCTGGACAAACCTAAACACCTGCTACCTAACACAAAATCATACACACACACACACACCCCCTACAGGACCCCAATGACTTTATATGACAAGAAAGAAAACAAACAGATATTTAGGCATAATTAACCTGGAAAACAGGTTGGGCTCATAAAAATCCCAGAAATTTTATCTATGGCAATTGATTTTTTTTATCCTAATTCAAAGAGCAATTTATGAAGAAGATGGTCCCTGCTTATCTGGAATGTTCCCTGAAACTTCCAAACCTTTTACCAAAGTCGCCAAACCAATAGCACATGTGTTACAATTATTTGGGGGCATTTTCTTTTCCTGACGTTTCTTTCAGCTTTGACAAGGTAGGGCCTCCCACAACGTCAGAGTGAGGTTCAGGTGCGAGTGTGTTTTGCTCAGCCTTACCGCAGCTCTGTCGGCCTGGATGGGCGTGGGGTCCCAAATAACACCCTCTAGGCCATGGCTTCCTTTCTTTCCTGGCCCCTTCCCTCAGGTTGTGAGTCTTTAGCCCACCTAGCAGACTCAGGGTGTGCCACCAGTTCCCTGGAGGAGCAGATCATTGAAAATACAGCAAAGTTAAAATTAAACGCAACAAGGCCAGGTGCATTGCCTTCTGTTCCATGGGGACTATTTGTCCTAAGACTTTGACTGAGCACCATGGACCCTCCTGCTCTGTCAAATGCCTCTTCCTGCTGGCTCCAGGTTTACACTACTGATATGGCTCTGTGTCCCCACCCAAATCTCATCTTGTAGCTCCCACAGTTCCCACATGTTGTGGGAGGGATCCAATGGGAGATAATTGAATCATGGGGGCGGGTCTTTCCTGTGCTGTTCTTGTGATAGTGGATAAGTCTCACGAGATCTGATGGGTTTTTTTTTTGGTTTGTTTTTTTTTTTTTTTTTTTGAGACGGAGTCTTGCTGTTGCCCAGGCTGGAATGCAGTGGCGCGATCTAGGCTCACTGCAGGCTCCGCCCCCCGGGGTTCACGCGATATCTGATGCTTTTAAAAATAAGAGTTTGCCTGCACAAGCTCTCTCTTTGCCTGCTGCCATCCACGTGACTTTCTCCTCCGTGCCTTCTGTCATGATTGTGAGGTCTCCCCAGCCACATGGAACTGTAAGTCCACTAAACCTCTTCTTTTGTAAATTGCCCAGTCTCAGGTATGTCTTTATCAGCAGCGTGAAAACAGACTCATACAACTAACAAGCCTGCTTTAGCTTTTCACTGTTCTGCCCAAGCAACTTTCCCCTTCAGCCAGGCCAGTAGATTTCTCATACAGCAGGGTGACCCTGTTCAGGGCCTTTGTACTGTTTATATTTTTTACTTTGTGCATACTATGATGTCTTGACGTTTTGGAAACCTCTCTGGCTGGGGAGAGACTGTCCTTCCCAGAGCTGGCCAGTTCTTAGAACCAGAAGGGCCCAGCCAGGAGCACAGCTCTGATATGCAAACCAACCAACCCAGAGCTATGCCGTCTTTATCTAGCCTGTCCACCCCAGGAAGCAGTATTTCTTCACCTATATCATGCCAGAGCCTGATAACAAGCAACTAGAAACCATGCCTGTAGCTTACAGCCTGCCAAAATTATTCAAACTAGCCAATTCTAAACTGTTCACATGCACTCCCCTGCCCTGTCCCTGAAAGCTCAAGAAAGACCATGGCCCAGGCTCTCCCCTCACTCCTGCCCCTTCAGGCTCCTACAGGGGGGACCAAGACTGATGCTTCCCCATGTGGCCCTGCAGGGCATGACATGCTTCCCGTCTCTAAGACCTGTGAGTATAATAACCTTGGCCTTCCTGAGCACCTCCTCTGCCTCCTCCTGTGGCCACATCTCACTGACCATCACAAAAAACAACATAGAATAAGCCAGGCATGGTGGCTTATGCCTGTAATCCCAGCACTTTGGGAGGCCGAGGCAGGCGGATCACTTGACGTCAGGAGTTCGAGACCAGCCTGGCCAACATGGTACAACCCTGTCTCTACTAAAAACACAAAAATTAGCCAGGTGTGGTGGTGGGTGCCTGTAATCCCAGCTACTCAGGAGGCTGAAGCAGGATAATCACTTGAACCCGGGAGGCAGAGGTTGCAGTGAGCCGAGATTGTGCCACTGCACTCCAGCCTGGGCAACAGAGCAAGACTCCGTCTCAAAAAATAAAATAAAACAGGTTTTCATTTTAATTTTTAACATATAAACCTCCACAGGAACATTCTGACACAGACTTCAGCCCCAGGCCTACATCACCCTATGATCCAAATTATTTTATAGTAAATGGTATGAAGTTTGGAGAGGAAGGGCAATTTGGCCATCATGCTGTGATTTTACTGCAGGTAAAGTAGAATCACCATGAAAGTGGTGGAGCCTTGCTTTTTCTTTAATTTTTATAATGCCACCACCCTACATTCTTAGGAGAAAAGGCAAGGAGTTAAATAAATAAGCACAGATTTAAGTTCACATTTCTGGTAATTATCCGCAAGCTAATAACTGAGATTGCTTAAGCTCTGTAAACAAAACACACAAAGCCCTTGTGGCTCTGCGCCAGAATCAAAGGTCTGATCCAAAACTCCCCCATCCCCTTGTTGGCTTTGAACATGAAACCAATTTTCTACACCAAATCAGGCCTACTTCTTTGTAACCATCCTTACCATCTCTCTTATAGGAAAATGTTTAGGACTCTTGGCGGTGACTCTAGAACTAGGAAATCAACTCTCTCAGCAGCACTCTAATGAGCAAAAACAACTGTGCCTCAAAATACAGGCTGCAGTGGGCAGAAATCTCTGTACTGCACTCCAGCCTGGGTGACAGAGTAAGTTTCTGTCTCAAAAAAAAAAAAAAATCAAGTAACAAAGAACAGCTGTCTAAAACTGTTAACACTGATTCAAAATATAATAACCTTTATGCCTGTTATTCAGAGTTAAAGTGGGTACGCTAATTATAAATCATACACTTTTCTAATTGTGCAATACTCTGTCAATGGGATAGATTTTAGGAAAATTCCAGCTGAACCAGTCCATTCTTTGAATCATTAGGTCAATTACAAACATGCCAATCCTTAGCCTGAATAGCTGCATATTTAGAAAGACCTAAAACATTCTTCAAAAAGCTGCCATACATGGTCTGTTAAAGGGCTTACTTGGTAGGAAATAAATCAAGAGGGAATACTCCATAGTGAATCTCAGGGCACTTTTTAAAACAAATCTCAGGGCTGAGCACAATGGTTCATGCCTATAATCTCACTGCTTTGAGGGGCCAAGGCAGGAGGATTGCTCAAGCCCAGGAGTTTGAGACCAGCCTGGGCAACATGGCAAGACCTAGTCCCTACAAAAAAATTGTTTTATTAGCTAGGCATGGTGGAACACGCCTGTGGTCCCAGCTATTCCAGAGGCTGAAGTGGGAGGATCACTTAAGCCCAGGAAGTCAAGGCTGCAGTGAGCCATGATCTCACCACTGCACTCGAGCCTGGGAGACAGTACAGGACCCATCTCCAAAAAAAAAAAAAAAAAAAGTGAACGAAGCTGCAATAAGCTGTGATCATACCACTGCACACTAGCCTAGGCGACAGAGTGAGACCCTGCCTCAAAAAAAAAAAAAGAAAAAAAGAAAAAACCAATTGATAAAAGAGTAACCTCCCAATCCCCAGCTGTGGAACCCAAGAGCAGAGAAGGCAGCCACCCGCCTCTCTTTCCCTCAAAGACACCAGAGTGCAATAGGCTCTTCCTCACTCATTCCCATGGGAAGTAGCCTTCAACCCCTCTCAAACCACAGCATATAGAGATGCCTTTATTAATAAAAAAGGATACAACCCACGGGCCAGCCGCAGTGGCTCACGCCTGTAATCCCAACACTTTGGGAAGCCAAGGCAGGCAGATCACCTGAGGCCAGGAGTCCGAGACCAGCCTGGCCAACATGGTGAAACTCTGTCTCTACTAAAAGCACAAACATTAACCGAGTGTGGTGGCACACGCCTGTAGTCCCAGCTACTTAGGAGGCTGAGGCAGGAGAATCGCTTGAATCCGGGAGGCAAAAGTTGGAGTTAGCCGAAGTCGCACCACTGCACTCCAGACTGGGCGACAGAGCGAGACTCAGTCTCAAAAATAAATAAATACAATAAATAAATAAACAAAGTATACAACCCACAACTCACTTTTTTTTCTAACCAGGAATCTCAACAACAGGACTATAGGGAAACAAGAATTATTAACCTCATTAATTCAAATTAACTCTTAAGCACCCACCACTAACAGGCACTCTTATAGGTTCTAGACCTAGGATCATTTTTACAGAGTTCACATTGGGGAAGGGAGAGGGGAGAGGGAAAGGCAATCACACTAAAAAGAGGGGGTCAGAGTAACAGTAAGATCCACACAGAAGGCCAGGCACAGTGGCTCACACCTATAATCCAAGCACTTTGGGAGGCCAAGGAGGGTGGATCACCTGAGTTCAGGAGTTCGAGACCAGCCTGGCCAACATGGTGAAACCTTGTCTCTACCAAAAATACAAAAATTAGCCGGGCATGGTGGCGGGCGCCTGTAATCTCAGTTATTTGGGAGCCTGAGGCAGGAGGATCGCCTGAACCCAGGAGGTGGAGGTTGCAGTGAGCTGGGACCATGCCATTGCACTCCAGCCTAGGCAACAAGAGTGAGACTTCTCAAAAAAAAAAAAAAAATCCACAAAGAAAGTAGGGAGCCATGGTAGTGAATGGGGGCGTTTACTCTAGATGGGTGGTCAAGGCAGAGTTTCCCAGGAGGACAAAGCCCCCAGTGACAAGAGCAGGGTCAACAAGTTCCAAGCAAAGAGAACAGCAAGTGCTGAAGCCTAAGGCTAATGCACTTACAGAAAAATCCTTAATGACTAAGTGTGTTGCCTCTGTTTGCGCAGAGATCACAAAACGTGTCCCGCAGAAGGGAGAGAAAAAGGGACCCCAGGAGAGGGTGGCGGGGCTTCAGGTCCTGGAGAAAGGCAGCAAGCATGGCTAACACATTCCTTGGTCCACCCTGCAGGGTAATACTGCACCTTCAATTGACTTATGAAGAAACTAGCTCAGATTGGAACAACAGCCAGGACAGTCACCACCAAGGGGACTTGCCCCACTGGAGAAGGCAAGTCTGACCCCCTACCCCACCGCGGTCAACCCAGGGACGGAGGAGAGAACGCCGCATGCCATTGTTCTTATGTATAAAGCACAGGTTACAGGTTATTTCTGAAGATGTCTGCTCAAGTGGAGATGCTACCAGGTTTTTACCAATCATTACTTTGGATAAAAGTTTAGCAAATATTTACATCACTGTGCCCACAGTTTGTGCTTATGCCCCATGGCTTTAGAGGGCCCGTATACCTTATGTATACTTCATATTATGTATAATATGAACTTCAGCTCCATTCATGGTCATATCATCTAACCTGGGATACTCTTAGGAGTGAAAGGGGGAGCTTAATAGTGGCAGTGTGATAAGGGATATAAACCAGGATTCTCCTGGGCCAACTGGTACAGGTGAAAAGGATGACTGAAACGGCAGAGGTCCTCCATTCTTCTAGATGGGTGATCAAGGCAGAGGTTCCCAGGAGGACCAAGCCCAGACAGAGAGGCAAGGGGCGGTGGCTCACGCCTATAATCCCAACACATTGGGAGGCTGAGGTGGGTGGATTGCATGAGCCAGGGAGTTTGAAAGCAGCCTGTGCAACATGGTAAAACCCTGCCTCTACAAAACAAAAACAAAAATTAGCCAGGCATGGTGGTGCATGCCTATAGTCCCAGCTACTCAGGAAGCTGAGGTGGGAGGATCACCTGAGCCCGAGCACAGGGAGGTTGAGGCTGCAGTGAGCTATGATCGCACCACTTATACTCCAGCCTGAGAGACAGAGCAAGACCCTGTCTCGGAAAAAAAAAAAAAAAAAAAAAAAAAAACACAGACTGACAACAACTCAATGAACTCAGATAATTAGAAATTCTATTAGTCTAATTTCATATGAAACCAAGGTATTTTTTTTTTCCTTCCTCAGAGACCGGAGTGGGAGAGAAACTGTTACAGCCAATCACTTCCTTCCAGGAAAAAAAAAGACGCAAATAACAACACAAAAAAACGTGATCTAATAGACAATCCAGATATAAAGAACACAAACCCTTTTCCCTACAATTTAACCAAATGCTAAAATGCACCAGGAAACACAGGATACTACAGAGATAAAGATTTGGCCAGCAGATTATCAACCCCAGGAAAAGAAATCCATTTCTGTAGCATGCTATGCTGTTGGAGGCACACGTCACACTTCTTAATTCAAGGACAGAAAAGCACAAACTAAAATGCACACTGGAGTATGACTCCCCCTTCTCTATCTGCTAAAGCGCTTCGCATGTGACTTTCAATCTCTAAGCTGGGAATCAATCAGGCAGCCCAGCCTCCTATATTTTCTAGTTGTATTGCTTTGAGCATCAAATTTAACCTCTGTGCACCTCAATTTCTTCAGCTGGAGACAAAGAAAGTGGCTGCACTGTGGCAGAGTGTTTGCAAATGTTAATCATGGTTATGGTAGCATTCTACCTTGTCTTACAGATGGTTGCCTAAAAAGGTAGGAAACTGTTCACGAAAAAGTCTCAACCGGTCCTAGAGTGATCAGAATGACAGCGCTGAAATAAGGAGGGCAGTACCTCTTATTCCAGAGAAGTGGGGAGCAGAGAGGAAGATGGAGTGGAAAGGGGCGAGGCAAGGCCCTCCTGAAATACCTCAACCCAAATCTTCAAGAAATCCCCAAGTCCTCACAGTGCTTTTTGTGGATTTTTGTGGAAACCGGTAAAAGGGGCTGATTTGCTGACCCCAGTGGGTAGAAAACAGAGACTGTCAAGAGAACAGAAGAGAAGGCAGAAAGGGGATGGGGAAGTGGGGTTCGCCATGTTCACGAGCTCCTGGAGCCACAGGGCCCCCCAGGAACAACAGAGCTGAGACTGGGTGGCCTTGTTTCTGGCCCAATTCCCTGGGACCACCACCCTGGAAGGACACTTGAGCCCTACTCAAGGACCCACCACAACATCTCAGCATTGTCGGTCCTTAAATGCCAAGGTTTGTGCTCACCATTTCCATCCTTAAGATTCTCACAGGGAAGAACCCACACAACAGCTTTGTCCCTGCGACTCTGGGTGAGTTTCTGACACTGGCCTGGGCTCCCGTTTTGCCCGTCACCAACTTCTCACAGTATAACTATCCAAGAGAAGTAGCATTTGATGTCAGGGAATCAAAAGGGCTAAGGCTCGGGAGGCCAAGGCAGGTGAATCACTTGTAATCAGGAGTTCGAGACCACCCTGACCAACATAGTGAAACCCCATCTCTACTAACAATACAAAAAATTAACCAGGTGTGGTGGCAGGTGCCTGTAATCCCAGCTACTCAGGAGGCTGAGGTAGGAGGATCACTTGAACCCAGGAGGCAGAGGTTGTGGTACGCCAAGATCATGACACTGCACTCCAGCCTGGGTGACAGAGTGAGACTCCATCTCAAAAAAAAAAAAAAAAAAGGCCTAAGGCTTACTCAGGGTCATCTATGGTTTGCCAAGCAGAGTTCAATCCAATCAACAAAACCCTCACTGCCCACTTTTCCAAAACCTGATATAGTCAGTCACTAGTAGCTGCCATTTGCTGTTTTGCCTTCTATTAAAAAAAAAAAAAAAAAAAAAACCATCCAATTCCCAGAAGTCAAAGGCAATTCCTTCCCTTTTCTGTGTCTGTGAGACGGCTCTCTGTGGGATTCCTTCCTGCTGCACCTCATCCTTCCTGGAAGGGACTCTCAGAAAATGTGCCTCCTCCTTACAGGAAAGGAATTCCTCCCGAGGAACTGTGGACATGAGGCAGCTTTGTGGAATTTCCCTTCCACAGACTTCAGCCTATTTTCTGGGCAAACTTAGCAGAAATGACCAAAATCCACTCGAGAGAGACAGCAACAAGGAGAGGGGAAGAGATCCTATTTTGGCTTCTTCAAATGGACCAATTTTCTCTTTAAAATATTTATTTTAAGGAAAAACAAGGACTACATTATATTTTAAAGGGGGAGAAGGAAGAGGATTTTGAGTTGCTAAGAGAACAGAGCCATCTCTTTTCTTTTAATACTGGATGCTAAGAACTTGCACAGGGTTTTCCCAAAAGCCAGATAGTTCAGGTAATTTGCATGTGGCTGTAAAAGAGAAAGTTCAGGCCAGGCACTGTGGCAACATGGTGAAACCCCATCTCTACTAAAAATACAAAAATTAGCTGGGTGTGGTGGTGCAAGCCTGTAATCCCAGCTACTTGGGAGGCTGAGGCAGGGGAATCACTTGAATCTGGGAGGTGGACGTTGCAGTGAGCCAAGATCACACCACTGCACTCCTGGGCGACAGAGACTCTCTCAAAAAAAAAAAAAAAAAAAAAAAAAGAGAGAGAGAAAGTTGAGAGCATAAGTCTGAGTGATTCTGCCTGAAAGAACAGAACAGCTTACACTGGACAGGCTTTTGCCCAAGACACACCTCATCTGGCATTGAGAAACGAACACCAACAATAATGAGTGACAGAATGTTAAGAACAATAATTATACAGACTTGGACCTCCCAGACTGCTTGTCTGTAGTAATTCAGAAGGAAGCAAAGTATTCTGAAGTGTTTATGAAGATTGGTTCCACATCTGAAGAATTTTAGTAATCTTACCCAAACTCAACCCAAGAAATATGAGGAAAAGAGGGAGTAGTTCTATAATAAGCAGGTGGAATAGAGGGTCAAACTCCTTGGCGAGTTCAGTCTAACAGAGGACACATTACTGCCCTACAAAGCAGCTCTGGAAAATGACAACCAGTGGCACTAACTCCAGGCAATATCTTTGTGAGGCTTGTGGGCTGTAATATAGTCTGCTCAGGCTGCCATAAAAAAAAAATCACAATCAGGCCAGGCACTATGGCTCACACCTGTAATCCCAGCACTTTGGGAGGCCAAGGAGGGCAGATCACCTGAGGTTAGGAGTTCGAGACCAGGCTGGCCAACATGGCAAAACCCCGTCTCTACTAAAAATACAAAAATTACCCGGATGTGGTAGCACGCACCGGTAGTCCCAGCTACTCGTCAGGCTGAGGCAGGAGAATTGCTTGAACCTGGGAGGGGTGGAGGTTGCAGTGGGCTGAGATCACACCACTGTACTCCAGCCTGGACAACAGAGCCACTGCACTCCAGCCTGGGCAACAGAGAGAGACTCCATCTTAAAAAAAAAAAAAAAAAATCCCCGTCTTCAAATACAATCACATTCTGAAGTACTAGAGATCAGGACTCCAACATGCGAACTTTGGGGGGACATAATTCAGCCCGTAATATGGGTGATAAAGGAGCAGGTCCAGACTTAGAGAAACAAGGACTCCCTGGGTCAAGCTCTGGAAGTGAAAGGCTTCTTCAAAGACAGGAAAGTCCCACTGAAGGTGGCTTTGGAAGTGCACCCTTGCAGCACAGCAACCTTCTTGATTTGCTCAAGAGCAGGGGTTCTGACAGGTCTCAAAGCACTTTGTTTAATGAAACAGAATCGAAAATACCAGTGTGTCACATGTTTCCTAAGACAGGACACTGTTTCTTGAAACTTTTACTAAAGTATGTTTTTCTTTTATTTTTTTATTTTTTATTTTTTTTGAGAAGGAGTCTTGCTCTGTCGCCCAGGCTGGAGTGCAGTGGCACAATCTCGACTCACTGCAACCTCTGCCTCCCGGGTTCAAACAATTCTCCTGCCTCAGCCTCCTGAGTAGCTGGGATTACAGGTGCACGCCATCATGCCTGGCTAATTTTTGTATTTTTAGTAGAGACAGGGTTTCACCATGTTGACCAGTCTGCTCTCAAACTCCTGACCTTGTGATCTGCCCACCTTGGCCTCCCAAAGTGCTGGGATTACAGGTGTGAGCCACCGTGTCCAGCCTAAAGTATGTTAAATATGTTATGTGTGAGAGAGAGAAAGAGAATATATCTCTTGGTCATTACATATGTAAAACTTGTAGAACGTGATCAAAATGTTTAAAAACTGGCCAGGCACAGTGGCTCAAGCCTGTATCCCAGCACTTTGGGATCCCAAGGCAGGTGGATCACAAGGTCAGGAATCAAGACCATCCTGGTCAACACAGTGAAACCCCATCTCTACTAAAAATACAAAAAATTAGCCTGGCGCGGTGGCACGCACCTGTAGTCCCAGCTACTTGGGAGGCTGGGGCAGGAGAATCGCTTGAACCTGGGAGGCGGAGGCTGCAGTGAGCTGAGATAGCGCCACTGCACTCCTGCCTGGGCAACAGAGCAAGACTCCAACTCAAAAAAAAAAAAAAAAGTTTAAAAACTGGTCCTGTGGCAGTGGGTCTCAAACATCAGCATGCATCAGAATCACTTGGAGGACTGATTAAAACACAGGCTGCTGCTGATGCTGCTAATCCTAGAGCCACCTTGAAGTTTTTCTGTGGTTTTTTTTTTTTTTTTTTTTTTTTTTTTGAGACAGGGTCTTGCTGTCTCCCAGGCTGGAGTGCAGTGGTGCAATGATACCTCACTGCAGCCTTGAACTCCTGGGCTCAAGCAATGCCCCCATCTCAGCCTCCCAAGCAACTAGGACTGTAGCTAGCTCCTAACTCATTCCCTCCATTCCTGCCCTCCCCTAACTTTATATTGCAGCCAGAAGGATATTTTTTCTGAAGAGCATCTCATGCTGAGTGGCAGCAGAATGCAGAGATTAAGAGAGGGGGCCAGGCACAGTGGCTCACACCTCTAATCCCAGCACTTTGGGAGGCCGAGGTGGGTGGATCACCCGAGGTCAGGAGTTCAAGACCAGCCTAGCCAACATGGAGAAACCCCGTCTCTATGGGCGTGGTGGTGCATACCTGTAATCCCAGCTACTAGGGAGGCTGAGGCAGGAGAATCACTTGAACCCAGGAGGCAGAGGTTGCCGTGAGCCGAGATCTCGTCATTGCACTCCAGCCTGGGCAACAAGAGCGAAACTCCGTCTCAAAAAAAAAAAAAGAGTGGCGCCAGGTGCAGTGGCTCACGCCTGTAATCCCAGCACTTTGGGAGGCCGAGGCAGGCAAATCATCTGAGGTCGGGAGTTCGAGACCAGCCTGACCAACATAGAGAAACCCCGTCTCTACTAAAAATACAAAAAAATTAGCCGAGCGTGGTGGCATGTGTCGTATGCCTGTAATCCCAGCTACTGGGGAGGCTGAGGCAGGAGAATTACTTGAACCTGGGAGGCAGGTTTTTTGTTTTTTGTTTTGGTTTTGTTTGAGATTTTGGTTGTTGTTTTTTGGGGTTTTTTTGAGACAGGGTCTCACTGTGTTGTCCAGGCTGGAGTGCAGGGGTGCGATCATGTGTCACTGCAGCCACAACCTCCTGGGCTCAGGTGATCCTCCCACCTCAGCCTTCCTGAGTAACTGTTACTACAGGTGTGCACCACCATGACTGGCTAATTTTTGTATTTTTTGTAGAGACAAGAGTTTCACCATGTTGCACAGGCTGTTCACAAACTCCTAGGCTCAAGCTATCCACCTGCCTCAGCCTCCCAAAGTGCTGGGATTATAGGCATGAGCCACCTTGCCCAGCCAACTGAGCCACTTTGTGCCAGGACTAGGTCAGGTACTTGGGACATATACAGGCAAGGACACTGCCCACAGGGAACTGACAGTGTCTAGCAGCTACACAGATGACACGGCCTTTTCGGCAGACACCCCTGTCCCCTGTGCTTGGCAAACAGCAGAGACTCAAAAATGTATATGGTTTGACTCCCACTGGAACATAAGCCCCTTAGGGCAGGGACCAGGGTCACTGTATTCCCAGCACCTATAATCAAGAGGTACATGACGCTGCAGCTGAGAGCAGGGACTCTGTGCTAAGTTACCTACCTGGTTTGAACCTAGGCTCTGCCACTCAAAGGCTGTGTGACCGTGGGAAATAATAGTACCCACCCCAAAGGTTTGTTATTAGTATTTAATAATATTTATTGGTAAGGTACTTAGAATAGCCCCCCTGCCTACAGGAAGCAGTACATAATTATAATGTCTAAATATACAGTAGTTCCAGGCCAGGCATGGTGGCTCATGTCTGTATTCCTAGCAGAATGAGAGGCCGAGGAAGGAGAATCATTTGAGTCCAGGAGTTTGAGACCAGCCTGGATAACATAGTGAGATCTCGTCTCTACAAAAAATAAACAAAAGTAAGCCAGACATGGTGGCACATGCCTGCAATCCCAGCTACTCAAAAGGCTGTGATTAGAGAATCACTTGAGCCCAGGAGGTAGAGGCTGCAATGAGCTGAGATCACACCACTGTACTCCAGCCTGGGCAACAGAGTGAGACTCCGTCTCTTAAATAAATAAATAAATAGGGGCCAGGCGTGGTAGCTTACACCTGTAATCCCAGCACATTGGGAGGCTGAGGCGGGAGGATCACTTGAGGACAGGAGTTCAAGACCAACCTGACCAACATGGTGAAACCCCATCTCTACTAAAACACAACAATCAGCTGGGCATGGTGGCGGGTGCCTGTAATCCCAGCTATTTTGGGGGCTGAGGCAGGAGAATCACTTGAACCCAGGAGGCAGAGGTTGCAGTGAGCCAAGATCACACTACTACACTCCAGCCTGGGCAACAGAGCGGGACTCCATCTCAAATAAATAAATAAATAGCAGTTCCATATCCTCTGAATAATGGACTAGAAGTTGGTTAATGGATGGGTTTTCAGGGAGAATTTTAGCAGCCGAGCTGAGAGGTAGGTACTCTAGCCAGGGTATATAACATGAGCTAAGGGAACAGGACAGCAAATATAAGGTGTGATCAGGGGAAAGGCATCATATATTGACTGTCCAGGAACAATGGATATCTGAGAATGTAGGAAAGCTAAGTTAGGACCAGGAAAAGGAGAGTATTAAATGCCAAAGAAGATGCCACCAAAGGTTCTGGAACAGAAAGCAGCAGAGCTATGCCTTGTAAAGATAAAGCCTGCAGTGTATTGACTGGGTTGGAATCTGGAATCATTGCGTGCCTCCAGTCAAGACGTGGCAACTGACCAACTACCTTTTATCACTGACCAGACTCTTCCCTACGTGCAGATAACTGAGGACGCAAGCCTTAGTTACTGGGTGTGGTGGTGCTATTAACGGAAAAAGGGAAGTCAGCCAGCAAAGGCTGACTGGGGCAATTTCAGCCTTGTTGCTCTGCTGTGAAACTGCTTTCCAGAAAAACTTTTTTTTTTTTTTGAGACGGAGTCTCACTCTGTCACCCAGGCTGGAGTGCAGTGGCACAATTTCGGCTCACTGCAACCTCCGCCTCCCAGGTTCAAGCGATTCTCCTGTCTCAGCCTCCCCAGAAGCTGGGATTACAGGCGCCCACCACCACACTCAGCTAATTTTTGTATTTTTAGTAAAGTCAGGGTTCCACTATGTTGGCCAGGCTGATCTCCAACTCCTGACCTCAGGTGATCCGCCTGCCTCGGCCTCCCAAAGTGCTGAGATTACAGGCATGAGCCACAGTGCCCAGCCCAGGAAAACTTCTTAAAGATGTAATAATAACGCACCTTATTATTTTCCAAGTACTTCCATAGATAGTGGCCCACTTCTGAGTATGAATTAAATTTCCCTTTGTGGCCTTTGTTTTTTTAATAGATCTTCATTTCTGGGGGGACTTACAAACAGGTGACTTCTCCATTCACCAGAGATGGGACATTATACACTGACCTACTTCCATATTCACTTTCCCTGCTTGATTGGAGGTGAGGGAGAAAAATTAGTGTATAAGGCCGGGCGCGGAGGCTCACGCCTGTAATCCCAGGACTTTAGAAGGCTGAGGCAGGTGGATCACCTGAGGTCAGGAGTTCGAGACCAGCCTGGCCAACATGGTGAAACCCCTTGTCTACTAAAAATACAAAAATTAGCCAGGTGTGGTGGCACACGCCTGTAATCCCAGTTACTCAGGAGGCTGAGGCAGGAGAATTGCTTGAACCCCGAGGCAGAGGTTGCAGTGAGCTGAGTCCATGCCATTGCACTCTAGCCTGGGCAACAAGAGTGAAACTCTGTCTCAAAAAAAAAAAAAAAAGAAAAGAAAAGAAAAATAAGTGTATAGAACTTTATTGTTTCATTGACCGGGCACGATGGCTCACGCCTGTAACTCTAGCACTTTGGGAGGCCAAGGTGGGCAGATTGGCTGAGCTCAGCAGTTTGAAACCAGCCTGGGCAACATGGTGAAACCTATCTCTAATAAAATACAAAAAATTAGCCCGGTATGGTAGCACATGCCTATAGTTTCAGCTACCTGGGAGGCTGAGGCATGAGAATCACTTGAACCCAGAAGGTTGCAGTGAGCCAAGATTGTGCCACTGCACTCCAGCCTGGGCAACAGAGCAAAACTCTGTCTCCAAAAAAAGAGAACTGGCCAGGGATGGTGGCTCACGCCTCTAATCCCAGCACTTTGGGAGGCTAAGGTGGGCAGATCACGAGGTCAGGAGTTCAAGACCAGCCTGGCCAACATGGTGAAACCCCGTCTCTACTAAAAATACAAAAATTAGCTGGGCATGGTGGCAGGCACCTGTAATCCCAGCTACTCAGGAGGCTGAGACAGCAGAATCGTTTGAATCTGGGAGGTAGAAGTTGCAGTGAGCCAAGATCACGCCATTGCACTCCAGCCTGGGTGGAAGGGCATGACTTCGTCTCAAAAAAAAAAAAACTTTTTCCTTAAAATACACCTCTTGGAGCCAGTCCCAGATACTTGGGAGGATCAGGAAGGAGGACCTCTTGAGGCCATAAATTTGAGGATGTAGTGTGCCTGTGAATAGCCACTACACTCTAGCCTGGGCAACACAGAAAGACCTCATAAATAAATAAATAGGCCAGATGAGGTGGCTCACACCTGTAATCTCAGCACTTTGGGAGGCCAAGGCTGGCAGATCACGAAGTTAGGAGATCAAGACCATCCTGGCTAACACAGTGAAACCCCGTCTCTACTAAAACTACAAAAAATTAGCCAGGCATGGTGGCATGCACCTATAGTCCCAGCTACTCGGGAGGCTGAGGCACGAGAATCACTTGAACCCGGGAGACGGAGGTTGCAGTGAGCCGAAATCGCACCACTGCACTCCAGCCTGGGCAACGGAGTGAGACTCTGCCTCACACAAATAATAAATAAATAAATAAATATTTTATAATGTATTTTTAAAATATAGTTCTTAAAACATGCCATGAGTAGGTTTAATTTTTCTAAATCATAGAATAGGATACTGAAGCCCAGAGTGGTCATGTGTCTTGCCTAAGGTCACACACAGCTAATATATACAAGATCATGGGTCTTCTGGCTCCAGTCTGAGGCTGTCACAATAACTAGCTTCTCACTTGGTCCTACCTAAGACACAGGTGTCAGCAACTCTAAATTCAAGAAATTGAGATTAAGACTAAAGTAATAGCTTATAAACATTAATTAAGCATATTAATTGCAAGATGTTAAACCAGTCACTGAGAGATTAAGACATTGAAGATACTGGTTTCTGCCTTAATAGAGCTAACAATTTAGTAAAAAAGTCGCAAATGAGTCAAGACTTAAATAAGACTTAAAGACTTAAGACAATAAAAAAGGCATGATAAAAGGGTAAATTTAGGCTGGACGCAGTGGCTCATGCCTGTAATCCCAGCACTTTGGGAGGCTGAGGTGGGCGGATCACCTGAGGTCAGGAGTTCAAGACCAGCCTGGCCAACATGGCAAAGTCCCATCTCTACTAAAAATACAAAAATTAGCCAGGTGTCATGGCACAAGCCTGTAATTCCAGCTACTCGGGAGGCTGAGGCAGGAGAACTGCTTGAACCCAGAAGGTGGAGGTTGCTCAAGAGCAAGACTCTGACTCAAAAAAAAAAGGATGGGGGATAAATTTAGCAAGAACCCTCATCATCCCATTTACCTACAGCCTAATATGTACTAGGAACTTACATATACAATAATAGGTAAAATCTATTAAGAATGTATTATGTTTTATAGTTGAACAAATTGTGTCGCTTAATCAACTTAGAATTCATGTAAATGCCACATTTGAGCTCTGTTACATTGAGAGCTCTCCAGGCCCAGCCTACCATGTTAAGCCATTGATAAACCTCCCTGCTACTATTTAAAACAAGATGGATACCTTTCTACTGTCTTTAAAGAGGAAGAGTACACACTGTTGGACTGTATGCACTCTCCGTCTCTCAAGACAGTAATCTGAGGGATTACTTCAATAGCAGAAGTTAAAAGAAGCGGTCAGTTGGGTTTATTACATAATCTCAATCACATCCTGACCAATAAAATGCACCAATAAAGATCAGCAAATAAAAGCAAGTGATTAGAAGAGCAATTTTATGCTCACGAGCTCTGAATTCACAAGTGTGAGATTTCCTGTCAAGTACTCTCATGAGCTCAATTAATCTCTGACCCAGGGTGAGAAAATAAACATAGTGACGCAGAGGCTGCAGCTCATGCTTTGGAATTTGTCAGACTTGACTCAGTTCCCAACTCCATCATGTCCTGCCTGGGTGACCCTCATTATGCTACCTGGACTCTCTCAGTTTCCTTCACCTGTATGTAACACAAGAGCAGAGCCACCCTCAACAAGGGGTTACTATAAAAATCGAAGAACCCGGCATCTCTAACAACATCCCTGGCACGGAGCAATCCCCCTTCTCCCTCAGCCACTGGCTGAGCACCCACAGAGGGGAGTAAGTCCTATTGTGGTAATGGTTCTCATGCTTTGAGATCAGACAAGTCCTTTGAGAGGAACCTGAAAAAGGGGCAGCGAACCTTTGGCCAGAAAAATGGAAATATGCACAGAAATATTTTTGACTTTGGCAAGCAGTTGATCAGTGGTTCTTGGGCTTCAGTGCCCATCAGAAACGTAGAGAACCTTTTTAAAATATTGATGTGCGGGGCGCGGTGGCTCACACCTGTAATCCCAGCATTTTGGGAGGCCAAGGCTGACGGATCACCTGAGGTCGAGAGTTCGAGACCAGCCTGGCCAACATGGAGAAACCCCATCTCTACTAAAAATACAAAATTAGCCAGGCATGGTAGCGCATGCCTATAATCCCAGCTACTCAGGAGGCTAAGGCAGGAGAACTGCTTGAACCCGGGAGGCAGAGGTTGCGGTGAGCCAAGATCACACCATTCCACTCCAGCCTGGGCAACAAGAGCAAAACTCTGTCTCAAAAAAAATAGATAGATAGATAGATAGATAGATAGATAGATAGATAGATAGATGATAGATAGATAGATGCGTGGATCCCACCCCCAGAAATTATTTTTCCAATTGGCCTATAAGGGGAACAGACATCCATATTTTTATGGCTGTCCAGGTGATCCAATCATGGTGAGGGCTAAGAAACTGCTATGTAATCTAAAAAGAATTTAGAAAAAATAAAGCTAATAAGGTTAAAAGAAATAATGCACATCAACAATCATTTGAAGGGAGCAATTTGAGAGTATATTCATGAAAAGCAGCACCAAGAGCCAGCTTGTGTTAAGAGGAATCATGGCCGGGTGTGGTGTCTCACGCCTGTAATCCCAGCACTTTGGGAGGCCAAGGTAGGTGGATCACCTGAGGTCAGGCGTTCGAGACTAGCATGGCCAACATGGTGAAACCCTATCTCTACTAAAAATACAAAAATCAGCTAGGCGTAGTGCCACATGCCTATAATCCCAGCTACTGGGGAGGCTGAGGCAGGAGAATCACTTGAACCTGGGAGGCAGAGGTTGCAGTTAGCCAAGATCGTGCCATTGCACTCCAGCCTGGGCAACAAGAGCAAAACTCTGTCTCAAAAAAAAAAAAAAAAAAAAAAAAAAGAGGAAATCGTGAGGCCAGGCACAGTAGCATCGCGCCATTGCACTCCAGCCTGGGCAAAAAGAGCAAAACTCCATCTCAAAAAAATAAATAAAAATAAAAAATACAAATACAAAAATTAGCCGGGTGTGGTGGCAAGCACCTGTAATCCCAGCTACTCGGGAGGCTGAGACAGGAGAACCGCTTGAACCCCGGGAGGCAGAGGTTGTACTGAGCTGAGGTTGCGCCACTGCACTTCGGCCTGGGCGACAGAGCAAGACCCTGTCTCAAAAAAAAAAAAAGAGGAAACCATGCCAAATGACTTTAACCCTTTTCTTGGTAGGGTTTCTGAATGACTGCCCAGGCTGGGCATGACGGTTCACACCTGTCATCCCAGCATTTTGGGAGGCCAAGGCAGGTGGATCACTTGAGCTCAAGAGTTCGAGACTAGTCTGGGCAACATGGCAAAACCCCACCTCTACAAAAAATTAGAAAAATTAGCCAGCTGTGGTGGCCCGCACCTGTAGTCCCAGCTACTTGGGGGGCTGAAGCAGTAGGATCACTTGAGCCTGGGAAGTCAAGGCTCCAATAAGCTATGAATGCACCACTGCACTCCAAGGCTGGCTGGCAAGGCAAGATCCTGTCTCAAAAAAAAAAAAAAGACAGAAGTGCCCAGGTGATCCAATACTCCAATACCTCTTGACTTCCATAAAGCAGACCTCCATATGACACGACCTCTCTTGACACTTGTGGCCAAGTTAATCTAGCAACCACAGTGTTGATTAGTGGATCTGCCACAACCTAGAGGACATTCCTAGGACCCATCCTTTCTAGCATTCAGACTACGAAAGTGTTCCAAGAACTTTCAACAGCAACAATGAGCTGCTAAACGTTAGCATCTACAAAATGAATTTGCATAGGGATAGAAGAGCAGTTACATGGGGACAAGCCCTGCGGACTGTGAGGTCAATTGGCCATGTGTCCAATATAGCTCAACTGCATGTATCACTGATGATGCCCAAATTGACATAAACTTCCTGACCACATTGGCCAACATGATGAAACTCCATCTCTACTAAAATACAAGTATTAGCTGGGTGTGGTGGCGCGTGCCTGTAATCCCAGCTACTCGGGAGGCTGAGGCACGAGAATTGCTTGAACCAGAAGGTGGAGGTTGCAGTGAGCCAAGATCATACCACTGCACGCCAGCCTGGGCAACACAGTGAAACTCCATTTAAAGAAATAATAATAATAAGATAAACTTCTCCATGAGCCCCAAACTCATGACCAATTGAATGCCTATTCAACATCTCCACTTGAATGTGTAGCAGGCATCTCAAACTTAACAGGGTCAAAAATAAACTCCTGTCCAGGCACCATGGCGCATGCCTGTAATCCCAGCACTTTTGGAGGCTAGGGCGGGAGGATCACTTGAGCCCAGGAGTTCAATACCAGCCAGGGCAACATGGCAAAACTTCATCTCTACAAAAAATATAAAAAATTAGCTGGGCATGCTGGCACACACCTGTGGTCCCAGCTACTCAGGGGGCTGAGGTGGAAGGATGGCTTGAGCCCAGGAGGTGAAAGTTGCAGTGAACTGAGATCGCACCACTGCAATCCAGCCTGGGTGACAGAGTGACACCCTGTCTCAAACAAAGAAACAAAGATTTAATGTGGCCATGATAGCTGTCTTTGAATACTATGAGGCGAGCATATGAAGGGAGGTAGCCAACTTGCTCTGCGTGTTGACAAAAAAACAAAGGAGAGCGGCTCTGAACCTATTTTGGTTCTAGGAGCTGCTTGATTCACAGATCATTCTTTGCTTCATTAAATTCTGTAATGCTTTTCTTAGAAGTAAGTAAACACAAGTAGAAATTGCATGGAAAGAAAACTGTGGCTCAATACAACATAATTCTGGCATTCGAATCTAAAGTCATGAGAGTCACATAATGCATTTCCCCACTGCCCAGTATCTGGAAGGGATTCCTGTACTGAGTGTGGGCTAGAAGATCTCTTCCTTTCAACCCACTAATTCTATGACACTAAGGAAAAGGGGAAGATAGGAGCTAGCGCAGAGAAAAGAGCAGACAGGGACTAGGCCTGAAACAGACCAGCACGGAAGTGGTCATGGAACCCAGAAATGGAACAAGGAGCTACGTCGCAGGCCACAAAAGGGCTGTAAGTACTCATGAGTAAGGGGCTGGAAGTGGGAGAAGCAAAGTCTGAACATCTGCTGGGATGAAAGAGGGGAGGGCAACCTTGGGTGTAACAAACGCTACCGGCTGGCAGGGACGACATAGCGACTGAGGGGTGGTCATTCGCCACACGTCTCAGGCAACACTTTCTCCAACTGCAGTTCTGTGACCTGGACATCTCATCCCCTGCCAGGAACGATTTCCCACCTTCTCCATCCAAGCTCCAACAGGAAGGTAAACCCCTCCCCAGAGATCTCCATCTTGGCCAACATGGCAAAACCCTGTCTCTAACAACAACAAAAAAATTAGCCAGGCCTGGTGGTGCACATCTGTAATCCCAGCTACTTGGGAGGCTGCGGCAGGAGAATCGCTTGAGCCCGGGAGGCGGAGGTTGTAGTGAGCCGAGATCATGCCACTGCACTCCAGCCTGTGCGACAGAGACTCCATCTCAAAAAACAAAAACAAAAACAAAATCCCCACCCTCACACAGCTTTTCCATACTTCTACTCCAGCACACCCAACACGGGTTCAGGATGAACTCCTGCAGCAGCGACTGCTGGACACACGGACTATGTTTTTTTGAGATGGAGTCTCGCTCTGTTGCCCAGGCTGGAGTGCAGTGGCGTGATCTTGGCTCACTGCAACTTCTGCCTCCCGGGTTCAAGCAATTCTCCTGCCTCAGCCTCTCGAGTAGCTGGGACTACAGGTGCATGCCACCACGCCCAGCTAATTTTTGTATTTTTAGTAGAGACGGGGTTTCATTACGTTGGCCAGGCTGGTCTTGAACTCCTGACCTTGTGATCCACCTGCCTCGGCCTCCCAAAGTGCTGGGATTACAGGCATAAGCCACCGCACCCAGCCTGGACTACGTTTTCTTTTGCTTTTTTTTTTTTTTGAGACAGAGTCTCATTCTGTAGCCCAGGCTGGAGTGCAGTGGTGCAATCTTGGCTCACTGCAGCCTCCACCTCCTGGGTTAAAGCGATTCTCCTGCTCGGTCTCCCAAGTAGCTGGGATTACAGGCATGTGCCACCATGAAAGAAGGCAGGGTGCCTTCTTTCTTGCCAGGTGCAAATCCATTACAATAAAGTACCATTCCTGTTCTCAAAGAGCTCACACAATGAGGGAGGCAGCCACTGTATCGTGCAAATAATGCTAGCTATTAAACAAGCCCTGATTCTCAATGGCTTAATTCAAAATCACCAGCCGAGGCAGTGGATCACATGAAGTCAGGAGTTGGAGACCAGCCTGGCCAACACAGCAAAACCCCTTCTCTACTAAAAATACAAAATAAATAAATAAATAAAAAATTATCCGGGCGTGGTTTTGAGCTCCTGTAATCCCAGATACTTGGGAGGAGGCTAAGGCAAGAGAATCGCTTGAACCCGGGAGGCAGAGGTTGCAGTGAGCCGAGATCACGCCACTGCACTCTAGCCTGCAAGACAGAGATAGACTCCGTCTCAAAAAAGAAAACAAGAAACCAAGACCATGCCTATTGTCATGCTATAGTCCCCTTTTGGGCCATCTAGGGTGGTGAACAACACCATACATTTACTCCTAGCTGGACTTTCACCATCTTGCGGCTCGGCCTCCTCTCAGTCCTCCTCCTCTCCAGGAGGCCTCTTTATTCAGCTGGAGAGGCGTTGCATGGGGCTGGTTTTTGTGTTCCAGTCGTGGAAGCGAGACACCTTTTGCAACCACTTCCTATTGGCCAGGTCTCAGTTTCATGGTCACCTCTGACCACAAGGTTGGGGTAGAAAACATAGTCCAGGCTGGGCATGGCGGCTCACGCCTGTAATCCCAGCACTTTGGGAGGCCCAGGTGGGTGGATCACCCGAGGTCAGGAGTTCAAGACCAGCCTGGACAACATGTTGAAACCCCATCTCTCCTAAAAGTACAAAAAATTAGCTGAGCATGGTGGCGCACATCTGTAGTCCCAGCTATTTGGGAGGCTGAGACAGGAGAATCGCTTGAACTCCGGAGGCAGAGGTTGCAATGAGCCGAGATCACGCCACTGCACTCCAGCTTGGGCAACAAGAGTGAAACTCCATCTCAAAAATTAAAAAATTAAAAACAAAAAATAAAATAAAAATAAGGCACTCAAATGTTTGCTAAATGAATAATCTAAACCGCAGAGGATCAAGGCAGTAACCTTGGCCTCCCAGACACCGATCAAGTAGAATTGGACACCAAAGACTGAGAAAGACCTGAGAAACGTGGCTCCCAAATCTCAGCATCTGAATCAACCAGGAAATAATGCTTTAAAAAATGCAGATTTCAGGATGCTCAACCCCAAGAGACTGTGATTCTGCAGACACAGAAATTTACTATTTGGCCGGCCACAGTGACTCACACCTGCAATGTCAGCACTTTGGGAGGCCAAGGCGGGAGAATCACTTGAAGCCAAGAGTTTAAGACCAACATGGGCAACACAGCGAGACCTGGTCTCTACCAAAAATGTATTAATAAAAATTACTGGCCAGGCACAGTGGCTCGCCCCCGTAATCCCAGCACTTTGGGAGGCCGAGGTGGGTAGATCACAAGGTCAGAAGATCAAGACCATCCTGGTCAACATGATGAAATCCCATCTCTACTGAAAATACAAAAATTAGCTGGATGCAGTGGCGTGCGCTTGTAGTCCCAGCTACTCAGGAGGCTGAGACAGGAGAATCACTTGAACCCTGGAGGCAGAGATTGTAGTGACCCAAGATCACGCCACCGCACTCCAGACTGGGCAACAGAGCAAGACTCCGTCCCCCGCCCCTCAAAAAATTAGCTAGGTGTCCAGGTGCGGTGGCTCATGCTTGTAATCCCAGCACTTTGGGAGGCCAAGGAGGGCGGATCACAAGGTCAGGAGTTCAAGACCAGCCTGGCCAACATACTGAAACCCCATTTCTACTAAAAACACACAAAAAAATTAGTTGGGCATAGTGGCAGGCACCTGTAGTCCCAGCTACTTGGGAGGCTGAGGCAGGAGAATCACTTGAACCCAGGAGGCAGAGGTTGCAGTGAGCTGAGATCACACCACTGCACTCCAGCCTGGGTGACAGTGAGACTCCGTCAAAAAAAAAAAAAAAAAACACTTTAGCTAGGTGTGGTGGCGTGCACCTGTAGCTCAGCTACTTGGGAGGCTGAGCTGGAAGGATCACTTAAGCCTAGGAATTTGAGGCTACAATGAGCCATGATTGCATCACTGCACTCCCACCTGGGCAACAGAGCAAGACCCTGTCTCAAAACACACACACACACACACACACACACACACACACACACACACACACACAAAAACACAAAATTAAATGGCCAGGAATAGTGGCTCATTCCTGTAATCCCAACGCTTGGGAAAACCAAGGCAGGAGGACTGCTTGAGCCCAGGATTTTGAGACCAGCCTGGGCAACATAGTGAGACCTCATCTCTACAAGAAAAATATTTTTTTTATTATAGAAAAAGAAAATATAAAATTAAACATTTGATGCATTGACTGAGGGCCTCACACACCCTTCCTCTCTAAGCCATCCCCTGCCCTCAGCCACTTGTGTTTGCTTCTATAGTCATGTCATCAGCTCTCTAGGGCAGGTCTCCAGAGAGTCTGTCTGGTCACCAGTGGCAGTTTCCACAGCAGCACAGGCTTTGCAAGATGACACTTCACCCACTGAGATATGGCCAGCAACAGGGGAGCAAGGATTTAACCACTTTCTGTGGGCCAGATGCATCTGGAGATCCCTCTCAATGCCCATATTTAGGGAAAAGTCCTTCGTTGTTAGCCTCCACCCTGCTGCTGACCCCAGATCACCTCTGGATCAGGTGTGGGCAGAGGAATGCAAAGTGCCTGCCGGGCACCAGGGGGCAGCAGGACAATTCCTAGGAGAGTCTCAGGGATTGACCCATCTTGTGCCCAGCTGGCCACAGTTCATAGGCTATGCCACTTATTTCCACTAACGGGAAAGAGGAGGAATTATTCAATAAATGATAATGGGGAAAACGAGCTGTTTGGGGAAAAAATGGGGACTATCTCATATCAAATACCAAAAGAAATTCTAGCTGCCTTTATTGTTAGAAATGAAACAATAGCTAAAAGAAAATGGAAGGCCAGGCACAGTGGCTCACACCTGTAATCCCAGCACTTTGGGAGGCCGATGCAGGTGTATCACCTGAGGTCAGGAGTTCGAGACCAGCCTGGCCAACATGGTGAAACCCTGTCTCTACTAAAAACATGAAAATTAGCCAGGTATGGTGGTGGGCACTTGTAATCCCAGCTACTTGGGAGTCTGAAGCAGGAGAATCACTTGAACCCTGGAGGCGGAGGTTGCAGTGAGCCGAGATCACACCACGGCCAGCCTGGCAACAGAGCTAAAACTCTGTCTCATAAAAAAAAAAAAGAAAGAAAAAAGAAAGAAATAGGTGAAAATACTACCTTTAAAAATCCACAATTGCCAACAGCCATAATGCATGACTCCTTTTAGACTCCAAGTCCAAATTATGCTATAAATACACCAAAATCCCGGGAAAATACTTTGAATAAAAGTCAGTAAGCCAGTTATTGGCATCATTTAGGTAGGCAGCTGCCAGTTCACAAGTTCAGAAAGCAGATGATATTTGAGAAGAAAAGCAAACACTCAACAAGAAGGTGAAAAAGCAGTTTTTCCCTACAAGGTGGGCCCTGTCTCCAGGCAGCCACTTCCTGGATGGGCTCATTTCAGCTTTCCACTGGCAGTGGGAAGGGTACACAAATACTGACCTAAAAGCAGGAGGCTAAGGCACAAAATATAACTCAAGAATTTACTACAGACCCAGTGTGGTGGTTCATGCCTGTAATCCCAGCACTTTGGGAGGCCGAGGCAGGCAGATCGCTGGAGCTCAAACTCCTGAGCTGTGGATTACAGTGTCCTTGGGGCACTGTTAGGTTAATCTGTAGCTATGTGGCAATATGAAGTACTTTCGAGTGATAAGTAAATAGCTCAAGGGGGTGGGAACTACGAGGTGACTGCTGTGTCATTTTAATGTCTCTCTGGGCCTGATAATTTAAAAGGACTCCGCATTCCTCAGATGATGATTATTATTATTTTCTCACTATGAGGCCTCAGACTTTAAAATCCCTCAAACTGGCCCAGGCACAGTGGCTCATGCCTGTAATCCCAGCATTTTTGGAGGCCAAGGCGGGCAGATCACCTGAGGTCAGGAGTTCAAGACCAGCCTGGCCAACATGGTGCAACCCCATCTCTACCAAAAATACAAAAATTAGCTGGGTGTGAGGGTGCACGCCTATAGTCCCAGCTACTTGAGAGACTGGGGCAGGAGAATCACTTGAACCCAGGAGGCAGAGGTTGCAGTGAGCAGAGATTGCACCACTGCACTCCAGCCTGGGTGACAGAGCTGAGCAACAGAGAAAGACTCCGTCTCAAAAAAAAGAAATAAAGAAATTTTAACAATTAAAAATAAAGAAAAGCATAATACTGTAATAATACTCCAATGAAAGGAGTAGCTGGAAGCAGTAAGCGCCTCAAATCAGGATCACCTGGAGCACTTGAAACCTCACCACCCCCACCCACACACCCAGTGTTTCCAGTTTTACTGAATCAGTCCAGAGTGGATGCTGGAGAATCTGCATCTCTTAGAATCTCCCAAGTGATGCCGATGCTGCTGCTCTGAGTGCTATGCTTTGAGAACAGCTGCCCTAAAGCACACTAATAGTTGTTACACATGCATCATCTCCAACTGCAGGTACTTTAAGAATTTCCCTTGAGAAACTCTAGCCTTCCAGAACAGGGAGCGCCTTCTCCATGCATTTCCGACAGCACCTGAACTGGAAGCAGCTCAGTACAGCAGCTCCAAAGAGGCTGGGGAGCCAGTCTGCCCAGCTTTGGAGCCTGCTCTGACACTTGATTGTTGTGTGAGTCCAGGCAACTTAACCACTCTCAGCTTAAGTGTCCTCGGAGTAAAACAGAGGTCTACTAGCTCCTTCCCTTCCATCAGGGAAACCGGAAATGAACACCTACTCAAGTCATCAATGGGAGCGCATCACTTCCTATTTCCCTGCCACCTACATTTTGAAAATGCAGGGGGAGAAAAATATAAGGAGGCAGGAGTCACATCTGTAATCCCAGACTTTGGGTGGCCGAAGCGGGAGGAACACTTGAGCCCAGGAGTTCAAGACCAGCCTGAGCAACAACATAGAGAGCCCTATCTCTACAAAAAAAATTTTTTTTTATTATCCGGGCATGGTGACACACACCTGGAGCCCCAGCTACTCGGGAGGCTGAGGCAGGAGGATTGCTTCGGCCCAGGAGTTGGAGGCTGCAGCAAGCTATGAATGTGTCACTGCCCTCCAGCCTGGGTCACAGCTTGCACAAAGCAAGATCCTGTCTCAAAAAAAAAAAAAAAAAGTTCCTTGCCCTGCCTGAAGTTGAGGAGACCATTTGTCTACCTCAAGTTATTATTTGCAGAAACCACACCCATATTCCTTCCTCCTCCACGTGCCCCTCTCCTTAAGAGAAAGGCCGCCAAACAACCAAGAGAAGTTCCTACACCCACTGAGTGTACCACAATCGAAACAAGAGTAAGCGACTCATCCTCTTGGAATCCCCTAGGTCAAGCTTGTCCAACCTGAGGCCCATGGGCTGCCAAATTCGTAAGCTTTCTTAAAACATCAGATTTTTTTTTGCGATTTTTTTTTAGCTCATCAGCTATCATTAGTGTTAGTGTATGATTAGTGTTAGTGTATTTTATGTATGGCCCAAGACAATTCTTCCAGTGTGGCCCAGGGAACCCAAAAAATTGGAGACCCCCACCCTAGGTTGTCCCATAATAAAAGGCAATATCAACATGTGGGAAAGATGAGGCGGCAGAGGTCAAGAAACAGAAGATCTAATAATCATCCAAGTGAGATTGAAGCCCTTCAAAGGTTCAGGCTTATGTAGTTAGCAGACGGAATTCCCCCACACACACCCGCCACTCCCCCAAGACGGAGTCTCACTCTGTCACCCAGGCTGGAGTACAGTGGGGCGATCTCAGCTCACTGCAACCTCCGCCTACTGGGTTCAAGCAATTCCCCTGCCTCAGCCTCCTGAGTAGCTGGGATTACAGGCGTGCTCCACCACACCCGGCTAATTTTTGTATTTTTAGTAGAGACGGGGTTTCACCATGTCAGCCAGGCTGGTCTCGAACTCCTGACCTCGTGATCCACCCACCTCTGCCTCCCAAAGTGCAGGGATACAGGCGTGAGCCACCGCGCCAGGCCAAGATGGAAATTTTAGTTACTACTGTCACCCGAGTCTTTCTCCGTTTGTTTCCTTGCACAAAATGGGTAGGGCTGTGGGCCCTCCCAGCTCAGGAGCCCTGGGGTGGTTTTAAGAAGGTAGAACTCCTGGTAGGAACCACCTGCATCAAGACCATGGATCACCTCTCTGAAGGTTAGCGATTCCAGGGACCCCACCTCCGAGCTGTCCTCCTACGTGGAAGTGAAAGTATTGGAAACAGGGGAAAGAAGCTGGTCAAAGACAGACTCCAGTCGTGGCGGTGCATGTCCCAGTTAAAAGCAAATCCTGGAAAATCTTGTTCAAGAACAGGGTCCCCATTCATAAATGAAAAATAATAATAGTGTTATTTTACCCACATGAAACTTGCCATAACTAGGTACCACGACCCACATGGACACACAGTGAGATTCCCACAAAGAGGCAAAAGGAGAGCCCTGGTCACTGAGACAAAAGATACAGAGACACCGGGACACAGAGAGGTACAACGGGACGTGGAGTTGGATCGAGCTGTCTCGTAAGGAATATCGGAAGGGGTGGGGACACTACTGGGAGATGGCATAGGTCCAGGACACTAATTAGGCTTTGGCTGAGATCAGATAAAGGAAACTGTTCGTAAGCTGCTTACTTAAAAAGAAAGGAAAAGGTGCGTTTGAGTTCAGGAGACTGCGAGTCCCAGAGCAGGAGGCGGGAGCCAGCGAAGGGTGGGCGTGTAAGGGGTGCAGTCGCTTCTCCCGCTGGGCAAGAGACTCCCCCTTTCGGCAGCCTGGGTTCCCCGCCTCCCCACCTCCTGCTCCTCCTCCCCCGAGCCCTAAGGGCCCGCAGGGCCTCCAGTAGCAAAGCCACTGGCCCCGCGTCCCCGCGTCCCCCTGCGCCGCGCCCCGGGGCGCAGGCAGGGACCACGCGGCCGGCGTGGGGGCGGCGCCACCCGCAGCAGAAAGCCCCGGCGTGGACCGCGTGGCGTAGGAAAGCGCTCCCCTCGCCCCCAGCCGCAGAGGGCTTGGGCAGCATCGGGCGCGGCCCCGGGAGAGTGCGTCCGCGGCGCCAGCGGCTGCAGGGTGACCTGTTTCGGGCGGGGACACTCACCAGAAGAACACGCGTGAGCAGAGGTTCGCGTCCTGCAGCGGGTTGGGCTTCACCTCCTGGTACACGGGCAGCATCTTGCCGGGCGGGGCGGGCGCGGGCCGGGGTCGCGCTGATCAGGCGGCGGTGGCCGCGGGCTCCGCTCCTGGACCTCAAGCAGGGATGCTGGGGCTCCGGCCGCCACGCCTGTCCGCTCGGCTGGAGCCTGTGAAGCAGCCGCTTCCGGGAGCCGGGCGCCGGCGGCACGCCCCGTCCCCGCCTCTCAGGCCCGCCGCCTCGGGGGCGCCCGCTACGCGCCGCCGCCTGGAGCCCGGGAGCTGCGCACCGCGTGCGAGCGCGGCCGGGACCGACGGGTGACGCGGCGGGAGGAGACGCGGCGGGAGGAGGCGAAGCTGGCGACGCCAAAGGGAGCCCAGAGCTACGCCCAGGGGTGAGGCGAGGGCCGCCTGCGCCGCTGGATGGAGAGGGTAGCAGAGCGCGCGGCAAGGAGGCCGGGTCCGGAGGTGCCCACGTGCACGAACCCGAGTGAAACTTTCCGAAATTCACTATCCGAGTCTAGGCGCCGACACAGAAGGTGGAGCAGGGAGGCGTCGGCTGTGCCCGCCCCTGCGCCGCAGAAACGCCCCCTCGGCTACGGGTTTGGGAAGACTGGGAGACAGCTGCCTCGTGCTCTAGCAGCCCGCCCCCTGGGCGCCTTTCCCTTCTCAGGACCAAACGACGGTGCCATGGGAGGCTCTTCAACCTGTGAGCCAAACATTTGACCTTGGACGACAGCAAAGTTTAGCCACAGATTATCCTTGTAGAGCTGCAAGACCTCAAGAAAGCCGGGTAACTCGAGAGTATGACCCAGATGAATTCGGGAGATGGATGAATGCTGTCGTCGATGGGGGCGGGCTTTAGGCATCTCACATGTTGCATGCTACGGTGGACCTCTGAGCTTTTTGCTGCCCCCTTAGATTGGGAAAGGAATATAAGAGGAAAGAGAGACTGCCTGATGATTTCTGTCGTCAAGCCCTAAAGCCTAACAGATAACAGTGGCAAACGACACGTGGGTTCCAGAATACCAGTGATGTTCATGTGCATTTCTGAGTGCGTAGCCTCACTAGTGTGTGTGTGTGTGTGTGTGTGTGGCAGTCTCACACACAGTGTCACGATTATGGCTCATTGCACCCTCGACCTCCCAGGGCTCAAGCAATCCTCCCAACTCAGTTTAAGTAGCTAGGACTACAGGCACCCGCCACCACACCCGGCTCATATTTTGTAATTTTTGTAGAGATGCAAAAATCAAAATCAAAGGCTCCAAGTTCAAATACTGATAATTTTTGAAGCCAAATGATTGTCATGGAGGTTTATTTTCTTCATATTTCATGCATGTTTGAGAATTTGGTTTTCTTTGTAATAAGATCATTTTATTGTTCCTTGATAATTTCTCACTTTGTTGCCCAGGCTGGTCTCAAACTCCTAGGCTCAAGTGATCCTCCCACCGTGGCCTCCCAAAGTGCTAGGATTACAGGCATGTACCACCACGCCCGACCAATTATCTCACTTTTAATTCTATCAGTGCCCCATTCAAGGTTATCCTTACTTTATAGATGAGGAAGGTGAAGCTGAAAGGCAGAACTTGTCCAGTCTTAGAGCCAAGAAAGGATAAAACATGATTTGCAATAAGCCTATGTCTAAGCATGGCCTGTCTCCCTGGTGGATGGCCAGTGTGCATGAGAAGTGCCCAGAATATGCTGGTTGAATGGCTGTAGGAATGAATGAACAAAATCTTGTTCCAAGCTTGTGTACTCCCACCTCTAAGTCTTCAGTCATTTCTGTGGCTACCTTAACAAGGTCAGCAGCTGCTCTTCATATCCACCCTGAATGAAAAAAAATGAAAGGCTCCAAGTTCATGGTGCTTGGAACAAGATCATTTTATTGTTCCTTGATAATTTCCCATGTATATTTGCTAAAATAGTATAGTTAATAGCTTTTAAAGAAAGCCTTACACAAACACATATTTAAAAGTCAAGCACAGGCTAGCCAGCATAGTGAGGCTCTGTCTCTACCAAAAGTTTTAAAAATTAGCCCAGGTGTGGTGGCGTACCCTTGTAGTCCCAGCTACTCGAGAGGCTGAGACAGGAGGATGGCTTTAGCCCAGGAGTTCCAGGCTACAAGGAGTTAAGAAGGTGCCCACTGGGCTGGGCACAATGGCTCACGCCTATAATCCTAGCACTCTGGGAGGCTGAGGCAGGTGAATCACCTGACGTCAGGAGTTCGAGACCAGCCTGGCCAACATGGTGAAACCCCATCTCTACTAAAAATACAAAAAATTATCTGGGTGTGGTGGTGGATGCCTGTAATCCCAGCTACTCAGGAACCTCAGGCAGAAGAATCACTTGAACCCAGGAGGCGGAGGTTGCAGTGAGCCGAGATCATCCCACTGCACTCCAGCTTGGCAACAAGAGTGAAACTCCGTCTCAAAAAAAAAAAGAAGGTGCCACTGCACTCCAGGCTGTACAAGCCCATAATCCCAGCACTTTGAGAGGTGGAGACAGGAGGATTGCTTTAGCCCGGGAGTTCTAGACCAGCCTGGGCAACATAGGGAGACCTCATCTCCACTAAAAATGTGAAAATTAGATGGGCATGGTGGAGTAAGTCTGTAGTCCCATGTAACCTGGAGGCTCAGGTGGGAGGATTGCTTGAGCCCAGGAGTTCTAGACCAGCCTGGGCAACAAAGGGAGACCTCATCTCTACTAAAAATGTAAAAATATGATGGGTGTGGTGGCGTGAGTCTGTAGTCCCAGCTGGAGGTTCAGGTGGGAGGATTGCTTAAGCCCAGGAGTTGGAGGCTACAGTAGGCTATGATCACACCACTGCCCTCCAGCCTGGGCTAAAGAGTGAGACTCTGTCTCAAAAAAAAAAAAAGTCAAGCACATAAGAATGGCAAAATATTGATAATTTTTGAAGCCAAATGATGTGTCATAGGGGTTTATTTTCTTACATTTCATGCATGTTTGAGAATGGTTTTCTTTTTGGAGATGGGCTCTCAGTATGTTGCCCAGGCTGGACTCAAGCTGCTGGGCCCAAGGGATCCTCCTGCCTCAACCCCTCCAAGTACCTGGGATTGTAGGCACTCGCCAGCATACCAGCTCATGTTTCAGAATTTCTGTCACAAAAAGGAACACAATATTTTAAGTTGACTACTGTGGGAAAGCTATGATCATTCAATAACCTACCTTTCTGATAGCTCTTTCTCAGATAATATAAGCTATAAACCAAAATAGTCAGCCTTCACCTGATTTACAGTGCCCTTTGAAACTTCCTAAGTTTTCTAGCCCAGTAAATGCTGAGCTACCAGTTCTACTTCCAAGCTAGAGAACCTGTTTACTAAAGTTAGAAGTCTAGTGACTTCCTCTGTCAGACTGTCCCAGAATGCTCTCCCTACCCCCAACAACTGTGTAAGAACCGTCATTAGCCATCTCCAAATTGCCAAAGTGCTCAGTCCCTTCGGCTCCTGCAGAGGCTTATTTTTTTCTTAATTAAGATCTTTTGGAACTTCTTAACATTCTTTTCTGAACATTAACAATGTGGTGTTTGGAAGAGATACTATAGAGCAGTGTCTGACTGCAGAGAGGAGTGGATATGGAACCAGGGGGCCAGGGCTTTATATCTTTTCACTTGTTACCTAACCTTTCTGACCCTTATTTTTCTCAGGTCTAAAATGGGGTCGGGGCGGGCGCAGGGGCTCATGCCTGTTATCCCAGCACTTTGGGAGGCGGAGGCAGACAGATCACCTGAGGTCAGGAGTTAGAAACCAGCCTCGCCAACATGGCAAAACCCCCTCTCTACTAAAAATACAAAAATGATCTGGGCGTGGTGGCATGTGCCTGTAATCCCAGCTACCTGCGAGACTGAGGCAGGAGAATTGCTTGAACCAGGGAGTCAGAGGTTGCAGTGAGCCGAGATCATGCCACTGCACTCCAGCCTGGCGACAGAGCGAGATTCTGTCTCAAAAAAAAAAAAAAAAAGATAAAAATTAGCCAGGCTTGGTGGCATGCGCCTGTAGTCCCACCTACTTGAGACGCTAAGGCAGGAGAATTACTTGAACCTGGGCTGCAGAGGTTGCAGTGAGCCATGAGCCAAGAGCTCGCTGCTGCACTCCAGCCTAGGTGACAGAGCTAGACTCCATCTCAAAAAAAAACAACAACAATAAAATGGGGTCAGGCAGGGCATGGTAGCTCACACCTATAATTTCAACATTTTGGGAGCCCAAGGCAGGAGCATCACTTGAAGCCAGGAGTTCGAGAGCAGCCTGGGCAATGTGATGAGATGCCGTCTCTACAAAAAATAAAAATAAAAAATAATAATAATAATAGTAATAATAATGTTTTTTAAATTAGCCAGGCATGGTGGCACACACCTGTAGTCCTAGCTACTCGGGAGGGTAAGATGGGAGGATCACTTGAGCCTAGGAGTTTGAGGCTGCAGTGAGCTCTGATTGCACGACTGCACTCCAACCTGGGAGACAGAGTGAGAGACCCTGTCTCTAAAAACATAAAAATACATGTAAAAACAAAATAGGGATCAGAATCCCCACTCTTCCTTCTTCACAGGATTATTGTGAGTCTCACAACTTGTGAATACACTCTGAAGGCAATATACAAATTAAAGGATGGGGGTTTTTTCCCATTCATTCAATAAATCGTTAGTGAACGCCTTCTGGATACATGACAGCTAGGCCAGGGAATGAGCCTGCAAAGACGAGGAAGATGTCTTCTTTTTTGTTTGTTTGTTTGTTTGTTTGTTTGTTTTTGAAACAGGGTCTAGCTCTCACCCAGGCTGGAGTGCAGTGGTGCAATCTTGGCTCACTACAACCTCCCGGGCTCAAGCCCATCCTCCCATCTCAGCATCCCAAGTAGCTGGAACTACAGGCACGCACCACCATGCCCAGCTAACTTTTGTATTTTTTTGGTAGAGAGGGGGTTTTGCTGTGTTGCCCAGGCTGGTCTCAAACTCCTGAGCTCAAGTGATCTGCCAGCCTCAGCCTCCTAAAGTGCTGGGATTACAGGTGAGAGCCACAGCACCCAGCCTAAAGATGTCTTAAGAATAGGCATGGGCAAGGACCTCATGTCTAAAACACCAAAAGCAATGGCAACAAAAGCCAAAATTGACAAACGGGATCTAATTAAACTAAAGAGCTTCTGCACAGCAAAAGAAACCACCATCAAAGTGAACAGGCAACCTACAAAATGGGAGAAAATTTTTGCAACCTACTCATCAGACAAAGGGCTAATATCCAGAATCTACAAGGAACTCAACAAATTTACAAGAAAAAAACAAACAACCCCATTAAAAAGTGGGCGAAGGATATGAACAGACACTTCTCAAAAGAAGACATTTATGCAGCCAAAAGACACATGAAAAAATGCTCACCATCACTGGCCATCAGAGAAATGCAAATCAAAACCACAATGAGATACCATCTCACACCAGTTAGAATGGCAATCATTAAAAAGTCAGGAAACAACAGGTGCTGGAGAGGATGTGGAGAAATAGGAACACTTTTACACTGTTGGTGGGACTGTAAACTAGTTCAACCATTGTGGAAGTCAGTGTGGCAATTCCTCAGGGATCTAGAGCTAGAAATACCATTTGACCCAGCAATCTCATTACTGGGTATATACCCAAAGGATTATAAATCATGCTGCTATAAAGACACATGCACACGTATGTTTATTGCAGCACTATTCACAATAGCAAAGACTTGGAACCAACCCAAATGTCCAACAATGATAGACTGGATTAAGAAAATGTGGCACATATACACCATGGAATACTATGCAGCCATAAAAAATGATGAGTTCATGTCCTTTGTAGGGACATGGATGAAGCTGGAAACCATCATTCTCAGCAAACTATCGCAAGGACAAAAAACCAAACACTGCATGTTCTCACTCATAGGTGGGAATTGAACAATGAGAACACATGGTCACAGGAAGGGGAACATCACACACCGGGGACTGTTGTGGGTGGGGGGAGGGGGGACGGATAGCATTAGGAGATACACCTAATGTAAATGACGAGTTAATGGGTGCAGCACACCAACATGGCACATGTAGACATATGTAACAAAACCTGCACGTTGTGCACATGTACCCTAAAACTTATCAAGTATAATAATAAAAAACAAAATAAAATAAATAAATGCACAGTTTAGCTGGGGGAAAAAGAAAAGAGACAGGGTCTTATGTTACCCAGGCTGGTCTTGAACTCCTGGGCTCAAGCCATCATCCTGCCTTGGCTTCCCAAAGTGTTGGGATTACAGGCACGAGCCTCCAGGCCTGGCCATAAGCTTTCTTTGAAGGCTTCTCTAGAGAGCGTCCTTTTCTTGTCTCCTGGTAGTTCTTGGTAGTGCCATGCAGGCCGCTGTCTATGGCTGTGAGTATAAAGGCCCGCAGGTGAGGGGACGAGGCATGGGATGGGTGCTGGGATCCTGGGCTCCTTGGCCAAGCTATATGCTCTGGGTATGACTGCCTCAGCCCCTGGAAAGGGCACCTTTCTGTCACTCACTCAAAGGTGTTCTCTCTGGCATGAACACAGTGGCCACCTCCCTCTCATTTTTCGGCCTGCTTCAATTAATATGTGACTTTTGACTTCCCTGTCTACAATTCCCTTCTCCACTAAGTGAGGCTAAAGCTTTGCTTTTGGTGAAACATGACAGCATTCTACTGCTAATTCCATCATGCCACCTGTAAGCCTAACCCTTCCTCTGGTTTCCTGTGTGACATGCTATATGATACTGGGCCAGTCACTTCACTGTGTTGGCCTCAGTCTCCTAATTTGTAGAATGGGGGACAGGGGTTGCATTAGACCTGGGGATACTATGATTATTTCTGAATAATGCCTTTTAACCAATCGAATGTTGCCTTTTGCGATACTACCTATGGCTTGCCTGGGCACACCCACATGTGCACTGGGGGAATGGGGGGGATCCACCAGGAATTTGTGCCTTATGCAGGGGAGGGGCCTGGCCTCTTCAGCTCATCCATGGTAGCCCTGGTATTCAACTGTGAGGGGGAAACCTGCTTGGAGAACCCCTCTCTTTGCCAAGAGCTTTCCTTTCGCTTAATAAATTCTGCCTGCCTCACCCTTCAAAAAAAAAGAAAGAATGACTTGTCAAAGGAAAAAATATTAGGGCCACTTCAAGCTGGGAACTGCTCAGGGCAAATCTGCCTCCCATTCTATTCAAAGTCACCCCTCTGCTCACAGAGATAGATGCATATTCTAATTGCCTCCTTTGGAGAGACTTATCAGAAACTCAGAAGAATGCAACCATTTGGCTGAGCACAGTGGCCTGTAATCCCAGCACTTTGGGAGGCCGAGGTGGGTGGATCACCTGAGGTCAGGAGTTTGAGACCAGCCTGGCCACTTTGGTGAAACCCCGTCTGTACTAAAAATACAAAAAAGTAGCCGGGCGTGGTGGCAGGTGCCTGTAACTCCAGCTACCTAGGAGGCTGAGGCAGGAGAATACTTGAACTTGGTAGTTTCACTCGTGTCCATGTAAAGAGACCACCAAACAGGCTTTGTGTGAGCAACAAGGCTGTTTATTTCACCTGGGTGCAGGCGGGCTAAGTCCAAAAAGAGTCTGCGAAGGGAGATAGGGGTGAGGCTGTTTTATAAGATTTGGGTAGGTAAACGAAAATTACAGTCAAAGGGGGTTCTCTGGCAGGCAGGGGTGGGGGTCACAAGGTGCTCAGTTGGGGAGCTTTTGAGCCAGGATGAGCCAGGAGAAGGAATTTCACAAGGTAATGTCATCAGTTAAGACAGGAACTGGGCATCTGGACGTGTACATGCAGGTCACAGGGGATATGATGGCTTAGCTTGGGCTCAGAGGCCTAACAGATAGAGGTTGCAGTGAGCTGAGATCGCACCACCGCACTCAAGCCTGGGCAACAAGAGCAAAACTCCATCTCAAAAAAAAAAAAAAATCATGAATAACTTGGCCAGGCGTGGTGGCTCACCCCTATAATCCCAGCACTTTGGGAAGCTGTGGTGGGAGGATTGGTTGAGCCCAGGAGTTCGTGACCCAACCTGGACAACATAGTGAAAACCCATCTCTACCAAAAGAATTAATAAAATTAGCCAGGAATAGTGGTGGAATCCCAGCTACTTGGGAGGCTGAGGCAGGAGGATCGATTGAGCCCAGGAGGTCAAGGTTGTAGTGAGTTGTGATTATGCCCCTGCACTGCAGCCTCAGTGACAGAGTGAGAACTTGTCTTAAAAAGAAAAAAAAAAAGGAAAAGAGAAAAAAATACCAATGGATAACTTATTTTAAGGAGGGATGAGAAGATGTTAAACATGAGGCCTGCAGTGGCAGACCATCCACATCAATTTTTATGGAAAAAAATCATCTTGTTTGTGCCCTAATTGAAGAAGACCAACAATTAACAGCAGCCAACACCATATTAACAATAGCAAACACCACAGACGTCTCAATTGGTTCAGCTTACACAGCTCTGACTGAAAAATTAAAGTTGAGCAAACTTTTCACTCAATAGGTGTCAAAACTGCTCTGCCCAGATCAGCTATGGAGAAGAGCAGAGCTTTCAGTGGAAGTTTTAAACAAGTGAGATCAAGATCCTGAAGTATTTTTTTTCAAAGAATTATAACGGGAGATGAAGCATGGCTTTAGCAGTACGATCCTGAAGACAAAGCACAATCAAAGCAATGGCTACTGAGTGGCAGAAGCGGTCCAGTCACAGCACAAACAGAGCAGTCAAGAGCAAGGGTCACACAACAGTTTTCTGAAATGCTCAAGATATTTTGCTTGTTGATGTTCTGGAGGGCAAAGAATGATAACATCTGCTTGCTATGAGTGTTTTGAGAAAATTAGCCAAAGCGTTAGCAGAAAAATGCCTGGGAAAGCTTCACCAGAGTCCTTCTCCACCACGACAATGTTCCTGCTCATTCATCTCATCCAACCAGGACAATTTCCCAAGCGTTTCAATGGGAAATCACTAGTATTCACATTACAGTTATGATTTGATGCCTTCTGACTTGTTTTTGCTTCCTAATCTTAAAATATATTTAAAGGGCACTCATTTTTCTTTAGATATTACTGATAATACTGTATGGTTGAATTCCCAGGACTCTCAATACTTTTTTTTTCTTTTGAATCAGAGTTTTGCTCTTGTTGCCCAGGCTAGACTGCAATGGCATGATCTCAGCTCACCACAACCTCCACCTCCCAGGTTCAAGCGATTCTCCTGCCTCAGCCTCCTGAGTAGCTGGGATTACAGGCATGCACCACCACGCTCAGTTAATTTTGTATTTTTAGTAGAGACGGAGTTTCTCCATGTTGGTCAGACTGGTCTCAAACTCCCAACCTCAGGTGATCCACCCGCCTCAGCCTCCCAAAGTGCTAGGATTACAGGCGTGAGCCACCACACCCGGCCAGGACTCTCAATTCTTTAGGGATGGACTAATGACTGGTATCATTGCTTACAAAGGTGTCTCAAACTTGATGGAGCTTACACTGAGAAATAAAGTTTATATTTTTTATTTTTATCTGTTAAGTCCATTTTTTTCATGAACTTTTTTTTTTTTTTTTAGGCTAGTCAAGTGAAGCAGTGGGAGTGGAAAAGGAGCAAAGAAATCTGTAACTGGTTGTGATTCCATGAACTTTTTGAAATCCCCTTGTATTGGCTTCCTTCCCTCTTCTGTCTTACTTCTCTACTCCCTACAAGTGTTTTCTGGGATCACCTCCAAATAAACTACTTGCAATCTAATCCTGTCTCAAGTCTGCTGCTGTGGGAACCCAAACTAAGACACCTGCAAAAAATATCCTTCCAATTACTGAAAAATATGTTCACTTGCACCCATAAAAGTGTTTGCTAATACCGTAGACCCTTGGCTGTACAATATGGTAGCAGTATCCACATGAGCATTTTGGGACTTGAAATGTGGCTGGTCCCAGTTGAGATGTTCTGGAAGTATAAAACACACTGACTTCAAAGACAGTGTCAAGAAAAATGTGTTTAACGTCTCATGAATGATTTTTTTTACATGGATTACATGTTAAAATGATAATATTTGGACACATTAGTTAAAAACAGAAAGTCAGCCCCCCAACATTTCCAGGTAGAGAACCTATCAAAGGAGACTGAAGTGAGAAGAAAAATAGAGTCACAGAAGTGAAGAAAATGTTTCAAGAAAGGAAAGCTGGAGCCCATGCTTCTGAGAGGCTGGGAAATTGAGGACAGAAGAGCAGCCACTGTATTTAACAACGTGGGGACCTTTGGTGAATTGATCAAATCAGTATTTTAAAGAGAGGGAGACAGACCCTAATTAAAATATATTGAGGAGAGAATGGAATGTGAAGATGTAAAGACAGAGGTTATACACAACTTCTCTGAGAAATGTTGCTGTGAGGAGAGAGAGAAAATATGTAATTGTAGGAGAGAAATCCTTGGGAAAGCAGTCCTCCACACCGTGGACTATTCCATAGCCAATTTTAACAACATAGGTGATAGGGTTTGGCTCTGTGTCTCCAACCAAATCTCATCTCGAATTGTGATTGCCACAATCCCCACATGTTGAGGGAGAAACCCGATGGGAGGTGATTGGATCGTGGAGGCAGTTGTTACCATGATAGTGAGTATTTTATAAAGGGCTCTTCCCCCTTCACTCCTTGCTCCCCTCTCTCCTGCCACAATGTGAAGAAGGTCCTTTTTTCCCCACCTTCTGCCATGACTGTAAGTTTCCTGAGGCCCCCTCAGCCATGTGGAACTGTGAGTCAATTAAAGCATTTTCCTTTATAAATTACCCAGTCTCGGGTATTTCTTTACAGCAGTGTGAGAATGAACTAATATGATGGGTGTAGTAGATGTTGTCAGTGCCTGACCAGAACCCCCAGGCCCTTACCATTTCACACTAGCCTGACTTCCGGCATCTCTGCCTCAAATCCTTCTGCTCCACCAGAGTTGGTTTAGCCCAAGTACAAGGCAGGCCAGGGAGTTAGTGTCTCCCTCTGCCCTCCTCCAGCAACAATCAACTAATAGATAGACAAGAGCTGGTGTATAAATAACGGCACTCACTCACTCACTCCTCAGGTAACTGAGGTTTGCGTTTATACTGTCTCCTAAATTTCCTCAGCAGGATTACTCTCCAGTAGCCCAGACTGGGACATGTCTGATGATATACCCTTTATTGGCTTCATTCCCTCCCCTGTCTCACTTCCCCACTCCCTGGTGGGTGTTTCCTGGGATCACCTACCAATAATCTCTTGACATTCGAACTCTTGTCTTAGGGTCTTGTCAAACAAAGACAATAGAAAATATTCATATAATGATATAAAACCATTATACCTATTATGTACAAGAATGCATGAAACTAAGAAAGACTGGAAGAAAACATTCCAAAATAATAACAGTGATTAGTTCTGTATTGTGGGTAATTAAAAATCAAAGCAAACCTTTCTTTTCTAAAATGAGTTCATTAATTTTTTATTTTTTATCTTTTTGAAATAGGGTCTTGCTCTGTCACCCAGGCTGGAGTGCAGTAGTGTGATGACGGTTCACTGCAGCCACAACCTCCTGAGCTCAGGTGATCCTCCCACCTCAGTCTCTGGAGTAGCTGGAACTGCAGGTGTGCGCCACTACACCTGGCTAATTTTTTGTATTTTTTGTAGAAATGGGGTTTTGCCACATTGCCCAAGCTGGTCTCAAACTCCTGGACTCAAGGGATCCTCTGTCCTCAGCCTCCCAAAGTGCTGTGATGATAAATGTGAGCCACCGCAACTGAGTTCATTACTTTTTTTGTTTTTTGATTTTTAGTTTTTTGTTTTGTTTTTTTAGAGACAGGGTCTCTCTGTCACTCAGGCTGGAGTGCAGTGGAGTGATCATAGCTCACTCAAGCCTCAAGGGCTCAGGTGATCCTCCCACCTCAGATTCCCAAATAGCTGAGACTATATGCACATGCCACCACAGTTGGATAATTTTTTAAACTTTTTTTGTAGAGACAGGGTCTCATTATGTTGTAAGGCTGGTCTTCAAATCCTGGCATCAAGCAATCCTCCCACCTTGGCCTCCCAAAATGCTGGGATTACAGGTGTGAGTCACTGAGCCTGGCCTAAAGTGAGGTTTTTTTGTTTGTTTGTTTGTTTGTTTGTTTTTAATTAAACATTTGTTTTAAAAAAGAAGTACTGTAATTACAATATACAGATTAACAGGTTTTGTGAATTCCAGAAGTCTATCTTCAAAAAAACAAACCTGTTCCTAAACAAAACCATCACTGATGTTAACTTTCTCAGCAATACATAGCAAATGAAATATCAACATCTGGCTGGGTACAGTGGCTCATGCCTGTAATCCTAGCACTTTGGGAGGCTGGGGCAGGCGGTTCACCTGAGGTCGGGAGTTGGAAACCAACCTGACCAACATGGAGAAACCCCATCTCTACTAAAAATACAAAATTAGCCAAGTGTGGTGGTGCATGCCTGTAATCCCAGCTACTTGGGAGGCTAAGGCAGGAGAATCGCTTGAACCAGGGAGGTGGAGGTTGCAGTGAGCCAAGATGGTGCCATTGCACTCCAGCCTGGGCAACAAGAATAAAACTCCGCCTCAAAAAAAAAAAAAGAAAAGAAAAGAAAGAAATATCAACATGTATATGAAAAACATAACAGGCCAGGCACGGTAGCTCATGCCTGTAATCCTGTCACTTTGGGAGGCGGAGGCAAGAGGATCACTGGAGCCCAGGAGTTCAAGACCAGCCTGGGCAATATAGCAAAACCCTGTCTCTACAAAAAAAAAACCCAAAAAATCAGCTAGGCATGGTGGTATGCACTGGTAGTCCCAGCTACTCAGGAGGCTGAGATGGGAGGATCACTTGAGCCTGGGTGGTCGAGGCTACAGTGAGCCATGACTACACCACTGCACTCCAGCCTGGGTGACAGAATGAGACTGTCTCAAAAAAAAAAAAAAGAAAGAAAAAGAAAAACATAACAAAAAATCCAGGATCCCAAGAAATTAGCTTCAGTTTAGAATTATGCTTCAGACCAAATATTATATCATAGAAAGGAAATGTATAAATGTATGGCAAAATATGATTTTTTTTCTTTCAGTAGCTATACTTCACTGAATGAGTAATTGTACCTTTTTACTGTTTCACTAAATCCTTACAATACTACTCTGAGGAATGTATTATTGTCTTTTTACAGATAATAAAGCCCAGAGAAAGGTGAAGTACATTCTCCAAAATGGAAAAAAAAATAAGATTTGCCAATGCCCATGAACATTGTACCACTTTGGTCTGCCTCTCTCTCCACTTCAGATGTCATGTTAGAGTCAGCAGCAGATCAAGGAACAGTCACTGAGTAAACATTTCTGATGTGGTTGATGTAATCTAGCACCACGAGGCTGGACGTGTATGAAGCCAGATTGCAAAAGCAAACAGGTGCCTTAGGGCAACTAGAAATGGGGACACCACAGCTATGTTGGGTAGAATGACAGGCAGGAAAGCCATGGCCCTTCAAAACCTACAATATAGACATTATAATCAGAACAGTAGAAAAAATCAACTTGTCTAGCAGAGACATCCATTTTTTAAAACTGCCAAGGCTCTGATAATTGTAATTTTAAAGTATATCTGACCTTGGCCAGGCACGCTGGCTCACACCTGTAATCCCAGCAGTTTGGCAGGCTGAGGCAGGTGGATCACCTGAAGTCAGGAGTTGGAGACCAGATTGGCCAACATGGTGAAACCCCGTCTCTACTAAAAATACAAAAATTAGCCTGGCGTGGTGGCATATGCCTGTAGCTACTCGGGAGGCTGAAGCAGGAGAATCGCTTGAACCTGGGAGGCAGAGGTTGCAGTGAGCCAAAATTGCACCATTGCACTCCAGCCTGGACAACAAGAGCTAAACTCCATCTCAACGAAATAAAAATAAATAAAGTATATTTGACCTTAAAGGACTAAAATTGGCACAGATTACATAGACACCTATTGTAGAGAAAAATTAAATTAGAACTAGATTATTCAATGACACATTACATAAGAACAACAGCTCTTATGTACCCATCAGCAGTATTTGCTGAATGTGTACAGGAAGCCATCACTCACAATTTTATTTACAAATAAAATGTAAACTAATCTTCAAGAGATAAGGGAGAATCTTGTGCCTGCTAGTTCAATCTGCTGCTTAAAAAAAAAGAAAAGAAAAGAAAAAAAAAAGCTGGCCAGGCGCGGTGGCTCACGCCTGTAATCCTAGCACTTTGGAAGGCTGAGGCAGGTGGATCACCTGAGGTCAGGAATTTGAGACCAGCTCGACCAACATGGCGAAACCCCATCTCTACTAAAAATACAAAAATTAGCTGGGCATGATGGCAGGTGACTGTAATCCCAGCTACTTGGGAGGCTGAGGTAGGAGAATCGCTTGAACTCAGGAGGTGGAGGTTGCAGTGAGCCGAAATTGCACCACTGCACTCCAGCCTGGGTGACAGAGCAAGACTCCATCTCAAAAAAAAAAAAAAAAAGTATTATTTCTGAAAGCAAGTAGAAAAAGGAATGTCTCCATCTGTTTCTTTCTTTTTTTTCCTAATAGAGACGAGGTCTCATTGTGTTGCCAGACTGGTCTTGAACTCCTGAACTCAAGTGATCCTCCTGCCTCAGCCTCCTAAAGTGCTAAAATTAGAGGTGTGAGTCACCATGCCTGGCCTCCATCTCCTTTTGATGCTGTTTTTTGTTTGTTTGTTTGTTCGTTTCTGAGACAGAGCCTCACTCTGTTTTCCAGGCTGGAGTGCAATGGTGTGATCTTGACTCACTGCAACCTCTGCCTCCCAGGTTCAAGCTATTCTCCCAGCTCAGCCTCCCAAGTAGCTGGCATTACAGGCATGCGCCACCACACCTGACTTTTTTTTTTTTTTTTTCTGAGACAGAGTCTTGCCCTGTCACTAGGCTGGAGTGCAGTGACACAATCTCGGCTCACTGCAACCTCCACCTCTTGGGTTCAAGCCATTCTCCTGCCTCAGCTTCCCGAGTAGCTGGGACTACAGGCATGTGCCACCACGCCCAGCTAATTTTTGTATTTTTAGTAGAGATGGGGTTTCACCATGTTGGCCAGGATGTTCTCTATTTCTTGACCTTGTGATCCACCCACCTCGGCCTCCCAAAGTGCTGGGATTACAGGCGTGAGCCACCGCACCCGGCCTCTTAGGCTGTTTTATGCACTCTTGGTGTGTAATTCTTAGTGGAGCAGTGGGCTATAATGTGCCCAGTCAGTCCCCAGTGTGCTCTAAGGGTTGAGGTCCGAGCTTTCCCTGCCAGCTTGGGTTGGCAGTTCTTTAGCTACTGAGGGGAAGGTGGTGCCGGTGAGCTGGTCTAGAAAGTGAAAAATCCTAGAGATTACAGCTCTAAGAAGACAGTGCCCAGAGTATCCTGAAACACACGGTGCCCTGAGGATGATGGAGGAGGCTCGAACCCTGTGCTTCACAGTTACCTCCAGGGCTGGATGGTGCTGTTTTAGAGTATCAGATGATGGCTTTCCTCCAAGTCAACCTGGCCTGAGTACACATACTGTGGAAAAGCCACAAGCATCCACTGTTTCACCTCGCAAACCTAACTGTGGGCAAAGGATTACTCAGGTGCCGAGGCAAGAGACTGAAAGCACAAACTGTTTCAGTATAATAAAGAAAATAGTTAGAATAAGAATAGTCATAATACAAATTAGATATAGAGATGATCATGGACATTATCAATCATTAGTATAAAGATTATTAATCATTAGCTTTTAATATTACTCTTTGTTGTATTACTAATATAACCTAGGAATAACTGGCAGGTATAGGGTCAGGTGCTAAAGGGTTATTGTGAGAAGTGACCTAGAAGGCAAGAGGTGAGCCCTCTGTCATGCCTGCATAAGGGCCGTTTGATGGCTCCTTGGTCAAGCGGTAACGCCAGTGCCTGGGAAGGCACCCGTTACTTAGCAGACCGTGAAAGGGAGCCTCCCTTTCCTTGGAGGAGTCAGGGAACACTCTGCTCCACCAGCTTCCTGTGGGAGGCTGGATATCATCCAGGCCTGCCCGCAGTCATCTGGAGGCCTAAACCCCTCCCTGTGTTGCTGTGCTTCAGTGGTCACGCTTCTTGTCCACTTTCATATTCCTCCCATACTCCTGGTTCTTCTTTGAAGTTCTTAGAAGATAGTGGTAGAAGAAATAGTGAAAGTCTTAAAGTCTTGGATCTTTCTGATAAATGCATAGAAGAAAACACTGACATATGCTGCCTTCCCTCTCTGCTTCGGCTACCTAAAAGGGAAGGGCCCCCTGTCCCAGGATTACATGACTTGCTTGACCTTATCAATCACTGGATGACTCAGCCTCCTTACCCTGCCCCCCTGGTCTTGCAAGCAATAAATATCAGTGTGCCCAGCCATTCGGGGCCACTACCAGTCTCCATGTTTTGGTGGTAGTGGTCCTCCAGCCCCAGCTGTTTTCTCTTTATCTCTTTGTCTTGTGTCTTTATTTCTTACAATCTCTCGTCTCCGCACCCAGGGAGAACACCCACTAAGCCCTGTAGGGCTGGACCCTATACCTAACCACTTTCCTTAATACTGGCCAGCCTCTGAAGGGCTGTGTCTGGAATGTTCTGGAGTCTGTTGCCTCTCAGGCCAGACCCACCTTCCCCCTGCCTCGCTTCCTCCACAGCAGAGACTTGAAACCACTCAAAAGAGCAAAAGTCTAATTATTAAACTTTATTCCCTGAAACATGGGTCCAGTCATCCTACATAATAACATTCTTCTTATTATTATTATTTTGTTGTTGTTGTTAAGATGGAATCTTGTTCTGTTGCCCAGGCTGGAGTGCAGTGGCATGACCTTGGCTCACTGCAACCACTGCCTTGCGGGTTCAAGCAATTCTTCTGCCTCAGCCTCCGGAGTAGCTGGGATTACAGGTGAGTGTCACCACACCCAGCTAATTTTTGTATTTTTAGTAGAGACAGGGTTTCACCATGTTGGCCAGACTGCTTTCGAACTCCTGACTTCAAGTGATCTGCCAGCCTGGGCCTCCCAAAGTGCTGGGATTTCAGGCATGAGCCACTGCACCCAGCCACAAAAAACTTTCATGTTTTTATATAATTAAGAGACACCAATCATGTGACTCTGCTGAACAGTGGAGATAATTCCAAGGTAAATATAGTCATATGCTGCATAAAGAGGTTTCAGTCAATGACGTTTTGCATAAATGACTGTTGTCCCATAAGATGATAATACCTCCGGTAATTGGCTACTGAAAAAATTATAATACCATATTTTTACTGTGCCTATTCTATGTTAAGATGCACTAATACTTACCATTGTGTTACAATAATCTCCAGTATTCAGTACAGCAACATGCTTTACAAGTTTGTAGCCTAGGAGCAAAAGGCTACACCTTGTAGCCTAGCTGTGCAGTAGGCTACACCATCTAAGATTGTGTAAGTACACCTGTGATGTTCGTACAATGACAAAATCAGCTAAGGACACATTTCCCAGAATATATTCCTATCATTAAGCCATGTATGAGTATAATCTTTCTCCCAGGACAATGAAGCCTACCCATTTACCTAAGAAGTAGTTTCACCCGGCCGGGCGCGGTGGCTCACGCCTGTAATCCCAGCACTTTGGGAGCCCGAAGCGGGCGGATCACGAGGTCAGGAGTTCCAGACCAGCCTGGCCAACATGGTGAAACCCCGTCTCTACTAAAAATACAAAAATTGGCCGGGCCTGGTGGCGGGCGCCTATAATCCCAGCTACTCAGGGTCTGAGGCGGGAGAATCACTTGAACCTGGGAGGCGGAGGTTGCAGTGAGCCAAGATCCCACCATTGCACTCCAGCCTGGGCAACACAAGCAAAACTCCATCTCAAAAAAAAAAGAAGAAGAAGAAGTAGTCTCACCCTGCAGGGGTAAACCTCCAACAGGAATTACTGATAGAGTTGGGTGTGGTGGCATCTGTTTGCACACCCAGCAGTTCAGGGGGCTGAGACTGGAGGATCACTTGAGCCCAGGAGTTTGAGGTTGTAGCAAGCTATGATTGTGACACTGCAATCCAGCCTGAGCAACAAATCAAGACCCCCAACTCTAAAAATAAAAAGATATACTAATAGCACATGAATATTAGCACCTAATCAGGTTTCTGGTCTGCAACCTGAAACTGTAAAAGTACTAGAAGAAAACATAGGGGGCCTGGCGCAGTGGCTCACACTTGTAATCCCAGCACTTTGGGAAGCTGAGGTAGGTGGCTCATGAGACCAGCCTTGACAACATGGTGAAATCCCGCCTCTACTAAAAATAAAAAAATTAGCCGGGTACGGTGGCACATGCCTGTATTCCCAGCGACTCTGGAGGCTGAGGAAGGAGAATCGCTTGAACTTGGGAAGCGAAGGTTGTAGTGAGCTGAGATCATGCCATTGTACTCCAGCCTGGGTGACAAAGCGAGACTCAAAAAAAAAAAAAAAAAAAAAAAAAAAGAAAAGAAAATAAAGAAAAAGAAAACATAGGGGAAATGGTCCAGGACATTGGCCCGGGCAAAGATTTCTTGGACATCATCCCAAAACCACAAGTAACAAAAGCAAAAATAAACAAATGGAATTGCATAGATTAAAACACTTCTGCATAACAAAAAAATCAATTAATAGAGTGAAGAAAAATCAATTAATAGAGTGAACCCACAAACTAGGAGAAAATATTTGCAAACTCTACATCTAATAAGGGGCTAATATCCAAAATATTAAAACTGCATTGAGATATTACCTCATACCTGTTAGACTGGCTATTATCAAAAATGAGAGATTTAAAGATTACATTACACTACATTAAAGTGTTGGCAAGGGTGCCAAGAAAAGGGAAACTTTGTGCACTGTTGACGGGAATGTGAATTAATACCGCCATTATGGAAAACAGTATGGGGTATGAAAGTTCCTTGAAAACTAAAAGTGGAATGACCATAAGATCCAGTAATCCTACTTGTGTATATATACCCAAACAAACTGAAAGCAGTATACCAAAGAGGCATTTACACTGCCGTATTCATTGCAGCACTGTTCCCAATAGCTAAGGTATGAAAGCAACTCGGAATCCATCCTGAGTTGAATGGATAAAGAAAACATGGTATACATACACAATGAAATGCTATTACCCTTTAAAAAGGGTGGGAGGGGTGAATCCCATCATTTGCAACAACATAGATGAACCTAGAGGACATTATGCTAAGTGAAATAAGCCAGACACAGAAAGACAAAGATGACACGATCTCACTTATATTTGGAATCTTAAAAAGCTGAACTCATGGCCGGGTGTGGTGGCTCACACCTGTAATCCCAGCACTTTGGGAGGCCAAGGGGGCAGATCATGAGGTCAGATCGAGACCATCCTGGCTAACACGGTGAAACCTCGTCTCTACTAAAAATACAAAAAAATTAGCCAGGCGTGGTGGCGGGCGCCTGTAGTCCCAGCTACTCTGGAGGCTGAGGCAGGAGAATGGCGTGAACCCAGGAGGCGGAGATAGCAGTGAGCCAAGATCAAACCGCTGCACTCCAGCCTGGGCAACAGACTGAGACTCCATCTCAAAAAAGAAAAAAAACAGTTAAATTCATGAAAGTAGAGAGTAGAATGATGGTTACCGGAGGCGGGGGAAAGAGAAACTATTGATCAAAGAATATGCAAAGTTTTAGTTAGACAGAAAGAATAAGCTTGGCCGGATGCAGTGGCTCACAAGCATAATTCCAGCACTTTGGAAGGCTGAAGCTGGAGGATTGCTTGAGACTAGGAGTTGGAGACCAGTACTGGCAACAGAGCAAGACCCTGTTGCTACAAAAAATCCCATGTTTTTAATCAGCTGGATGTGGTGGTGCATGCCTGTAGTCCCAGCTACTCGGGAGGCTGAGGTGGGAGGACTGCTTGAGCCCGGGAGTTCAAGGTTGCAGGAAGCCATGATCGCACCACTGCAGTCCAGCCTGGGTAACAGAGCAAGAGCTTGTCTCAAAAAAAAAGGAATAAGCTTTAGTGACCTATTGTACAGGATGGTGATGACAATAAACACAATGTACATTTCAAAATTGCTAGAAGAGTAGATTTTAAGTGTTTCATCACACCAAAAAATGATATGTGAAGTGATAGATTTGTTAATTAGCCTGATTTAATAATTCCACATTGTCAATACATATCAAAACATCATATTATACTGTATAGATATGTACAGTTATTATTTGTCTTGAATATCATGTTGTATTGTAAAAGAAGAAAACAAAAAAACAATTACTTGTCAATTAAAAATAAACCAGGCACAGTGGCTCACGCCTGTAATCCCAACACTTTGAAGGCTGAGGCAGGAGGATCACTTGAGCCCAGGAGTTCCAGACCAGCCTGGGCAACATAGTGAGATCTCATCATTACTAAAAACCAAAAAACACATTAGTCGTGTGTGGCAGTGTGTGTCTGTAGTCCCAGCTATTTGGGGAGGCTGAGGTGGGAGGATCACTTGAATCTAGGAGGTCAAAGCTGCAGTAAGCCAAGACCATACCACTGCACTCCAGCCTGGATGACAGAGTGAGACCCTGTCTCAAAAATATAAGGCCAGGCATGGTGGCTTACGCCTGTAATGCCAGCACTTTGGGAGGCCGAGGCAGGATGATCATTTGAGGTCAGGAGATTGAGACCAGCCTGGCCAACGTGGCGAAACCCCGTCTCTACTAAAAACACAAAAATTAGCTGGGCTTGGTGGCACACGCCTGTAATCCCAGCTACTCAGGAGGCTGAGACAGGAGAATCACTTGAACTGGGGAGGCGGAGGTTGCGGTGAGCCCAAGATCGCGCCATTGCACTCCAGCCTGAGAGACAAGAGTGAAATCATCTCAATAAAATAAAATAAAATAGCCCAGCACGGTGGCTCACACCTGTAAGCCCAGCACTTTGGGAGGCCAAGGCGGGCAGATCACCTGAGGTTGAGAGTTCGAGATCAGCCTGGCCAACATGGTAAAACCCCCATCCCTACTAATAATACAAAAATTAGCCAGGCTTGGTGGTGCATGCCTGTAATCCCAGCTACTCGGGAGGCTGAGGCAGGAGAATCGCTTGAACCCAGGAGGCAGCAGTTGCTGAGTGAGCCAAGATTGCCACTGCACACCAGCCTGGGCAGCAGAGTGAAACTCTGTCTAAAAATAAATAAATTAATTAAATATAATAAAATGTTAAAAAAAGTTCATGGCATTCTCTTATTAACAATTTATCTCTGAATATGTTCTCCTTAATTCCTTATCTTGCCATCTTTGCTGCTTTTTTATTTTTTTTTTTTTTTTGAGACGGAGTCTCGCTCTGTTGCCCAGGCTGGAGTGCAGTCTTGGCTAACTGCAACCTCCGCCTCCCAAGTTCAAGCGATTCTCTTGTGTCAGCCACCTGAGTAGCTGGGACTACAGGCATGCACCACCATGCCTGGCTAATTTTTGTATTTGTAGTAGAGACGGGGTCTCACCATGTTGGCCAGGTTGGTCTCAAAACTCCTGTCCTCAGGTGATCCACCCCCTTCAGCCTCCCAAAGTGCTGGGATTACAGGCGTAAGCCACCATGCCTGGCCAAGGTCTGGCTTTTCTTTATCAACCAATATGAAAATTTCTGTTTCTTATTTGATAAGCTTAGTCACTTTTAACTTAATAAATTATAATTTGGACTTATTTCAACCCTGTTATATCAACCTTCCTATTTATCCTGATTGTACCATGCCATTTAAGAGGAAAAAGGACAAAATTAAATATATAATATGGGTATATATTTTCTTTCTTTTTTTTTTTTGTTTTTTGGGATGGAGTCTGGCTCTGTCACCCAGGCTGGAGTGCAGTGGCGTGATCTCGGCTCACTGCAAGCTCTGCTTCCCGGGTTCACGCCATTCTCCTGCCTCAGCCTCCCCAGTAGCTGGAACTACAGGCACCCGCCACCACACCCAGCTAATTTTTTGTATTTTTAGTAAAGACAGGGTTTCACCGTGTTAGCCAGATGGTCTTGATCCCCTGACCTCGTGATCTGCCCGCCTCGGCCTCCCAAAGTGCTGGGATTACAGGCGTGAGCCACTGCACCCAGCCAGGGTATATATTTTCTACACTTCTAGGTAAAAATGAACAATATTGTGGAAAAGAGACCAGAAAAAACACACCCAAGTATTAATGATCTAGTGGTTTTTCTTCAAGAAATAGAATTATGGGTCATTTCTTCTTCTTTCTATTTTTTAATATTTTTCTAAGTTGTCCATGATGAACATACATACATATATATGTCACCCAGGCTGGAGTGCAGTGGTGCAATCTCAGCTCACTGCAACCTCCGCCTCTGGGTTTAAGCAATTTTCTGCCTCAGCCTCCCGGTAGCTGGGATTACAGGTGCCTGCCACCACGCCCAGCTAATTTTTGTATTTTTAGTAGAGATGGGGTTTCACCATCTTAGCCAGGCTGGTCTTGAACTCCTGACCTCATGATCCACCCGCCTCAGCCTCCCAAAGTGCGGGGATTACAGATGTGATCCACCGCGCCCGGCCAATGAACTTATATATTTTTCTTTTGAGACAGAGTTTCGATCTTGTTGCCCAGGCTAGAGTGCAATGGTGCGATCTCAGCTCACTGCAACCTCCACCTCCAGGGTTCAAGTGATTCTCCTGCTTTAGCCTCCTGAGGAGCTGGGATTACAGGCATGTGCCACCACGCTCGGCTAATTTTGTAGTTTTAGTAGAGACTGGGTTTTCCATGTTGCTCAGGCTGGTCTCGAACTCCCGACCTCAGGTGATCCACCCGCTTTGGCATCCCAAAGTGCTGAGATTACAGGCGTGAGCCACCGCGCCTGGCCTGATGAACATACATTTTTAAACAAACAAACAAAAAACTCATGAGCCAGCAAATTAAAATAAATGTTATTGAAGTAGTAGAAGTGACGAAGATGGTAATGAGCCCACATCTTTCTAATGCCCAGCCTTCCCTTCGTACTGCCCGAGGACCACTTGGACTTCATCCAGAGGGAGTACTCACTCACCAAGCCTTACCCTGAGCTTTCCTTTCATATCCAACAAATGGCAGAGTCCTCACCTGGCCCTGGCAACTCCTCAGGGCGTGGGAGAAAAGCTGCGGCTCAGGGCTCAGTGTGGCCGACCGAACACTCAGGGCCTTATCCTGCCATTGAGCCTCTCAATGATATCAGCAGGATGTGGCCCGAAGGTTTTTCCTCCCCTGGTTTCCCCAAACAGAAAATGCTGGCCTTTGTTTAGACAGTACTTTGATGGATTGTGGATAGGACCATTTTAAAACTTTATCTAAATTAGATGAAAATGTCCTACAGCCACTTCAAATTTAATTTGTGGAGGTAATGCTTGTTCACTCTTGGTTCCTAGCCTGGAAGCCATTTGGACCTTTTGAAGTGCTTAGCCTGGATTTAATTTTGAAGTACATTTTATTTTTCGTAAATTCTTGTTGCTGTTTCTAATGCCTTAGTAATGTGGGTCTGTATCTTTGCTTAGGAGTTTTGTCTTTCTATATAGTACAGTAATTCCCTAACTTTTAAAATCTAGCTACTTTGTAAAAAACACAAAATCTCACACATTTTTCAAGTGAATTAAACACAGGACCTAAAAAACAAACCTTTGTGTTGCAAAGGGAAGCAACACAGCTTTACTGGATACAGAGCTCCACACAGGGCTGTTTTAAAATCTTTGTAAAGTCTGGACAGGACCAGCTACGTAATTTGTAGGGCCTAGAGCAAAATAACAATGTGTGGCATGGCCAGGTGTGGTGGCTCACACTTGTAATCCCAGCACTTTGGGATGCCAAGGTGGGTGGATCACCCGAGGTCAGGAGTTTGAGACCAGCCTGACCAATATGGTGAAGCCCAGTCTCTACTAAAAATACAAAAATTAGCCCGGCATGGTGGTGGATGCCTGTAGTCCTAGCTACTCAGGAGGCTGAGACAGGAGAATTGCTTGAACCCGGAAGGCGTTGGTTGCAGTGAGTTGAGATCACATCACTGTACTCCAGCGTGGGTGACAGAGTGAGACTCCATATCAAAAAAAAAAAAAAAGAATGTGTGGCTCATTGTTCAAAAATTACGAAGACTTCCAAGGCTGGTGTGGTGGTACATGCCTGTAGTTTCTGCTACTCTGGAGGCTGAGATGGGAGGGTCACTTGGACCAAGTAAGTAGAGGCTGCACTGAGCTACATGGTCACACTGTACTCCAGCCTGGGCAACAAAATGGGACCCTGTCTTGAAAGAAAGACAGAAAGACAGACAGAAAGAGAGAAGGAAGGAAGGGGAGGGGAGGGGGACGGGAAGGGAAGGGGGAAAGGGGAAAGGGAAAGGGGGAAGGGGGAAGGGAAGGGAAGGGAAGGGAGAAGGAAGGAGGAAGGAAGGAAGAAAGACTTCCAAGATGAGAGCAGAGCATTAAACCAGTCTCGGGGCCCTTATGAACTTGTGACCTCGTGCTAAATGCACAGGTCAGTTGCCTGCAAAGCTGGCCCTGGCTCTGGATACTTTCAGTGGGTCCCACTGCATGTTATATCACATGTCATAATCATTTACATCCTACACATGTTTTTTATTAGAACAATTTTCTTTTTTCTTTTCTTTTCTTTCTCTTTCTTTCTCTCTTTTTTTTCTCTCTCTCTCTTTCCCTCCCTCCCTCCCTCTCCTCCCCTCCCCTCTCCTTTCCTTTCATTTCCTTTCCTTTGTTTCCTTTCTTTTTTTCTTTTGAAACAGAGTCTTGCTCTGTCACCCAGTCTGGAGTGCAGTGGCCTGATCTTGGCTCTCTGCAACCTCTGCCTCCCGGGCTCAAGCAATTCTCCTGCCTCAGTCTCCTGAGGAGCTGGGATCACAGGCGCCCGACAACACACCTGGCTAATTTTTGTATTTTTAGTAAAGATGGGGTTTCACCATGTTGGCCAGGCTGGTCTCCAACTCCTGACCTCAAGTAATCCACCTGCCTCGGCCTCCCAAAGTGCTGGGATTACAGGCGAGAGCCATCATGCCTAGCCTACAACCATTTTCTCTTTTTTTTTTTTTTTGAGACAGAGTCTGGCTCTATTGCCCAGGCTGAAGTGCAGTGGAGCGATCTCAGCTCACTGCAACCTCCGCCTCCTGGGTTCAAGCGATTCTTCTGCCTCAGCCTCCCAAGTAGCTGGAATTACAGGCACGCAGCACCATGCCCGGGTAATTTTTTGTATTTTTAGTAGAGACAGGGTTCCACCATGTTGGCCAGGCTGGTCTCCAACTCCTGATCTCAAGTAATCCACCCGCCTTGACCTTGAAAAGCGCTGGGATTACAGGCATGGGCCACCGTGCCAGGCATACAGACATTTTCAAAGAGATTTTGCTTTTGAAATTATGTGGCTACAAGTAACTCATGTTATGATTGGCTCTGATTGCTCTACAAATAGTGTATATGTTTAAGAATTTTTGTGCAGTGAGAAAATCAGAACTTTCAAATTGCTTTCCAAGGAATCAATACATTTATGACTATTAAAATTGGCAATAGATGAAAGTGTCATTGGTGATGTCCTATGAATACTTAACCACACATTATAAATCAATATTGTAGTGAGACAGCCAAGTATCATGGGGGAAGGTGCCTGGAAAACCTCCGCCCAGCCGGTACACTGGGAGAATGGGGTGGAGTGGCGGGAAGTTCATGCCCTTTGCAGCAGAGAGGAGCCTGGCCTTTCTCTCCTGTTCCTGAGGTGTGGTACCCGAGAATTCAGTCTGTATGAGGTGGGGCCAGTTGACAGGAAACTCTCTCGCTCTTCTAAGATTTTTTTTTTTCCTTTTTGCCTAATAAATTCCACTTTTCTCACCCTTCAAAGTATCTGGATGCCTAATATTTCATGGCCATGTAACAACGACCCCGTTTTTAGATGAACTAAGGAAAAAGTCCTATAACGGTAGTTGTTTTTCTTTTGACATTTTGAGGCTGATAATTATGTTTTGAACCCACATATTTTCACAGGCCCTTGAAGTACCCACAGGCTCCATGTGCTGTGTCTGTAGCACTTGATTGAGAAAAAAAATGGTGCTCAGCTCCCCGCTCCTATTCTGACATGGTCCCTCACAAGAGCAGGCCCGCCTTCCCGGCATGATGTTCCCACCCTCAGCACTCCCCACCACACAGTGAGGGAAACTCATAAATTACAAAGCTCTGTTTAGTACAGAGAGTTCTTGGGGCTTTGTTCCTTTGTTTAGTTTACTTAAAAATAGAACTGTCGCCAGGTGCGGTGGCTCACGCCTATAATCCCAGCACTTTGGGAGGCCAAGGCGGCCGGATCACGAGTTCGAAAGATTGAGACCATCCTGGCCCACATGGTGAAACTCTGTCTCTACTAAAAATACAAAAATTAGCCGGCGTGGTGGCGCACGCCTGTAATCCCAGCTACTCAGGAGACTGAGGCAGGAGAATGGCTTGAACCGGGGAGGCGGAGGTTGCAGTGAGCCAAGATCACGCCATTGCACTCCAGTGTGGGCAACAGAGTGAGACTCCATCTCAAAAAAAAAAAAAGAAAATAAAATAAAAGAAAGGAGAATTGTCTCAGTGTCTAGGAAAGTCTCTGAGTGAAGAAAATGTTGCTTTATTTCATGGTAGGAAGTCACAAAGGACTGACTGAAATCTTTTTGCCATTAACGATTTAAGTGAGATGTAATAAGTGCAGACGCACCTGGACAGCCCATTTGGGCTCATGCAGAAGTCGGCTTCTCATCCCTTAATCCTCCCAGACTCTCAGCTGGAGCTGGTTTGGGGAGTAAGGACTTATCCTTATCAGCACCATCCCTCCTTTGGCTTCTAAACAGATACAAGCAGCAGAGATGGAAACAATACGGCAGAATAGGAAAGTATGGACTTGGAGCCAAGTATCATAAATAACAAGTAAAGTGGCCAAACTTGGTATCTGTGATCAAGTTGCTCTCTCAGACAGTGTTTCCTTACCTGTAAAATGGGGATATTAATATGTACCTCACAAGACTGTTAGGAAGATTAAGAAATATTCATATGGCAGGGCACAGTGGCTCACGCCGGTAATCCCAGCACTTTGGGAGGCAGAGGCGGGCAGATCACTTGAGCTCAGGAGTTCGAGACCAGCCTGGGCAACATGACGAAACCCTGTCTCTACAAGAAATACAAAAATTAGCTGGGCGTGGTGGTTGTGCACCTGTGGTCCCAGCTACTTGGGAGTCTCAGCCGGGAGGATTGCTTGAGCCCAGGAGGTAGAGGCTATAGTGAGCTGTGATGGTGCCACACTGCACTCCAGCCTGGGTGACACAGCAAGACTCTATCTCAAAAGATATATGTGGGTGTGTGTGTGTATACACATGTATATTGATATACACATATATAAACACGTATTTATCTACACATGCACACACACATAAAGTTTGGGCTATTGGCACTAAGTTAATGGCAACTTCTACTGTTGTTATTTTTATGATTATTAATCACACAGAGCATGAATTTATGGCAGCCTCCCTTAAAAAGAAAAAAGGGCTCTGCAAAGAGGCTTTTCTTTTGAGACAGACGCCTCCGAGGTTCAAGCGATTCTCCTGCCTCAGCCTTCTGAGTAGCTGGGGTTACAGGCGTGTGCCACCACACCTTGCTAATTTTTGTATTTTTAGTGGGGCGGGCGGGTGGGGGCAGCTGACCATGTTGGCCAGGCTGGTCTCGAACTCCTGACCTCAGGTGATCTGCCTGCCTAGGCCTCCCAAAGTGTGGGGATTACAGGCGTGAGCCACCGGCCGTGAAGAGTTTTAAATTATTTATATTGCCGGGCGCGGTGGCTCATGCCTGTAATCTCAGCACTTTGGGAGACTGAGGTGGGTGGATTTTTTGAGCTCAGGAGTTCAAGACCAGCCTGGGCAACATGGCAAAAACCTATCTCTACAAAAGCACAAAAAATTAGCCAGGTGTGGTGGCACACACTTGTGGTCCCAGCTACTCAGGAGTCTAACGTGGGAGGATCACTTGAGCCCAAGAAGTCAAGGCAAGGCCTCAGTGAGCCACGATTACACCACTGCATTCTAGTCTGGGTGACAGAATGAGACCCCATTTCAAAAAAACAAAATTTATATTATTCCCATAAAATTTGGTTATTAATTTTTTATACCAAGAGGCAGAATAGATTATTAATTTGTTAGTACATTTCAAACTCAGTCATGTGTCAATTTTTCCTGTCTATATTAAGCAGGTATTGTGCACCTTATACTGTGATAAACCAGGGGAGCTATGGACCTGCCCTCAAAGAGCTGAACACTGGAAAAACAATCAGAGAATAATATGACCCAGTGTATAACAAAATGCTAGGAGGTATGGTGCAGGTGCTATCTACTGTTGGATTTTAGTAAAGGAAATAGTGACAATCAGGGGCTCAGATGCTCAGAGCAAACTTCATAAAGAACACATACACATACCACTATTAAAGGAAAGAATTTACTTTGTATTAAAACAAAATTCTGTGATTTTAGCAAGTTAGTCAACACATCTTAGTCTTCTGTCTGCAAAATGGAGAGGATGAGTTTTCTTGTATTGGATTGATGCTTTTGGCTACAAATTACTCTACCTCAATTAATGGACTTAAGCAAAATAGAACATATTATTTCCAGAGGCACAATTATTATGGGGATTATTCAATAAGCTCTTTGAGTAAACCCAGGTCCTTTCTGCTTTTCCTCTGTCATCCTCAGAATTTCAATTACCTTGTCTCCTGGTCACAAGATGGCTGCAAAAGCTCCAAGCTTTTGCATCCATCACACCAATATATGGAGGTGGAAAGAAAAGGGAAGGGAAGGGAAGGGGAAGGGGAAGGGGAAGGGAGGAAAGAGGAGGTGAGGGGATGGGGAGGAGAAAGGAGGAAAGAGAAGGAAAGGAAAAGAAAGGGAAGGAAGGGAACCACTACTTCTGACTTGTGTCTCTTTTTTTAGAACAAAAACAAAAACTTTTCTCAGAAGTGCCCCCGTAACAAACTTATCCTCAAATCTTTTTTTGAGACAGAGCCTCACTCTCTCACCCAGGCTGGAGTGCAGTGGCACAATCTCGACTCACTACAACCTCTGCCTCCCAGGTTCAAGTGATTCCCCTGCCTCAGCCTCCTGAGTAGCTGGGACTACAGGCATGCACCACCACACCCAGCGAATTTTTTGTACTTTTAGTGGAGATGGGGGTTTCACCATATTGGCCAGGCTGGTCTCAAACTCCCAACCTCAAGTGATCCACCCGCCTCGGCCTCCCAAAATGCTGGGATTACAGGCTTGAGCCACTGCACCTAGCCTATTCTCACATCTTATTGGTTGAGATTGGATCGCATGTCCCTTCCTAAGCCAATCACTGGCAAAAGAATAGGATTTTTGAAAGGCCTAGATTCATCCTTGAAGTAGTTAGAGCCACCTCTTCTGAAGCATAGCACTGCATGGAGTGTAGCCACCAGAATAAAATTGGAAGACCAGGCATAGTGGCTCACGCCTGTAATCCCAGCACTTTGGGAGGCTGAGGTGGGAGGATTACTTGAGGCCAGGAGGTTAAGATCAGCCTGGGCAACATAGCCAGACCCCATCTCTACAAACAATTTAAAAATTAGCTGGGTGTGGTGGTACATAGCTTTAGTCCCAGCTACTTAGGAGGCTGAGGTGGGAGGATCACTTGAGCCCAGGAGGTTGAGGCTGCAGTGAACCAAGATCATGCCACTGCACTCCAACCTGAGTGATAGAGTGAGACTCTGTCTCTAAAAAAATAAAATAATATAAAATAATTTTGAGGCTGGGCCAGCAGTGTCTTCTCACCTACCTTACAGAATTGCTTGAAAGTGACATGACATTTTTTATGAAAAGCATGAGCCCATAACCATGCACACACAAGAAAATCTTTAACAAAGAAATCCTTTTCTCTCTCAACACCAGAATTATCCTTCCAGCATATCCCATCTTGAATTTCCTGTAGTGAACATCAGAATAACCATACTTGGGCTGGGCGCAGTGGCTCATGCCTGTAATCCGAGCACTTTGGGAGGCCGAAGTGGGTGGATCACCTGAGGTCAGGAGTTCGAGACCAGCCTGACCAACATGGTGAAACGCTGTCTCTACTAAAAATACAAAAATTAGCTGGGCGTGGTGGTGCGTGCCTGTAATCCCAGCTACTCGGGAGGCTAAGGCAGGAGAATGGCTTGAACCTGGGAGGCAGAGGTGGCAGTGAGCCGAGATTGTGCCACTGCACCCCAGCCTGGGAGACAGCATGAGGTTCTGTCTCAAAAACACACACACACCACACACACACACACACACACACACACAAGAATAACCATACTTGTCCTTATCCTCCGGAGTAAGCAGCTCTTACACACCGCCCTCACTGATCATTCCCTTTTGTAATCCCCTCCCCTTGAGTGTGGGCTGAACATATTGACTTGCTTTCAACAAACAGAATAACCAAAAGGGATAGAATATCATTTGTGTGATTAGATTACAGAAGAGCGTGACTTCTGGCTTGCTATGCTGTTTTATTGTTTTCTTACTTATTACACTTTGATGAAGAAAGCCACAATGTTGGAGAGACCCACTCGGCAAGGGACAGAGGGTGGGCTCCAGCCAACAGTATCTGAGGACCTGAATCCTTCCAACAACCACATGAGTAAGCACAGAAGAGTGCCCTTCTCCAGTCCAGCTTTGAGATGACACTGCACCCCCGCCAACACTGTCATTGCAGCCTGTGAAAGACTCCAAAATAGGAGACCCAGCTAAACCATGCCTGGATTTCCAACCCATGAAAACAATGAGATAATAAATGTTGCTTCACGCCACTGTGTTTTGGGGTAATTTGTTGTGGTTGTTAATTTTATGTGTTGGCCGGGCGCAGTGGCTCACACCTGTAATCCCAGCACTTTGGGAGGCTGAGGTGGGTGGATCACCTGAGGTCGAGAGTTCGAGACCAGCCTGGCCAACATGGTGAAACCCCATCTCTACTGAAAATACAAAAATTAGCTGGGCGTGGTGGCGGATGCCTATAATCCCAGCTACTCAGGATGCTGAGGCAGGAGAATTGCTTGAACCCGGGCGACAGAGGTTGCAGTGAGCCAAGATTGTGCCACTTCACTCCAGCCTGTGCGAAAGAGCGAAACCCCGTCTAAAAAAAAAAAAAATTATGTGTCAACTTGATTGGGCTAAAGGATGCCCCAATAGGTGGTAAAATATTATTTCTGGGTGTGTCTGTTAGGGTGTTTCCAGAAAATATTTTCCTTGGCATTAGTAGACTGAGTAAGGAAGGTCACCTTCACCAACATGGGTGGGCACCTTCCAACTCACTGAGGGCCCAAATAGAAGAAAAAAGTGGAGGAAGGGCAACTTTGCTGTCTCTGTGTGAGCTGAGACATCCATCTTCTCCTGCCCGCAGATATCAGTGCTCCTGATTCTCCGCGCGTTTGAACTTAGACTGGGATTCACACCATTGCTCCTGCCCTGTCCCTATTCTCAGGCCTTCAGACTCAGGCTGGCACTACTCCACTGGCATTCCTGGTTCTCCAGCTTTCAAGTGGCAGACTATGGAATTTCTTGACCTCCATAATTGCATGAGCCAATTCCTACAACAAATTTCTCTCTCTCTCTCCCTCTCCTACCCCCACCATTGGATCTGTTTCTCTGGAGTACCCTAACTAATATATTTGTCATACAGCAACAGATAACCAACTTATCTTTATTTTTTTTTTTGAGACAGAATCTCACTCTGTCACCCAGGCTGGAGTGCAGTGGCACAATCTCGGCTCACTGCAAGCTCCGCCTCCTGGGTTCATGCCATTCTCCTTCCTCAGCCTCCTGAGTAGCTGGGACTACAGGTGCCCGCCACCATGCCCAGCTAATTTTTTTGTATTTTTAGTAAAGACAGGGTTTCACTGTGTTAGCCAGTATGGTCTCGATCTCCTGACCTCATGATCCGCCCACCTCGGCCTCCCAAAGTGCTGGGATTACAGGCGTGAGCCACCTCACCCAGGCTTTTTTTTTTTTTTTTTGAGATGGAGTCTCGCTCTGTCACCCAGGCTGGGTGCAATGGCGTGATCTCAGCTCACTGGAACCTCCGCTTCCCTGGTTCAAGCAATTCTCCCACCTCAGCCTCCCGAGTAGCTGGGATTACAGGCACGCACCATCATGCCCAGCTAATTTTTTTTGTAGAGATGGGGTTTCACCATGTTGGACAGGCTGGTCTCGAACTCCAGACCTCAGGTGATCCACCCACCTCGGCCTCCCAAAGTGCTGGGATTACAGGCGTGAGCCACCAATTTATCCTTTAAGAGAAGGAAAATCTTAAAACTCTGGTGCTAGTTTATTTATTTATTTATTTATTTAGAGACGGAATCTTCCTCTGTCACCTGGCCTGGAGTGCAGTAGCGCAATCTCAACTCACTGCAGCCTCTGCCTCCCAGGTTCAAGTGATTCTCGTGCCTCAACCTCCTGAGTAGCTGCTATTACAGGCATGTGCCACCACACCTGGTTGATTTTTGTGTTTTTTTTTTTTTTAGTAGAGACAGGGCTTTGCCATATTGGCCCAGCTGGTCTCAAACTCCTGAGCTCAAGCGATCTTCCTGCCTCAGCCTCCCAAAGTGCTGGGATTACAGGTGTGAGCCTGGTGCTAGTTTATAGAAGAAAAAATAATAATACTAATAATAGGTAACCTTATTGTGCACTGATTATGTGCTCAGCATTGTGTTAAACACTCTACACCTGTCAACTTGTTACAACAACCCTAAGAAATGGGTGTTATAATTGTCCCTACATTTTAAATGGGGAAACGGAATCTTCAAGAAGTTAGACAACTTGCCCAAGGTTACACAGTAAGTAACACAGGATTTGAACAGCTAATTATTGTTGTCATTCATGGATGCCTGTCAAATGTGAATAGAGTTGAAGGAAATCTAGGGAGTTCTACTCTAGTGCAGTGACCATGGTACCAAGGGACACCCTGGGCCAACCTGTGGCCTGTGGGCAGGCCTGTGGAAGAGGAGGTATGTGGTATAGCTGCTGTGCCCCATGGGCCCCACGTGTAAGGCCAGCACTGGGGCAAGTAGGGTGGTTCCATTTAGTGTGTTTTGTAAAAAAAAAAAAAAAAGATAAAATATATGTAACATAGAATTCATCATTTTATGGCCGGGTGTGGTGGCTCACACCTATAATCCTAGCACTTTGGGAGGCTGAGGCAGTGGATCACTTGAGGTCAGGAGTTCGAGACCAGCCTGGCCAGCATGGTGAAACCACATCTCTACCAAAAATACACAAATTAGCCGGGCGTGGTGGCACATGCCTGTAATCCAAGCTACTTGGGAGGCTGAGGCAGGAGAATTGCTTGAACCCGGAGGCAGAGGTTGCAGTGAGCCAAGATCATACCACTGCACTCCAGCCTGGGTGACAGAGTGAGACTCTGTCTCAAAAAAAAAAAAAAAAAATTCACCATTTTAGCCATTTTAGGTGTACAATTCTGTAGCATTAAGTACATTCACAATGTTGTACAACCATCACCTCTATCCATTTCCAGAACTTTTCATAGATGAGTATGCTTTTCAATACCAGGAAAGCTTCTGGTATCAATACCCAAATGCTAGCTGGGTGTGGTGGCTCATGCCTGTAATCTCAACACTTTGGGAAGCCGAGGTAGGAGGATCACTTGAGTTCAGGAGTTCAAGACCAGTCTGGGCAACATAGGGAGACTCCATCTCTTCAAAAAATTAAAAAGTTAGCCAGGTGTGATGGTGCACACCTGTGGTCCCAGCTACTCCAGAGGCTGAAGTAGGAGGATCACTTGAGCCTAGGATGTTGAGACCAGCCTGGGTAACACAGTAAGGTCCTGTCTCAAAAATAAATAAATAAATGAAAACTGCACACCTCAATACCACCAACAGCATTCTCACTAGCTAATGTTAGGCTTTTTTTTTTTTTTTTGAGACTATCTCTGTCACCCAGGCTGGAGTGCAATGGCATGATCTTGGCTCACTGCAGCCTCCATCTTCCAGGTTCAAGGGATTCTCCTGCCTCAGCCTCCCCAGTAACTAGGATTATAGGTGCACACCACCACGCCCAGCTAATTTTTGTATTTTCAGTAGAGACGAGGCTTCACCATGTTGACCAGGCTGGTCTCAAACTCCTGACCTCAAATGATCTGCCTGCCTTGGCCTCCCAAAGTGCTGGGATTACAGGCGTGAGCCACCATGCCCGGCTTTTTCTCTCTTTTTTTTTTTTAGACGGGGTTTCGCTTTTATTGCCCAGGCTGGAGTGCAATGGCACAATCTCGGCTCACTGCAACCTCTGCCTCCTGGGTACAAGCGAGTCTCCTGTTTCAGCCTCCCAAGTAGCTCAGATTACAGGCATGTGCCACCACGCCCGGCTATTTTTTTTTTGTATTTAGTAGAGACAGGGTTTCACCATGTTACTCAGGCTGGTTGTGAACTCCTGACCTCAGGTGATCTACCGGCCTCAGCCTCCCAAAATGTTGGGATTACAGGCATGCGCCACCGTGCCCAGCCTGCCCGGCTATCTTAAAGGACTCAAGAAGCAAGGCCTTTCATTCCATAGTTAAAGACAGATTGAATGTGGCTACCCCTGGGAGAGGCACTACTTTGCCTTATATTAATTCACATGGATGAGTAACAAGAGTGGCATTTGTTGTTCTTGTTGGCCACCCAACCTCAAAACACCCTTAATCCATTCGGGAACTCCCGTGCTTTTGGTTCTTGGGATACTGGGGTTGCTCACCTCTGTGGGAGCTGGATACTGTCTTTTCCAGCCTTACAGCTAAGTCAGATACCTGCCCAAAGCCCATACTCTGCCAATTGGACTTACCCATGTAGGATTTTCCTTATTTTATTTTTTTTTTTTATTTTATTAAGCCAGTCAAATTTAGCAGTGGTAGGCTGTATACCAACCTTAGGGACATGAATGTTAATAAGTTCTGATAACCCACTACCATCGGACCAGTCCCACATAGGATTTTGACTCAGAAACGAGTGCTGCAAAGAGCAGTGCCTAGGTGGAATCCTTACTGGTGTGGGTGGCAGTACGATAGCCAGTTTCCAGAGGTGTGGAGGTAGAGACAAGGACCACAGGATCTGGGGGCCAGCAGCATTGCAAGGGACCATGTCTGTGTCTAGTGGCAGCAGCAAGGGAATCTTCATTAGCCGTTTGGTGGCACAGTCTTGGCTGTTTTTCCTGCAGACATAGCCTCCAATCCTGGTTATCCCTGCTTTTGGATATGTTGTGAGCAATGCAAAAGTATACATATATATATATATATATATATTTTTTTTTTTTTAGACAAAGTCTCACTCTGTCGCCCAGGCTGGAGTGCACTGGGGCAATCTCAGCTCACTGCAAACTCCACCTCCTAGGTTCAAATGATTCTCCTGCCTCAGCCTCCTAAGTAGCTGGGATTACAGGTATTCACCACCACACCTGGCTAATTTTTGTATTTTTAGTAGACATGGAGTTTCGCCATGTTGGCCAGGCTGGTCTCGAGCTCCTGGCCTCAGGGGATCTGCCTGCCTCAGCCTCCCAAAGTGCTGGCATTACAGGCGTGAGCCACGGCACCAGCCACAAAAGCCTTTAATGTTTTTCCTGCTTAAGGTAGTCAGGATTGGATTCTGTTTCTTGTAACTCTGAACTTGATTATGTGTCTCTCTCTTCTATTCGAGGTGAAAGGCAGAGCCAGATTGCCACCTGTGAAAAGACCATGCAGAACTTAGATGAGGAAGGAGAACTTCGTATCACTGATGCTATTTTACAGCTTGATTGTCCAGGCCCTCCTCAGTTTGGCCTTTAACATTCTCACTTGGATAGCACAAAACTGACCTTGGAAGCTTCCATTCTGCTTTTGTGGGAGTTTTGATTTAAATCCTGCAAAGAAAAGAATGACCTTGTGCTCTGAGCAAAACAACTCCTTCTTCCGGCTCTGTAACTCCTCTCCTCCCTATCCTTGGGAGTGGCTTTAGGGGACCGCTTCTGGGAGGCAAGATGGGGAAGTTCCACTGTAGCTAAAGACAAGCTTTTCCTATTTCATAATAAAGCCGAGTTCCTGGCAGGCAAGGCACGGTGGCTGATGCCTGTAATCCGAGCACTTTGGGAGTCTGAGGTTCGTGGATCACCTGAGGTCAGGAGTTTGAGAGCAGCCTTGCCAACATGGTGAAACCCCATCTCTACTAAAAATACAAAAATTAGCCAGGCATGGTGGCGGGCGCCTATAATCCCAGCTACATGGGAGCCTGAGGCAGGAGAATCGCCTGAATCCGGGAGTCAGAGGTTGCAGTGAGCTGAGTTCATGCCACTGTACTCCAACCTGGACGACAGAGCAAGACTCTGTCTCAAAAGAAACAAACAAAAAAAAGCTGCATTTCCATTATTACTTGACCCACTCAACAAAGATGTGGTTGCATTTTCCTCACATATGGGTTGTTTGGGCTTCTCAGGGTATGATGAATCTGTGTATTTGTTGGTGTTTAGATGCTTTTGAGAAACATGCTATGTTATGGGCAGACTTATGAAAACATTGTACTAATAATAGAACAAGACAGAAGTCTCTACTGACCACTGACATACATCCATGAGTATTATGGGCTGTAGTCTTGATTTGGCATCCTCAAGTGATCTCGGTGGAATGTCATAAGAATAGGAGGCAACCCATACACCCATGAAGAAATACCCACGTGGAATGGTCACATGGACCTCTAGAAGGCTATGGTGAGGCTGGGCATGGTGGCTCACACCTGTAATCCCTCGGCCTTGGGAGGCTAAGGCAGGAGGATTGCTTGAGCCCAGGAGATCAACAACCACCTGGGCAACATAGTGAGATCCCTACTCTACAAAAAGTTAAAAAAGTAGTCGGGCATAGTGGCACGTGCCTGTAGTCCCAGCTACTCAAGAGGCTGAGGCGAGAGGATTGCTTGAACCCAGGAGTTCAAGGTTGCAGTGAGCCATCATCCTGCCACTGCACTCCAACCTGGGCGACAGAGCAAGACCCCATCTCAAAAAAAAAAGAAAAATAGGCCAGGCATGGTGGCTCACACCAGTAATTCTAGCACTTTATGAGGCCAAAGTATGTGGATTGCCTGAGCTCAGGGGTTCGAGACCAGCCTGGGCAACATGGTGTAATCCCATCTTTTTTTCTTTTCTTTTTTTTTTTTAATTTTAAAGAAACATAAATCACACAAAAAAGAAGATAATTTTTTTTTTTTTGAGATAGAGTTTCGCTCTTGTCGCCCAGGCTGGAGTTCAATGGTACAATCTCAGCTCACTGCCACCTCCGCCTCCTGGGTTCAAGTGATTCTCCAGCCTCAGCCTCCCGAGTAGCTGGGATTACAGGTGCCCGCCACCGCGCCCAGCTAATTTTTGTATTTTTAGTAGAGACGGGGTTTCGCCATGTTGGCCAGGCTGGTCTCAAACTCCTGACCTCAGGTGATTCACCCACCTCGGTCTCCCAAAGTGCTCAGATTACGGCATGAGCCACCACGCCCAGCTGAGAAATTAAAAAAAAAAGAAAGAAAGAAAGAAAAAGAAGACTATAGAGTACCTGAAGTCTTCAGGCGTCTGGATTTATTATGAGATAGATTTTGGTTAAAGGGCAAGGATGCCTGCATATGCTTTAGAGGCAAGGTCATGGGTCTCGTGCTGCAGGGACATAGACTTTTCCATTGAAGGAACTCTCAGAGTTCAAATCCCCTAAACCCATCCTCTTTCCCTGTCTTGGCCTGATGCCTGGTGATCATAACAGTGTCTCTTTGCTGTTTCAGTCCTCCACTCTGTTCCAGAGGAACCACACAGAAAAACAGTTCCCCAAACTATAAAAGTCGTAAGACTCATTCTTTGAATAAACTGTTTAGATTTGCCGTCAGGCATGGACACCTGGCTAATATTCATTTGGAACTCTGAGTTCTAGAAGTGTTCTCATTCTTCATATAACCCATCTACAAGCCTCAACCAAAGAAGAATCATAGTAATAACACCAGGAAATTAAAGTCAAGCAAACCCTATAAACAGTTCTAATATATTTGTGCACACGCTAAGTTCCCCAGCATTGCTGTAAATTTGTCCTCTTTGCTGATTAAATGATGCAAAAATTTAGAGCTCCTCTTTTAATCGTCAACGCCATTTCCTTTCTTATCCCATCAGAACTGGGTGATTTAACCTGAGCCCTTTGGTTTTTCTTTTTTTAAATATTAACCTGTATTGTCCCCCAACAATGTGAATTTGCTTCCTGCTCAATATGTCTATTACTGACTAATGATGCTTTAAAATTCTTCCTCCTGTGGATTGATTCAGATCCAACTAACTTTTACTAAATTCATAGAATACAGCGACAGTGCTTGGCTTTCTTAGGTGTGAAATTTCAGTTAATCCCAAACATAATTCTGTGAGGTGGGAGATATCATCCGAATTTATAGGAAAAGAATCTGAGGCTCAGAGAAGGTCCCTGATTTGCTGAGGCCACACATGTTTTCAGTGACAGTAATAGAGCTGGGCATACACCTGCATTGTTTGATTCAAAGCCAGTCATCTTGGCTTTTCACCAGCCAATAGGCCGTTCACTGTCCAGATGTGGCTATATTACCTTGGTGATGGTCAGTTTCATATGAGACCAAGCTAACATTAACATCAGAGGGTACTATCACATTTGGGATTAAGTTAAAAAAGAAATCAGAGGGTAAATTTGTTGAGGGTTTTTTTTTCTTTTTTCTTTTTTCTTTTTTTTGGGGGGGGGAGGCGGTGGGGGAAAGAGCTTGCTCTGTTGCCCAGGCTGGAGTGCAGTGGTACAATCTTGGCTGACTGCCTCCTCCACCTCCCAGGCTCAAGAGATTCTTATGCTTCAGCCTCCTGAGTAGTTGGGATTATAGGCAAGCACCACCAAGCTCAGCTAATTTTTTTGTATTTTTAGTAGAGACAGGGTTTCACTATGTTCTCCAGGCTGGTCTTGAACTCCTGGCCTCAAGTGATCGTCTCACCTCAGTCTCCCAAAGTGCTGGGATTACAGGCGTGAGCCACCACGCCCTACCGATTGAGGAGCTTTGTCAGCGAAACCCGAAACAAGATGCGGAGAAAATGGAGACACAGGTAAGAGGGGTGCAGGATACCTGTCCTGGGTTCCTGGGGCAGGGAGGTTTGGCAGGAATAGGATTGGAAATAAAGAAAGAAACAAATAACCCCTAGTCATCATTCTGCTGCATTGAGCCTCCCCAGAATGTTGCCCAGATAGGCCCTTGTTGCTTATGTATGATTTGGACCTCCCTTCTACCCACACAGTCCTGTGAAGCTTCACATCTGCTGGCCTGGGCCTAACACACATAAGCCCATCTCTCCCAGTTCCCCTGTGTTAATCCACCCTTGCATTCCAGAAGCTGAACTCCAAGTTGAAGATGAATACTTTGTGCCCTGTAACCCAGATTGTCTAGATTTATATTCGTATCTTCTTTTACAGCTGGACCACCCTGGGAAATTTACTTATGTTTGCTGAAATTGGTTTCTCATCTGTAATATGGATACAAAAAGTAGTACCTAACTCATAGGGTTATTGTTTGTTTGTTTATTTGTTTGTTTGTTTTAATGAGACAGAGTCTTGCCCTGTCGCCCAGGCTGCAGTGCAGTGGCATGCGATCTCAGCTCACTACAATCTCTGCCTCCTGGTTTCAAAGGATTCTCCTGCCTCAGCCTCCCGAGTAGCTGGGTTTACGGGTGCCCGCCACCACACGCGGCTAATTTTTGTATTTTCAGTAGAGATGGGGTTTCACCATATTGGCCAGGCTCATCTTGAACTCCTCACCTTGTGATCCGCCTGCCTTGGCCTCCCAGAGTGCTGGGATTACAGGCGAGTCACTGCGCCCAGTCTCACAGGATTATTGTTTATGTGACAGTGTTTATTACAATTCCTGGAACATAGATGTTTAATGAGAAGAAGCTATTATGGCAAGATAATTTATCAAAATATTAAATTCAGTCGTTCCTATATCTCCACCCTACCTCTCCAACTGCAAATAAAATAAGTGGATAGCTAGATTGCAATTTCTTTTTTTTTTTTTTTTTTTTTGAGACAGAGTCTCCCTCTGTCACCCAGGCTGGAGTGCAGTGGTGCGATTTCAGCTCACTGCAACCTCTGCTTCCCGGGTTCAAGCAATTGTCCTGCCTCAGCCTCCCCAGTAGCTAGGATTACAGGCATGTGCCACCATGCCTGGCTAATTTTTTGTATTTTTAGTAGAGACAGGGTTTCACCATCTTGGCCATGGCTGGTTTCAAACTCTTGACCTCAAGTGATCTGCCTGCCTCGGCCTCCCAAAGTGCCAGGATTACAGGCATGAGCCACCGGGCCTGGCCGCAATTTCTTAATTCAGGAATTTTGGCACCAGAAAAAGGGAGGAGGAAGAGGTCTGTGAAAACCAGAACATACCAAAATCCCCACACAAGCATTCCAAACATCTAGAGCTGTGGCTCCCAAATGGGGGTGATTTGCACCCCCAGGGGACATTCGGCAATGCTTGGAGGCATTTCTGATTGTCACTACTGTGGGGAGGGTGCTGCTGGTATGTAGTAGGTACCGATTGGGGATACTGCTAAATATGTAACAATGCACAGGACAGCCCCTCAAATGTCAGCAGCACTGAAGTTGAGACACCCTGATCTAGGGCCTTGAGGCTAACTTGCTTGGCTGACAGGTGAGAAACTTGAGTAGGATGTGAGATTGAAGTTGTAAGTGAACAGAGCTGAGCCTTATGAACTGAAAAAAATATAGAATCACTTTGAGAATTCATTAAGGGAAAGAGGATAACATAGACCAGTTTGGGGATAACAAAGATCATAGGCAGCGTTTAGGGGGAAAAAACACTTTATGTATTTACCCCAAAGTGCACAAATCTTAGTATTGTAGCTGTTGATGAAATTATTTTGGCTGGGTGCGGTGGCTCACGCCTGTAATTCCTACACTTTGGAAGGTCAAAGCAGAAAGATGGCTTGAGACCAGGAGTTCGAGACCAGCCTGGGCAACATAGCGAGACCCCCATCTCTAAAAATAAAAATTAATTAATTAAAATTTATAAAGAAATTATTTTATCAGGCAGGGTTACTTTCCTTTTGCATCTCATTTTTTTTTTCAGTAAAAACTCTGTATATATTTCTTGTGCTGCTTTTCTGCAGGATATAAAAGAAGTCATTGGTGCCCATGTTCTTATCCAGAATGTATGGTGGCAATAACAATCAGGAAGAGAAAGTGGACCTTCTCTTTCCTTTGACACCCTTGGAAAATCCGAGTTGCAATTTGCTGTGTTCTACATACAAGATAAGGCAACAGGCTTCCTTGGAAAAATGGATTCTCGTGGCTGATATCAGACACTGGAACCCCCCAGCAGTGGGCCCTAGAGCCCTAGAATCAATTCAGACTTAAATCTGCTCAGCTTGTCAAGTGCACCCATTGGGCATCCGAACCCAAGTGTTGCCAAACAGAGTGGCATGACCACGGACCATGGACCCTTAAAAAGACTGTTTACATTCTGTTTCATTACACATGTTCACTCCAAATGCTCCCCTAAATATTTTTAAAATGAAAAAACTAATAGCTATATTCCTTTATTATTTATTTATTTATTTTTGAGACAGAGCCTCGCTCTGTCGCCCAGACTGGAGTGCAGTGGTGCGATCTCAGCTCACTGTAACCTCCGCCTCCTGGGCTGAAGGGATTCTTGTACGTCAGCCTCCCGAGTAGCTGGGACTACAGGCACATGCCGCATGTCTGGCTAATTTTTTGCATTTGTAGTAGAGATGGGGTTTCACCATGTTGGCCAGGCTGATCTCAAACTCCTGGGCGCACGTGATCCACCCGCCTCGGCCTCCCAAAGTGCTGGGATTACAGGCTGAGCCACCACGCCCAGCCTAGCTATATTCTCTGAATCATATTTATTCCTAATATATAAACACCTTGTGTTTTTTTCCTCTTTCAGAATTTCTGTTCATGACTAACTCTGATTTATCTAAGTTTTAAACTGTTAGACAAACTCTCATCTAATTTTTGCTTTTTTTACTTATTTTATTTTATTTTATTTTATTTTATTTTATTTTATTTTATTTTATTTTTTTGAGGTGGAGTCTTGCTGTCTTGCCCAGGCTGAAGTGCAGTGGTGCCATCTCGGCTCACTGCAACCTCTGCCTTCTGGGTTCAAGCGATTCTCCTGCCTCAGTCTCCCGAGTAGCTGGGATACAGGCGTGTGCCACCATGCCTGGCTTTTTTTTTTTTTTTTTTTTTTTTCTGAGACGGGTCTCACTCTGTCGCCCAGGCTGGAGTGAAATGGTGTGATCTCGGCTCACTGCAACCTCCGCTTCCCAGGTTCAAGTGATTCTCCTGCCTCAGCCTCCCAAGTAGTTGGGATTACAGGAGCCCACCACCAGACCTGAGTAATTTTTGTATTTTTAGTAGAGATGGGTTTTGCCATGTTGGTCAGGCTGGTCTAGAACTCCTGACCTCAGATGATCCGCCTGCCTTGGCCTCCCAAAGTGCTGGGATTACAGGCACGAGCCATCGTGCCCGGCCTGCCTTTTTTTTTTTTTTTTTTTTCAATAGGGAAGGGGTTTCACCCTGTTGGCCAGGCTGGTCCCGGACTCCTGGCTTCAAGTGATCTGCTCGCCTTGGCCTCCCAAAGT